>NC_000018.10:19954518-20257978 GCF_000001405.40 Homo sapiens | reverse complement strand
GTTGAGGACACACATCAGAAACTAGTTTCTGAGAATGCTTCTGTCTAGTTGTTATGGGAAGATATTTCCTTTTCCAACGTAGGCCTGAAAGCGATCAAAATGTCCACTTCCATACACTAAAAAAAGAGTGTTTCAAACCTGCTCTACCAAAGGGAATGTTCTACTCTATGACTTGAATGCAAACATCCCAAAGAAGTTTCTGAGAATGCTTCTGTCTAGATTTGATCTGAAGACAATCCCGTTTCCAACGAAATCCTCAAGGCTAGGCAAATATCCTCTTGCAGATTCCAGAAAAAGAGTGTTTCAAAACTGCTCCTTCAAAACGGTGGTTCAATTCTCTTAGTTGAGTACACACATCTCAAATAAGTTTCTGAGAATGCTTCTGCCTAGTTGTTACGGGAAGATATTTCCCTTTCCAACATGGGCCTGAAAGCGCTCCAAATGTCCACTTCCAGATACTACAAAAAGAGTGTTTCAAACCTGCTCTACCAAAGGGAATGTTCTACTCTGTGACTTGAATGCAAACATCCCAAAGAAGTTTCTGAGAATGCTTCTGTCTAGATTTTACCTGAAGACAATCCCGTTTCCCACGAAATCCTCAAAGCTATGCAAATATCCTCTTGCAGATTCTACAAAAAGAGTGTTTCGAAACTGCTCTATGAAAAGAAAGGTTCAACTGTGTCAGTAGAGGGCACACATCACAAACAAGTTTCTGAGAATGCTTGTGTCTAGTTGTTATGGGAAGATATTTCCTTTTTCAACATAGGCCTGAAAGCGCTCCAAATGTCCACTTCCAGATACTACAAAAGGAGTGATTCCAACCTGCTCTATGATAGGGAATGTTCAACTCTGTGTCCTGAATACAAACATCACAAAGATGTTTCTCAGAACGCTGCAGTCTGCAATTTGTATGAATTCCCGCTTCCAACGAAATCCTCAAAACTAGCCAAATATCCACTTGCAGATTCCACAAAAAGACCATTTCAAAACTGCTCTATCAAAAGAAAGGTTCAACTTTGTTAGTTGAGTAGATACAGCATAAACAAGTTTCTGAGAATGCTTCTGTCCAGTTTTTATGGGAAGATATTTCCTTTTTCACCTTAGCCCTGAAATCGCTCCAAAAGTCCAGTTCCAGATACTACAAAAGGGGTGTTTCAAGACTGCTCTATGAAAGGGAGTGTTCAACTTTTGACTTGAATGCAAACATCAGAAAGCAGTTTCTCAGAACGCTGCTGTGTGCTTTTTATATGTATTCCCGCTTCCAGCGAAATCCCCAAAGCTAGCCAAATATCCACTTGCAGATTCCAGAAAAAGAGAGTTTCAAAACTGCTCCTTCAAAACGGTGGTTCAATTCTCTTAGTTGAGTACACACATCTCAAATAAGTTTCTGAGAATGCTGCAGTCTGCAATTTGTATGAATTCCCGCTTCCAACGAAATCCTCAAAACTAGCCAAATATCCACTTGCAGATTCCACAAAAAGAGCGTTTCAAAACTTCTCTATGAAAAGAAAGGTTCTACTCCTTTAGTTGAGGACACACATCACGAGTAAGTTTCTGAGAATGCTTCTGTCTAGTTTTTATGGGAAGATATTTCCTTTTTCACCTTAGGCCGGAAAGTGCTCCAAATGTCCACTTACACACACTACAAAAAGAGTGTTTCAAACCTGCTCTGTGAAAGGGAATGTTCAATTCTGTGACTTGAATGCAATCATCACAAAGAAGTTTCTGAGAATGCTGCTGTCTGCTTTTTATATGTAATCCCGTTTCCAACGAAATCCTCAAATCTAGCCAAATATCCACTTGCAGATTCCACAAAAAGAGTGTTTCAAAACTGTTCTGTCTAAAGAAATGTTCAACTGTGTTAGTTGAGGACACACATCAGAAACTAGTTTCTGAGAATGCTTCTGCCTAGTTGTTATGGGAAGATATTTCCTTTTCCAACGTAGGCCTGAAAGCGCTCCAAATGTCCACTTCCAGATACTACAAAAAGAGTGTTTCAAACCTGCTCTACCAAAGGGAATGTTCTACTCTGTGACTTGAATGCAAACATCCCAAAGAAGTTTCTGAGAATGCTTCTGTCTAGATTTTCTCTGAAGACAATCCCGTTTCCAACGAAATCCTCAAGGCTAGGCAAATATACTCTTGCAGATTCCAGAAAAAGAGTGTTTCAAAACTGCTCCTTCAAAACGGTGGTTCAATTCTCTTAGTTGAGTACACACATCTCAAATAAGTTTCTGAGAATGCTTCTGCCTAGTTGTTACGGGAAGATATTTCCCTTTCCAACATGGGCCTGAAAGCGCTCCAAATGTCCACTTCCAGATACTACAAAAAGAGTGTTTCAAACCTGCTCTACCAAAGGGAATGTTCTACTCTGTGACTTGAATGCAAACATCCCAAAGAAGTTTCTGAGAATGCTTCTGTCTAGATTTTACCTGAAGACAATCCCGTTTCCCACGAAATCCTCAAAGCTATGCAAATATCCTCTTGCAGATTCTACAAAAAGAGTGTTTCGAAACTGCTCTATGAAAAGAAAGGTTCAACTGTGTCAGTAGAGGGCACACATCACAAACAAGTTTCTGAGAATGCTTGTGTCTAGTTGTTATGGGAAGATATTTCCTTTTTCAACATAGGCCTGAAAGCGCTCCAAATGTCCACTTCCAGATACTACAAAAGGAGTGATTCCAACCTGCTCTATGATAGGGAATGTTCAACTCTCTGTCCTGAATACAAACATCACAAAGATGTTTCTCAGAACGCTGCAGTCTGCAATTTGTATGAATTCCCGCTTCCAACGAAATCCTCAAAACTAGCCAAATATCCACTTGCAGATTCCACAAAAAGAGCATTTCAAAACTGCTCTATCAAAAGAAAGGTTCAACTTTGTTAGTTGAGTAGATACAGCATAAACAAGTTTCTGAGAATGCTTCTGTCCAGTTTTTATGGGAAGATATTTCCTTTTTCACCTTAGCCCTGAAAGCGCTCCAAAAGTCCAGTTCCAGATACTACAAAAGGAGTGTTTCAGGACTGCTCTATGAAAGGGAGTGTTCAACTTTTGACTTGAATGCAAACATCAGAAAGCAGTTTCTCAGAACGCTGCTGTGTGCTTTTTATATGTATTCCCGCTTCCAGCGAAATCCCCAAAGCTAGCCAAATATCCACTTGCAGATTCCAGAAAAAGAGTGTTTCAAAACTGCTCCTTCAAAACGGTGGTTCAATTCTCTTAGTTGAGTACACACATCTCAAATAAGTTTCTGAGAATGCTTGTGTCTAGTTGTTATGGGAAGATATTTCCTTTTTCAACATAGGCCTGAAAGCGCTCCAAATGTCCACTTCCAGATACTACAAAAGGAGTGATTCCAACCTGCTCTATGATAGGGAATGTTCATCTCTGTGTCCTGAATACAAACATCACAAAGATGTTTCTCAGAACGCTGCAGTCTGCAATTTGTATGAATTCCCGCTTCCAACGAAATCCTCCAAACTAGCCAAATATCCACTTGCAGATTCCACAAAAAGAGCGTTTCAAAACTTCTCTATGAAAAGAAAGGTTCTACTCCTTTAGTTGAGGACACACATCACGAGTAAGTTTCTGAGAATGCTTCTGTCTAGTTTTTATGGGAAGATATTTCTTTTTTCACCTTAGGCCGGAAAGCGCTCCAAATGTCCACTTACACACACTACAAAAAGAGTGTTTCAAACCTGCTCTGTGAAAGGGAATGTTCAATTCTGTGACTTGAATGCAATCATCACAAAGAACTTTCTGAGAATGCTGCTGTCTGCTTTTTATATGTAATCCCGTTTCCAACGAAATCCTCAAATCTAGCCCAATATCCACTTGCAGATTCCACAAAAAGAGTGTTTCAAAACTGTTCTGTCTAAAGAAAAGTTCAACTGTGTTAGTTGAGGACACACATCAGAAACTAGTTTCTGAGAATGCTTCTGTCTAGTTGTTATGGGAAGATATTTCCTTTTCCAACGTAGGCCTGAAAGCGCTCCAAATGTCCACTTCCAGATACTACAAAAAGAGTGTTTCAAACCTGCTCTACCAAAGGGAATGTTCTACTCTGTGACTTGAATGCAAACATCCCAAAGAAGTTTCTGAGAATGCTTCTGTCTAGATTTGATCTGAAGACAATCCCTTTTCCAACGAAATCCTCAAAGCTAGGCAAATATCCTCTTGCAGATTCCAGAAAAAGAGTGTTTCCAAACTGCTCCTTCAAAACGGTGGTTCAATTCTCTTAGTTGAGTACACACATCTCAAATAAGTTTCTGAGAATGCTTCTGCCTAGTTGTTACGGGAAAGATATTTCCCTTTCCAACATAGACCTGAAAGCGCAACAAATGTCCACTTCCAGATACGACAAAAAGAGTGTTTCAAACCTGCTCTACCAAAGGGAATGTTCTACTCTGTGACTTGAATGCAAACATCCCGAAGAAGTTTCTGAGAATGCTTCTGTCTAGATTTTACCTGAAGACAATCCCGTTTCCCACGAAATCCTCAGAGCTATGCAAATATCCTCTTGCAGATTCTACAAAAAGAGTGTTTCGAAACTGCTCTATGAAAAGAAAGGTTCAACTCTGTCAGTAGAGGAAACACATCACCAACAAGTTTCTGAGAATGCTTTGTGTCTAGTTGTTATGGGAAGATATTTCCTTTTTCAACATAGGCCTGAAAGCGCTCCAAATGTCCACTTCCAGATACTACAAAAGGAGTGATTCCAACCTGCTCTATGATAGGGAATGTTCAACTCTGTGTCCTGAATACAAACATCACAAAGATGTTTCTCAGAACGCTGCAGTCTGCAATTTGTATGAATTCCCGCTTCCAACGAAATCCTCCAAACTAGCCAAATATCCACTTGCAGATTCCACAAAAAGACCATTTCAAAACTGCTCTATCAAAAGAAAGGTTCAACTTTGTTAGTTGAGTAGATACAGCATAAACAAGTTTCTGAGAATGCTTCTGTCCAGTTTTTATGGGAAGATATTTCCTTTTTCACCTTAGCCCTGAAAGCGCTCCAAAAGTCCAGTTCCAGATACTGCAAAAGGAGTGTTTCAGACTGCACTATGAAAGGGAGTGTTCAACTTTTGACTTGAATGCAAACATCAGAAAGCAGTTTCTCAGAACGCTGCTGTGTGCTTTTTATATGTATTCCCGCTTCCAGCGAAATCCCCAAAGCTAGCCAAATATCCACTTGCAGATTCCAGAAAAAGAGTGTTTCAAAACTGCTCCTTCAAAACGGTGGTTCAATTCTCTTAGTTGAGTAGACACATCTCAAATAAGTTTCTGAGAATGCTGCAGTCTGCAATTTGTATGAATTCCCGCTTCCAACGAAATCCTCCAAACTAGCCAAATATCCACTTGCAGATTCCACAAAAAGAGCGTTTCAAAACTTCTCTATGAAAAGAAAGGTTCTACTCCTTTAGTTGAGGACACACATCACGAGTAAGTTTCTGAGAGTGCTTCTGTCTAGTTTTTATGGGAAGATATGTCCTTTTTCACCTTAGGCCGGAAAGCGCTCCAAATGTCCAAATACACACACTACAAAAAGAGTGTTTCAAACCTGCTCTGTGAAAGGGAATGTTCAATTCTGTGACTTGAATGCAATCATCACAAAGAACTTTCTGAGAATGCTGCTGGCTGCTTTTTATATGTAATCCCGTTTCCAACGAAATCCTCAAATCTAGCCAAATAGCCACTTGCAGATTCCACAAAAAGAGTGTTTCAAAACTGTTCTGTCTAAAGAAATGTTCAACTGTGTTAGTTGAGGACACACATCAGAAACTAGTTTCTGAGAATGCTTCTGTCTAGTTGTTATGGGAAGATATTTCCTTTTCCAACGTAGGCCTGAAAGCGCTCCAAATGTCCACTTCCATATACTAAAAAAAGAGTGTTTCAAACCTGCTCTACCAAAGGGAATGTTCTACTCTGTGACTTGAATGCAAACATCCCAAAGAAGTTTCTGAGAATGCTTCTGTCTAGATTTTCTCTGAAGACAATCCCGTTTCCAACGAAATCCTCAAGGCTAGGCAAATATACTCTTGCAGATTCCAGAAAAAGAGTGTTTCAAAACTGCTCCTTCAAAACGGTGGTTCAATTCTCTTAGTTGAGTACACACATCTCAAATAAGTTTCTGAGAATGCTTCTGCCTAGTTGTTACGGGAAGATATTTCCCTTTCCAACATAGGCCTGAAAGCGCTCCAAATGTCCACTTCCAGATAATACAAAAAGAGTGTTTCAAACCTGCTCTACCAAAGGGAATGTTCTACTCTGTGACTTGAATGCAAACATCCCAAAGAAGTTTCTCAGAATGCTTCTGTCTAGATTTTACCTGAAGACAATCCCGTTTCCCACGAAATCCTCAAAGCTATGCAAATATCCTCTTGCAGATTCTACAAAAAGAGTGTTTCAAAACTGCTCTATGAAAAGAAAGGTTCAACTCTGTCAGTAGATGGCACACATCACAAACAAGTTTCTGAGAATGCTTCTGCATAGTTGTTACGGGAAGATATTTCCCTTTCCAAAATAGGCCTGAAAGCGCTCCAAATGTCCACTTCCAGATACTACAAAAGGAGTGATTCCAACCTGCTCTATGATAGGGAATGTTCAACTCTGTGTCCTGAATACAAACATCACAAAGATGTTTCTCAGAACGCTGCAGTCTGCAATTTGTATGAATTCCCGCTTCCAACGAAATCCTCAAAACTAGCCAAATATCCACTTGCAGATTCCACAAAAAGACCATTTCAAAACTGCTCTATCAAAAGAAAGGTTCAACTTTGTTAGTTGAGTAGATACAGCATAAACAAGTTTCTGAGAATGCTTCTGTCCAGTTTTTATGGGAAGATATTTCCTTTTTCACCTTAGCCCTGAAATCGCTCCAAAAGTCCAGTTCCAGATACTACAAAAGGGGTGTTTCAAGACTGCTCTATGAAAGGGAGTGTTCAACTTTTGACTTGAATGCAAACATCAGAAAGCAGTTTCTCAGAACGCTGCTGTGTGCTTTTTATATGTATTCCCGCTTCCAGCGAAATACCCAAAGCTAGCCAAATATCCACTTGCAGATTCCAGAAAAAGAGTGTTTCAAAACTGCTCCTTCAAAACGGTGGTTCAATTCTCTTAGTTGAGTACACACATCTCAAATAAGTTTCTGAGAATGCTTCTGTCTAGTTGTTATGGGAAGATATTTCCTTTTCCAACATAGGCCTGAAAGCGCTCCAAATGTCCACTTCCAGATACTACAAAAGGAGTGATTCCAACCTGCTCTATGATAGGGAATGTTCAACTCTGTGTCCTGAATACAAACATCACAACGATGTTTCTCAGAACGCTGCAGTCTGCAATTTGTATGAATTCCCGCTTCCAACGAAATCCTCAAAACTAGCCAAATATCCACTTGCAGATTCCACAAAAAGAGCGTTTCAAAACTTCTCTATGAAAAGAAAGGTTCTACTCCTTTAGTTGAGGACACACATCACGAGTAAGTTTCTGAGAATGCTTCTGTCTAGTTTTTATGGGAAGATATTTCCTTTTTCACCTTAGGCCGGAAAGTGCTCCAAATGTCCACTTACACACACTATAAAAAGAGTGTTTCAAACCTGCTCTGTGAAAGGGAATGTTCAATTTCTGTGACTTGAATGCAATCATCACAAAGAACTTTCTGAGAATGCTGCTGTCTGCTTTTTATATGTAATCCCGTTTCCAACGAAATCCTCAAATCAAGCCAAATAGCCACTTGCAGATTCCACAAAAAGAGAGTTTCAAAACTGTTCTGTCTAAAGAAATGTTCAACTGTGTTAGTTGAGGACACACATCAGAAACTAGTTTCTGAGAATGCTTCTGTCTAGTTGTTATGGGAAGATATTTCCTTTTCCAACGTAGGCCTGAAAGCGCTCCAAATGTCCACTTCCATATACTAAAAAAAGAGTGTTTCAAACCTGCTCTACCAAAGGGAATGTTCTACTCTGTGACTTGAATGCAAACATCCCAAAGAAGTTTCTGAGAATGCTTCTGTCTAGATTTTCTCTGAAGACAATCCCGTTTCCAACGAAATCCTCAAGGCTAGGCAAATATACTCTTGCAGATTCCAGAAAAAGAGTGTTTCAAAACTGCTCCTTCAAAACGGTGGTTCAATTCTCTTAGTTGAGTACACACATCTCAAATAAGTTTCTGAGAATGCTTCTGCCTAGTTGTTACCGGAAGATATTTCCCTTTCCAACATAGGCCTGAAAGCGCTCCAAATGTCCACTTCCAGATACTACAAAAAGAGTGTTTCAAACCTGCTCTACCAAAGGGAATGTTCTACTCTGTGACTTGAATGCAAACATCCCAAAGAAGTTTCTGAGAATGCTTCTGTCTAGATTTTACCTGAAGACAATCCCGTTTCCCACGAAATCCTCAAAGCTATGCAAATATCCTCTTGCAGATTCTACAAAAAGAGTGTTTCAAAACTGCTCTATGAAAAGAAAGGTTCAACTCTGTCAGTAGAGGGCACACATCACAAACAAGTTTCTGAGAATGCTTGTGTCTAGTTGTTATGGGAAGATATTTCCTTTTTCAACATAGGCCTGAAAGCGCTCCAAATGTCCACTTCCAGATACTACAAAAGGAGTGATTCCAACCTGCTCTATGATAGGGAATGTTCAACTCTCTGTCCTGAATACAAACATCACAAAGATGTTTCTCAGAACGCTGCAGTCTGCAATTTGTATGAATTCCCGCTTCCAACGAAATCCTCAAAACTAGCCAAATATCCACTTGCAGATTCCACAAAAAGACCATTTCAAAACTGCTCTATCAAAAGAAAGGTTCAACTTTGTTAGTTGAGTAGATACAGCATAAACAAGTTTCTGAGAATGCTTCTGTCCAGTTTTTATGGGAAGATATTTCCTTTTTCACCTTAGCCCTGAAATCGCTCCAAAAGTCCAGTTCCAGATACTACAAAAGGGGTGTTTCAAGACTGCTCTATGAAAGGGAGTGTTCAACTTTTGACTTGAATGCAAACATCAGAAAGCAGTTTCTCAGAACGCTGCTGTGTGCTTTTTATATGTATTCCCGCTTCCAGCGAAATCCCCAAAGCTAGCCAAATATCCACTTGCAGATTCCAGAAAAAGAGAGTTTCAAAACTGCTCCTTCAAAACGGTGGTTCAATTCTCTTAGTTGAGTACACACATCTCAAATAAGTTTCTGAGAATGCTTCTGTCTAGTTGTTATGGGAAGATATTTCCTTTTCCAACATAGGCCTGAAAGCGCTCCAAATGTCCACTTCCAGATACTACAAAAGGAGTGATTCAAACCTGCTCTATGATAGGGAATGTTCAACTCTGTGTCCTGAATACAAACATCACAAAGATGTTTCTCAGAACGCTGCAGTCTGCATCTTGTATGAATTCCCGCTTCCAGCGAAATCCTCCAAACTAGCCAAATATCCACTTGCAGATTCCACAAAAAGAGCGTTTCAAAACTTCTCTATGAAAAGAAAGGTTCTACTCCTTTAGTTGAGGACACACATCACGAGTAAGTTTCTGAGAATGCTTCTGTCTAGTTTTTATGGGAAGATATGTCCTTTTTCACCTTAGGCCGGAAAGCGCTCCAAATGTCCACTTACACACACTACAAAAAGAGTGTTTCAAACCTGCTCTGTGAAAGGGAATGTTCAATTCTGTGACTTGAATGCAATCATCACAAAGAACTTTCTGAGAATGCTGCTGACTGCTATTTATATGTAATCCCGTTTCCAACGAAATCCTCAAATCTAGCCCAATATCCACTTGCAGATTCCACAAAAAGAGTGTTTCAAAACTGTTCTGTCTAAAGAAATGTACAACTGTGTTAGTTGTGGACACACATCAGAAACTAGTTTCTGAGAATGCTTCTGTCTAGTTGTTATGGGAAGATATTTCCTTTTCCAACGTAGGCCTGAAAGCGCTCCAAATGTCCACTTCCATATACTAAAAAAAGAGTGTTTCAAACCTGCTCTACCAAAGGGAATGTTCTACTCTGTGACTTGAATGCAAACATCCCAAAGAAGTTTCTGAGAATGCTTCTGTCTAGATTTTATCTGAAGACAATCCCGTTTCCAACGAAATCCTCAAGGCTAGGCAAATATACTCTTGCAGATTCCAGAAAAAGAGGGTTTCAAAACTGCTCCTTCAAAACGGTGGTTCAATTCTCTTAGTTGAGTACACACATCTCAAATAAGTTTCTGAGAATGCTTCTGCCTAGTTGTTACGGGAAGATATTTCCCTTTCCAACATGGGCCTGAAAGCGCTCCAAATGTCCACTTCCAGATACTACAAAAAGAGTGTTTCAAACCTGCTCTACCAAAGGGAATGTTCTACTCTGTGACTTGAATGCAAACATCCCAAAGAAGTTTCTGAGAATGCTTCTGTCTAGATTTTACCTGAAGACAATCCCGTTTCCCACGAAATCCTCAAAGCTATGCAAATATCCTCTTGCAGATTCTACAAAAAGAGTGTTTCAAAACTGCTCTATGAAAAGAAAGGTTCAACTCTGTCAGTAGAGGGCACACATCACAAACAAGTTTCTGAGAATGCTTGTGTCTAGTTGTTATGGGAAGATATTTCCTTTTTCAACATAGGCCTGAAAGCGCTCCAAATGTCCACTTCCAGATACTACAAAAGGAGTGATTCCAACCTGCTCTATGATAGGGAATGTTCATCTCTGTGTCCTGAATACAAACATCACAAAGATGTTTCTCAGAACGCTGCAGTCTGCAATTTGTATGAATTCCCGCTTCCAACGAAATCCTCAAAACTAGCCAAATGTCCACTTGCAGATTCCACAAAAAGAGCGTTTCAAAACTTCTCTATGAAAAGAAAGGTTCTACTCCTTTAGTTGAGGACACACATCACGAGTAAGTTTCTGAGAATGCTTCTGTCTAGTTTTTATGGGAAGATATGTCCTGTTTCACCTTAGGCCGGAAAGCGCTCCAAATGTCCAAATACACACACTACAAAAAGAGTGTTTCAAACCTGCTCTGTGAAAGGGAATGTTCAATTCTGTGACTTGAATGCAATCATCACAAAGAACTTTCTGAGAATGCTGCTGTCTGCTTTTTATATGTAATCCCGTTTCCAACGAAATCCTCAAATCTAGCTAAATATCCACTTGCAGATTCCACAAAAAGAGTGTTTCAAAACTGTCCTTTCTATAGAAAAGTTCAACTGTGTTAGTTGAGGACACACATCAGAAACTAGTTTCTGAGAATGCTTCTGTCTAGTTGTTATGGGAAGATATTTCCTTTTCCAACGTAGGCCTGAAAGCGCTCCAAATGTCCAATTCCATATACTAAAAAAAGAGTGTTTCAAACCTGCTCTACCAAAGGGAATATTCTACTCTGTGACTTGAATGCAAACATCCCAAAGAAGTTTCTGAGAATGCTTCTGTCTAGATTTTCTCTGAAGACAATCCCGTTTCCAACGAAATCCTCAAGGCTAGGCAAATATACTCTTGCAGATTCCAGAAAAAGAGTGTTTCAAAACTGCTCCTTCAAAACGGTGGTTCAATTCTCTTAGTTGAGTACACACATCTCAAATAAGTTTCTGAGAATGCTTCTGCCTAGTTGTTACGGGAAGATATTTCCCTTTCCAACATGGGCCTGAAAGCGCTCCAAATGTCCACTTCCAGATACTACAAAAAGAGTGTTTCAAACCTGCTCTACCAAAGGGAATGTTCTACTCTGTGACTTGAATGCAAACATCCCAAAGAAGTTTCTGAGAATGCTTCTGTCTAGATTTTACCTGAAGGCAATCCCGTTTCCCACGAAATCCTCAAAGCTATGCAAATATCCTCTTGCAGATTCTACAAAAAGAGTGTTTCAAAACTGCTCTATGAAAAGAAAGGTTCAACTCTGTCAGTAGAGGGCACACATCACAAACAAGTTTCTGAGAATGCTTGTGTCTAGTTGTTATGGGAAGATATTTCCTTTTTTAACATAGGCCTGAAAGCGCTCCAAATGTCCACTTCCAGATACTACAAAAGGAGTGATTCCAACCTGCTCTATGATAGGGAATGTTCAACTCTGTGTCCTGAATACAAACATCACAAAGATGTTTCTCAGAACGCTGCAGTCTGCAATTTGTATGAATTCCCGCTTCCAACGAAATCCTCAAAACTAGCCAAATATCCACTTGCAGATTCCACAAAAAGACCATTTCAAAACTGCTCTATCAAAAGAAAGGTTCAACTTTGTTAGTTGAGTAGATACAGCATAAACAAGTTTCTGAGAATGCTTCTGTCCAGTTTTTATGGGAAGATATTTCCTTTTTCACCTTAGCCCTGAAATCGCTCCAAAAGTCCAGTTCCAGATACTACAAAAGGGGTGTTTCAAGACTGCTCTATGAAAGGGAGTGTTCAACTTTTGACTTGAATGCAAACATCAGAAAGCAGTTTCTCAGAACGCTGCTGTGTGCTTTTTATATGTATTCCCGCTTCCAGCGAAATCCCCAAAGCTAGCCAAATATCCACTTGCAGATTCCAGAAAAAGAGAGTTTCAAAACTGCTCCTTCAAAACGGTGGTTCAATTCTCTTAGTTGAGTACACACATCTCAAATAAGTTTCTGAGAATGCTTCTGTCTAGTTGTTATGGGAAGATATTTCCTTTTCCAACATAGGCCTGAAAGCGCTCCAAATGTCCACTTCCAGATACTACAAAAGGAGTGATTCCAACCTGCTCTATGATAGGGAATGTTCAACTCTGTGTCCTGAATACAAACATCACAAAGATGTTTCTCAGAACGCTGCAGTCTGCAATTTGTATGAATTCCCGCTTCCAACGAAATCCTCAAAACTAGCCAAATATCCACTTGCAGATTCCACAAAAAGAGCGTTTCAAAACTTCTCTATGAAAAGAAAGGTTCTACTCCTTTAGTTGAGGACACACATCACGAGTAAGTTTCTGAGAATGCTTCTGTCTAGTTTTTATGGGAAGATATTTCCTTTTTCACCTTAGGCCGGAAAGCGCTCCAAATGTCCACTTACACATACTACAAAAAGTGTGTTTCAAACCTGCTCTGTGAAAGGGAATGTTCAATTCTGTGACTTGAATACAATCATCACAAAGAACTTTCTGAGAATGCTGCTGTCTGCTTTTTATGTGTAATCCCGTTTCCAACGAAATCCTCAAATCTAGCCAAATATCCACTTGCAGATTCCACAAAGAGAGTGTTTCAAAACTGTTCTGTCTAAAGAAATGTTCAACTGTGTTAGTTGAGGACACACATCAGAAACTAGTTTCTGAGAATGCTTCTGTCTAGTTGTTATGGGAAGATATTTCCTTTTCCAACGTAGGCCTGAAAGCGCTCCAAATGTCCACTTCCATATACTAAAAAAAGAGTGTTTCAAACCTGCTCTACCAAAGGGAATGTTCTACTCTGTGACTTGAATGCAAACATCCCAAAGAAGTTTCTGAGAATGCTTCTGTCTAGATTTTATCTGAAGACAATCCCGTTTCCAACGAAATCCTCAAGGCTAGGCAAATATACTCTTGCAGATTCCAGAAAAAGAGGGTTTCAAAACTGCTCCTTCAAAACGGTGGTTCAGTTCTCTTACTTGAGTACACACATCTCAAATAAGTTTCTGAGAATGCTTCTGCCTAGTTGTTACGGGAAGATATTTCCCTTTCCAACATGGGCCTGAAAGCGCTCCAAATGTCCACTTCCAGATACTACAAAAAGAGTGTTTCAAACCTGCTCTACCAAAGGGAATGTTCTACTCTGTGACTTGAATGCAAACATCCCAAAGAAGTTTCTGAGAATGCTTCTGTCTAGATTTTACCTGAAGACAATCCGGTTTCCCACGAAATCCTCAAAGCTATGCAAATATCGTCTTGCAGATTCTACAAAAAGAGTGTTTCAAAACTGCTCTATGAAAAGAAAGGTTCAACTCTGTCAGTAGAGGGCACACATCACAAACAAGTTTCTGAGAATGCTTGTGTCTAGTTGTTATGGGAAGATATTTCCTTTTTCAACATAGGGCCTGAAAGCGCTCCAAATGTCCACTTCCAGATACTACAAAAGGAGTGATTCCAACCTGCTCTATGATAGGGAATGTTCATCTCTGTGTCCTGAATACAAACATCACAAAGATGTTTCTCAGAACGCTGCAGTCTGCAATTTGTATGAATTCCCGCTTCCAACGAAATCCTCAAAACTAGCCAAATATCCACTTGGAGATTCCACAAAAAGAGCGTTTCAAAACTTCTCTATGAATAGAAAGGTTCTACTCCTTTAGTTGAGGACACACATCACGAGTAAGTTTCTGAGAATGCTTCTGTCTAGTTTTTATGGGAAGATATTTCCTTTTTCACCTTAGGCCGGAAAGTGTTCCAAATGTCCACTTACACACACTATAAAAAGAGTGTTTCAAACCTGCTCTGTGAAAGGGAATGTTCAATTCTGTGACTTGAATGCAATCATCACAAAGAACTTTCTGAGAATGCTGCTGTCTGCTTTTTATATGTAATCCCGTTTCCAACGAAATCCTCAAATCTAGCCAAATAGCCACTTGCAGATTCCACAAAAAGAGTGTTTCAAAACTGTTCTGTCTAAAGAAATGTTCAACTGTGTTAGTTGAGGACACACATCAGAAACTAGTTTCTGAGAATGCTTCTGTCTAGTTGTTATGGGAAGATATTTCCTTTTCCAACGTAGGCCTGAAAGCGATCCAAATGTCCACTTCCATATACTAAAAAAAGAGTGTTTCAAACCTGCTCTACCAAAGGGAATGTTCTACTCTGTGACTTGAATGCAAACATCCCAAAGAAGTTTCTGAGAATGCTTCTGTCTAGATTTTCTCTGAAGACAATCCCGTTTCCAACGAAATCCTCAAGGCTAGGCAAATATACTCTTGCAGATTCCAGAAAAAGAGTGTTTCAAAACTGCTCCTTCAAAACGGTGGTTCAATTCTCTTAGTTGAGTACACACATCTCAAATAAGTTTCTGAGAATGCTCTGCCTAGTTGTTACGGGAAGATATTTCCCTTTCCAACATGGGCCTGAAAGCGCTCCAAATGTCCACTTCCAGATACTACAAAAAGAGTGTTTCAAACCTGCTCTACCAAAGGGAATGTTCTACTCTGTGACTTGAATGCAAACATCCCAAAGAAGTTTCTGAGAATGCTTCTGTCTAGATTTTACCTGAAGACAATCCCGTTTCCCACGAAATCCTCAAAGCTATGCAAATATCCTCTTGCAGATTCTACAAAAAGAGTGTTTCAAAACTGCTCTATGAAAAGAAAGGTTCAACTCTGTCAGTAGAGGGCACACATCACAAACAAGTTTCTGAGAATGCTTGTGTCTAGTTGTTATGGCAAGATATTTCCTTTTTCAACATAGGCCTGAAAGCGCTCCAAATGTCCACTTCCAGATACTACAAAAGGAGTGATTCCAACCTGCTCTATGATAGGGAATGTTCAACTCTCTGTCCTGAATACAAACATCACAAAGATGTTTCTCAGAACGCTGCAGTCTGCAATTTGTATGAATTCCCGCTTCCAACGAAATCCTCAAAACTAGCCAAATATCCACTTGCAGATTCCACAAAAAGAGCATTTCAAAACTGCTCTATCAAAAGAAAGGTTCAACTTTGTTAGTTGAGTAGATACAGCATAAACAAGTTTCTGAGAATGCTGCAGTCTGCAATTTGTATGAATTCCCGCTTCCAACGAAATCCTCAAAACTAGCCAAATATCCACTTGCAGAGTCCACAAAAAGAGCGTTTCAAAACTTCTCTATGAAAAGAAAGGTTCTACTCCTTTAGTTGAGGACACACATCACGAGTAAGTTTCTGAGAATGCTTCTGTCTAGTTTTTATGGGAAGATATTTCCTTGTTCACCTTAGGCCGAAAAGCGTCCCAAATGTCCACTTACACACACTACAAAAAGAGTGTTTCAAACCTGCTCTGTGAAAGGGAATGTTCAATTCTGTGACTTGAATGCAATCATCACAAAGAAGTTTCTGAGAATGCTGCTGTCTGCTTTTTATATGTAATCCCGTTTCCAACGAAATCCTCAAATCTAGCCAAATATCCACTTGCAGATTCCACAAAAAGAGTGTTTCAAAACTGTTCTGTCTAAAGAAAAGTTCAACTGTGTTAGTTGAGGACACACATCAGAAACTAGTTTCTGAGAATGCTTCTGTCTAGTTGTTATGGGAAGATATTTCCTTTTCCAACGTAGGCCTGAAAGCGCTCCAAATGTCCACTTCCATATACTAAAAAAAGAGTGTTTCAAACCTGCTCTACCAAAGGGAATGTTCTACTCTGTGACTTGAATGCAAACATCCCAAAGAAGTTTCTGAGAATGCTTCTGTCTAGATTTTATCTGAAGACAATCCCGTTTCCAACGAAATCCTCAAGGCTAGGCAAATATACTCTTGCAGATTACAGAAAAAGAGTGTTTCAAAACTGCTCCTTCAAAACGGTGGTTCAATTCTCTTAGTTGAGTACACACATCTCAAATAAGTTTCTGAGAATGCTTCTGCCTAGTTGTTACGGGAAGATATTTCCCTTTCCAACATGGGCCTGAAAGCGCTCCAAATGTCCACTTCCAGATACTACAAAAAGAGTGTTTCAAACCTGCTCTACCAAAGGGAATGTTCTACTCTGTGACTTGAATGCAAACATCCCAAAGAAGTTTCTGAGAATGCTTCTGTCTAGATTTTACCTGAAGACAATCCCGTTTCCCACGAAATCCTCAAAGCTATGTAAATATCCTCTTGCAGATTCTACAAAAAGAGTGTTTCAAAACTGCTCTATGAAAAGAAAGGTTCAACTCTGTCAGTAGAGGGCACACATCACAAACAAGTTTCTGAGAATGCTTGTGTCTAGTTGTTATGGGAAGATATTTCCTTTTTCAACATAGGCCTGAAAGCGCTCCAAATATCCACTTCCAGATACTACAAAAGGAGTGATTCCAACCTGCTCTATGATAGGGAATGTTCAACTCTCTGTCCTGAATACAAACATCACAAAGATGTTTCTCAGAACGCTGCAGTCTGCAATTTGTATGAATTCCCGCTTCCAACGAAATCCTCAAAACTAGCCAAATATCCACTTGCAGATTCCACAAAAAGAGCATTTCAAAACTGCTCTATCAAAAGAAAGGTTCAACTTTGTTAGTTGAGTAGATACAGCATAAACAAGTTTCTGAGAATGCTTCTGTCCAGTTTTTATGGGAAGATATTTCCTTTTTCACCTTAGCCCTGAAATCGCTCCAAAAGTCCAGTTCCAGATACTACAAAAGGGGTGTTTCAGGACTGCTCTATGAAAGGGAGTGTTCAACTTTTGACTTGAATGCAAACATCAGAAAGCAGTTTCTCAGAACGCTGCTGTGTGCTTTTTATATGTATTCCCGCTTCCAGCGAAATCCCCAAAGCTAGCCAAATATCCACTTGCAGATTCCAGAAAAAGAGTGTTTCAAAACTGCTCCTTCAAAACGGTGGTTCAATTCTCTTAGTTGAGTACACACATCTCAAATAAGTTTCTGAGAATGCTTCTGTCTAGTTGTTATGGGAAGATATTTCCTTTTCCAACATAGGCCTGAAAGCGCTCCAAATGTCCACTTCCAGATACTACAAAAGGAGTGATTCAAACCTGCTCTATGATAGGGAATGTTCAACTCTGTGTCCTGAATACAAACATCACAAAGATGTTTCTCAGAACGCTGCAGTCTGCAATTTGTATGAATTCCCGCTTCCAACGAAATCCTCAAAACTAGCCAAATATCCACTTGCAGATTCCACAAAAAGAGCGTTTCAAAACTTCTCTATGAAAAGAAAGGTTCTACTCCTTTAGTTGAGGACACACATCACGAGTAAGTTTCTGAGAATGCTTCTGTCTAGTTTTTATGGGAAGATATTTCCTTTTTCACCTTAGGCCGGAAAGCGCTCCAAAAGTCCACTTACACACACTACAAAAAGAGTGTTTCAAACCTGCTCTGTGAAAGGGAATGTTCAATTCTGTGACTTGAATGCAATCATCACAAAGAACTTTCTGAGAATGCTGCTGTCTGCTTTTTATATGTAATCCCGTTTCCAACGAAATCCTCAAATCTAGCCAAATATCCACTTGCAGATTCCAAAAAAAAAGTGTTTCAAAACTGTTCTGTCAAAAGAAATGTTCAACTCTGTTAGTTGAGGACACACATCAGAAACTAGTTTCTGAGAATGCTTCTGTCTAGTTGTTATGGGAAGATATTTCCTTTTCCAACGTAGGCCTGAAAGCGCTCCAAATGTCCACTTCCATATACTAAAAAAAGAGTGTTTCACACCTGCTCTACCAAAGGGAATGTTCTACTCTGTGACTTGAATGCAAACATCCCAAAGAAGTTTTCTGAGAATGCTTTCTGTCTAGATTTTATCTGAAGACAATCCCGTTTCCAACGAAATCCTGAAAGCTATGCAAATATCCTCTTGCAGATTCTACAAAAAGAGTGTTTCAAAACTGCTCTATGAAAAGAAAGGTTCAACTCTGTCAGTAGAGGGCACACATCTCAAACAAGTTTCTGAGAATGCTTCTGCCTAGTTGTTACGGGAAGATATTTCCCTTTCCAACATGGGCCTGAAAGCGCTCCAAATGTCCACTTCCAGATACTACAAAAAGAGTGTTTCAAACCTGCTCTACCAAAGGGAATGTTCTACTCTGTGACTTGAATGCAAACATCCCAAAGAAGTTTCTGAGAATGCTTCTGTCTAGATTTTACCTGAAGACAATCCCGTTTCCCACGAAATCCTCAAAGCTATGCAAATATCCTCTTGCAGATTCTACAAAAAGAGTGTTTCAAAACTGCTCTATGAAAAGAAAGGTTCAACTCTGTCAGTAGAGGGCACACATCACAAACAAGTTTCTGAGAATGCTTCTGCATAGCTGTTACGGGAAGATATTTCCCTTTCCAACATAGGCCTGAAAGCGCTCCAAATGTCCACTTCCAGATACTACAAAAGGAGTGATTCCAACCTGCTCTATGATAGGGAATGTTCAACTCTGTGTCCTGAATACAAACATCACAAAGATGTTTCTCAGAACGCTGCAGTCTGCAATTTGTATGAATTCCCGCTTCCAACGAAATCCTCAAAACTAGCCAAATATCCACTTGCAGATTCCACAAAAAGACCATTTCAAAACTGCTCTATCAAAAGAAAGGTTCAACTTTGTTAGTTGAGTAGATACAGCATAACCAAGTTTCTGAGAATGCTTCTGTCCAGTTTTTATGGGAAGATATTTCCTTTTTCACCTTAGCCCTGAAATCGCTCCAAAAGTCCAGTTCCAGATACTACAAAAGGGGTGTTTCAGGACTGCTCTATGAAAGGGAGTGTTCAACTTTTGACTTGAATGCAAACATCAGAAAGCAGTTTCTCAGAACGCTGCTGTGTGCTTTTTATATGTATTCCCGCTTCCAGCGAAATCCCCAAAGCTAGCCAAATATCCACTTGCAGATTCCAGAAAAAGAGAGTTTCAAAACTGCTCCTTCAAAACGGTGGTTCAATTCTCTTAGTTGAGTACACACATCTCAAATAAGTTTCTGAGAATGCTTCTGTCTATTTGTTATGGGAAGATATTTCCTTTTCCAACATAGGCCTGAAAGCGCTCCAAATGTCCACTTCCAGATACTACAAAAGGAGTGATTCCAACCTGCTCTATGATAGGGAATGTTCAACTCTGTGTCCTGAATACAAACATCACAAAGATGTTTCTCAGAACGCTGCAGTCTGCAATTTGTATGAATTCCCGCTTCCAACGAAATCCTCAAAACTAGCCAAATATCCACTTGCAGATTCCACAAAAAGAGCGTTTCAAAACTTCTCTATGAAAAGAAAGGTTCTACTCCTTTAGTTGAGGACACACATCACGAGTAAGTTTCTGAGAATGCTTCTGTCTAGTTTTTATGGGAAGATATTTCCTTTTTCACCTTAGGCCGGTAAGTGCTCCAAATGTCCACTTACACACACTACAAAAAGAGTGTTTCAAACCTGCTCTGTGAAAGGGAATGTTCAATTCTGTGACTTGAATGCAATCATCACAAAGAACTTTCTGAGAATGCTGCTGTCTGCTTTTTATATGTAATCCCGTTTCCAACGAAATCCTCAAATCTAGCCAAATAGCCACTTGCAGATTCCACAAAAAGAGAGTTTCAAAACTGTTCTGTCTAAAGAAATGTTCAACTGTGTTAGTTGAGGACACACATCAGAAACTAGTTTCTGAGAATGCTTCTGTCTAGTTGTTATGGGAAGATATTTCCTTTTCCAACGTAGGCCTGAAAGCGCTCCAAATGTCCACTTCCAGATACTAAAAAAAGAGTGTTTCAAACCTGCTCTACCAAAGGGAATGTTCTACTCTGTGACTTGAATGCAAGCATCCCAAAGAAGTTTCTGAGAATGCTTCTGTCTAGATTTTATCTGAAGACAATCCCGTTTCCAACGAAATCCTCAAGGCTAGGAAAATATACTCTTGCAGATTCCAGAAAAAGAGTGTTTCAAAACTGCTCCTTCAAAACGGTGGTTCAATTCTCTTAGTTGAGTACACACATCTCAAGTAAGTTTCTGAGAATGCTTCTGCCTAGTTGTTACGGGAAGATATTTCCCTTTCCAACATAGGCCTGAAAGCGCTCCAAATGTCCACTTCCAGATACTACAAAAAGAGTGTTTCAAACCTGCTCTACCAAAGGGAATGTTCTACTCTGTGACTTGAATGCAAACATCCCAAAGAAGTTTCTGAGAATGCTTCTGTCTAGATTTTACCTGAAGACAATCCCGTTTCCCACGAAATCCTCAAAGCTATGCAAATATCCTCTTGCAGATTCTACAAAAAGAGTGTTTCAAAACTGCTCTATGAAAAGAAAGGTTCAACTCTGTCAGTAGAGGGCACACATCACAAACAAGTTTCTGAGAATGCTTCTGCATAGTTGTTACGGGAAGATATTTCCCTTTCCAAAATAGGCCTGAAAGCGCTCCAAATGTCCACTTCCAGATACTACAAAAGGAGTGATTCCAACCTGCTCTATGATAGGGAATGTTCAACTCTGTGTCCTGAATACAAACATCACAAAGATGTTTCTCAGAACGCTGCAGTCTGCAATTTGTATGAATTCCCGCTTCCAACGAAATCCTCAAAACTAGCCAAATATCCACTTGCAGATTCCACAAAAAGACCATTTCAAAACTGCTCTATCAAAAGAAAGGTTCAACTTTGTTAGTTGAGTAGATACAGCATAAACAAGTTTCTGAGAATGCTTCTGTCCAGTTTTTATGGGAAGATATTTCCTTTTTCACCTTAGCCCTGAAATCGCTCCAAAAGTCCAGTTCCAGATACTACAAAAGGGGTGTTTCAAGACTGCTCTATGAAAGGGAGTGTTCAACTTTTGACTTGAATGCAAACATCAGAAAGCAGTTTCTCAGAACGCTGCTGTGTGCTTTTTATATGTATTCCCGCTTCCAGCGAAATCCCCAAAGCTAGCCAAATATCCACTTGCAGATTCCAGAAAAAGAGAGTTTCAAAACTGCTCCTTCAAAACGGTGGTTCAATTCTCTTAGTTGAGTACACACATCTCAAATAAGTTTCTGAGAATGCTTCTGTCTAGTTGTTATGGGAAGATATTTCCTTTTCCAACATAGGCCTGAAAGCGCTCCAAATGTCCACTTCCAGATACTACAAAAGGAGTGATTCCAACCTGCTCTATGATAGGGAATGTTCAACTCTGTGTCCTGAATACAAACATCACAAAGATGTTTCTCAGAACGCTGCAGTCTGCAATTTGTATGAATTCCCGCTTCCAACGAAATCCTCCAAACTAGCCAAATATCCACTTGCAGATTCCACAAAAAGAGCGTTTCAAAACTTCTCTATGAAAAGAAAGGTTCTACTCCTTTAGTTGAGGACACACATCACGAGTAAGTTTCTGAGAATGCTTCTGTCTAGTTTTTATGGGAAGATATGTCCTTTTTCACCTTAGGCCGGAAAGCGCTCCAAATGTCCACTTACACACACTACAAAAAGAGTGTTTCAAACCTGCTCTGTGAAAGGGAATGTTCAATTCTGTGACTTGAATGCAATCATCACAAAGAACTTTCTGAGAATGCTGCTGACTGCTTTTTATATGTAATCCCGTTTCCAACGAAATCCTCAAATCTAGCCAAATAGCCACTTGCAGATTCCACAAAAAGAGTGTTTCAAAACTGTTCTGTCTAAAGAAATGTTCAACTGTGTTAGTTGAGGACACACATCAGAAACTAGTTTCTGAGAATGCTTCTGTCTAGTTGTTATGGGAAGATATTTCCTTTTCCAACGTAGGCCTGAAAGCGCTCCAAATGTCCACTTCCATATACTAAAAAAAGAGTGTTTCAAACCTGCTCTACCAAAGGGAATGTTCTACTCTGTGACTTGAATGCAAACATCCCAAAGAAGTTTCTGAGAATGCTTCTGTCTAGATTTTCTCTGAAGACAATCCCGTTTCCAACGAAATCCTCAAGGCTAGGCAAATATACTCTTGCAGATTCCAGAAAAAGAGTGTTTCAAAACTGCTCCTTCAAAACGGTGGTTCAATTCTCTTAGTTGAGTACACACATCTCAAATAAGTTTCTGAGAATGCTTCTGCCTAGTTGTTACGGGAAGATATTTCCCTTTCCAACATAGGCCTGAAAGCGCTCCAAATGTCCACTTCCAGATACTACAAAAAGAGTGTTTCAAACCTGCTCTACCAAAGGGAATGTTCTACTCTGTGACTTGAATGCAAACATCCCAAAGAAGTTTCTGAGAATGCTTCTGTCTAGATTTTACCTGAAGACAATCCCGTTTCCCACGAAATCCTCAAAGCTATGCAAATATCCTCTTGCAGATTCTACAAAAAGAGTGTTTCAAAACTGCTCTATGAAAAGAAAGGTTCAACTCTGTCAGTAGAGGGCACACATCACAAACAAGTTTCTGAGAATGCTTGTGTCTAGTTGTTATGGGAAGATATTTCCTTTTTCAACATAGGCCTGAAAGCGCTCCAAATGTCCACTTCCAGATACTACAAAAGGAGTGATTCCAACCTGCTCTATGATAGGGAATGTTCAACTCTCTGTCCTGAATACAAACATCACAAAGATGTTTCTCAGAACGCTGCAGTCTGCAATTTGTATGAATTCCCGCTTCCAACGAAATCCTCAAAACTAGCCAAATATCCACTTGCAGATTCCACAAAAAGACCATTTCAAAACTGCTCTATCAAAAGAAAGGTTCAACTTTGTTAGTTGAGTAGATACAGCATAAACAAGTTTCTGAGAATGCTTCTGTCCAGTTTTTATGGGAAGATATTTCCTTTTTCACCTTAGCCCTGAAAGCGCTCCAAAAGTCCAGTTCCAGATACTACAAAAGGAGTGTTTCAGGACTGCTCTATGAAAGGGAGTGTTCAACTTTTGACTTGAATGCAAACATCAGAAAGCAGTTTCTCAGAACGCTGCTGTGTGCTTTTTATATGTATTCCCGCTTCCAGCGAAATCCCCAAAGCTAGCCAAATATCCACTTGCAGATTCCAGAAAAAGAGTGTTTCAAAACTGCTCCTTCAAAACGGTGGTTCAATTCTCTTAGTTGAGTACACACATCTCAAATAAGTTTCTGAGAATGCTGCTGTGTGCTTTTTATATGTATTCCCGCTTCCAGCGAAATCCCCAAAGCTAGCCAAATATCCACTTGCAGATTCCAGAAAAAGAGTGTTTCAAAACTGCTCCTTCAAAACGGTGGTTCAATTCTCTTAGTTGAGTACACACATCTCAAATAAGTTTCTGAGAATGCTTTCTGCATAGTTGTTACGGGAAGATATTTCCTTTTCCAACATAGGCCTGAAAGCGCTCCAAATGTCCACTTCCAGATACTACAAAAGGAGTGATTCAAACCTGCTCTATGATAGGGAATGTTCAAATCTGTGTCCTGAATACAAACATCACAAAGATGTTTCTCAGAACGCTGCAGTCTGCAATTTGTATGAATTCCCGCTTCCAACGAAATCCTCAAAACTAGCCAAATATCCACTTGCAGATTCCACAAAAAGACCATTTCAAAACTGCTCTATCAAAAGAAAGGTTCAACTTTGTTAGTTGAGTAGATACAGCATAACCAAGTTTCTGAGAATGCTTCTGTCCAGTTTTTATGGGAAGATATTTCCTTTTTCACCTTAGCCCTGAAATCGCTCCAAAAGTCCAGTTCCAGATACTACAAAAGGGGTGTTTCAGGACTGCTCTATGAAAGGGAGTGTTCAACTTTTGACTTGAATGCAAACATCAGAAAGCAGTTTCTCAGAACGCTGCTGTGTGCTTTTTATATGTATTCCCGCTTCCAGCGAAATCCCCAAAGCTAGCCAAATATCCACTTGCAGATTCCAGAAAAAGAGAGTTTCAAAACTGCTCCTTCAAAACGGTGGTTCAATTCTCTTAGTTGAGTACACACATCTCAAATAAGTTTCTGAGAATGCTGCTGTGTGCTTTTTATATGTATTCCCGCTTCCAGCGAAATCCCCAAAGCTAGCCAAATATCCACTTGCAGATTCCAGAAAAAGAGTGTTTCAAAACTGCTCCTTCAAAACGGTGGTTCAATTCTCTTAGTTGAGTACACACATCTCAAATAAGTTTCTGAGAATGCTTCTGTCTAGTTGTTATGGGAAGATATTTCCTTTTCCAACATAGGCCTGAAAGCGCTCCAAATGTCCACTTCCAGATACTACAAAAGGAGTGATTCAAACCTGCTCTATGATAGGGAATGTTCAACTCTGTGTCCTGAATACAAACATCACAAAGATGTTTCTCAGAACGCTGCAGTCTGCAATTTGTATGAATTCCCGCTTCCAACGAAATCCTCAAAACTAGCCAAATATCCACTTGCAGATTCCACAAAAAGACCATTTCAAAACTGCTCTATCAAAAGAAAGGTTCAACTTTGTTAGTTGAGTAGATACAGCATAAACAAGTTTCTGAGAATGCTTCTGTCCAGTTTTTATGGGAAGATATTTCCTTTTTCACCTTAGCCCTGAAAGCGCTCCAAAAGTCCAGTTCCAGATACTACAAAAGGAGTGTTTCAGGACTGCACTATGAAAGGGAGTGTTCAACTTTTGACTTGAATGCAAACATCAGAAAGCAGTTTTCTCAGAACGCTGCTGTGTGCTTTTTATATGTATTCCCGCTTCCAGCGAAATCCCCAAAGCTAGCCAAATATCCACTTGCAGATTCCAGAAAAAGAGAGTTTCAAAACTGCTCCTTCAAAACGGTGGTTCAATTCTCTTAGTTGAGTACACACATCTCAAATAAGTTTCTGAGAATGCTTCTGTCTAGTTGTTATGGGAAGATATTTCCTTTTCCAACATAGGCCTGAAAGCGCTCCAAATGTCCACTTCCAGATACTACAAAAGGAGTGATTCAAACCTGCTCTATGATAGGGAATGTTCAACTCTGTGTCCTGAATACAAACATCACAAAGATGTTTCTCAGAACGCTGCAGTCTGCAATTTGTATGAATTCCCGCTTCCAACGAAATCCTCAAAACTAGCCAAATATCCACTTGGAGATTCCACAAAAAGAGCGTTTCAAAACTTCTCTATGAATAGAAAGGTTCTACTCCTTTAGTTGAGGACACACATCACGAGTAAGTTTCTGAGGATGCTTCTGTCTAGTTTTTATGGGAAGATATTTCCTTTTTCACCTTAGGCCGGAAAGTGTTCCAAATGTCCACTTACACACACTATAAAAAGAGTGTTTCAAACCTGCTCTGTGAAAGGGAATGTTCAATTCTGTGACTTGAATGCAATCATCACAAAGAACTTTCTGAGAATGCTGCTGTCTGCTTTTTATATGTAATCCCGTTTCCAACGAAATCCTCAAATCTAGCCAAATAGCCACTTGCAGATTCCACAAAAAGAGAGTTTCAAAACTGTTCTGTCTAAAGAAATGTTCAACTGTGTTAGTTGAGGACACACATCAGAAACTAGTTTCTGAGAATGCTTCTGTCTAGTTGTTATGGGAAGATATTTCCTTTTCCGACGTAGGCCTGAAAGCGCTCCAAATGTCCACTTCCATATACTAAAAAAAGAGTGTTTCAAACCTGCTCTACCAAAGGGAATGTTCTACTCTGTGACTTGAATGCAAACATCCCAAAGAAGTTTCTGAGAATGCTTCTGTCTAGATTTGATCTGAAGACAATCCCGTTTCCAACGAAATCCTCAAGGCTAGGCAAATATCCTCTTGCAGATTCCAGAAAAAGAGTGTTTCAAAACTGCTCCTTCAAAACGGTGGTTCAATTCTCTTAGTTGAGTACACACATCTCAAATAAGTTTCTGAGAATGCTTCTGCCTAGTTGTTACGGGAAGATATTTCCCTTTCCAACATAGGCCTGAAAGCGCTCCAAATGTCCACTTCCAGATACTACAAAAAGAGTGTTTCAAACCTGCTCTACCAAAGGGAATGTTCTACTCTGTGACTTGAATGCAAACATCCCGAAGAATTTTCTGAGAATGCTTCTGTCTAGATTTTACCTGAAGACAATCCCGTTTCCCACGAAATCCTCAAAGCTATGCAAATATCCTCTTGCAGATTCTACAAAAAGAGTGTTTCAAAACTGCTCTATGAAAAGAAAGGTTCAACTCTGTCAGTAGAGGGCACACATCACAAACAAGTTTCTGAGAATGCTTGTGTCTAGTTGTTATGGGAAGATATTTCCTTTTTCACCTTAGGCCGGAAAGTGCTCCAAATGTCCACTTCCAGATACTACAAAAGGAGTGATTCCAACCTGCTCTATGATAGGGAATGTTCAACTCTCTGTCCTGAATACAAACATCACAAAGATGTTTCTCAGAACGCTGCAGTCTGAAATTTGTATGAATTCCCGCTTCCAACGAAATCCTCAAAACTAGCCAAATATCCACTTGCAGATTCCACAAAAAGAGCATTTCAAAACTGCTCTATCAAAAGAAAGGTTCAACTTTGTTAGTTGAGTAGATACAGCATAAACAAGTTTCTGAGAATGCTTCTGTCCAGTTTTTATGGGAAGATATTTCCTTTTTCACCTTAGCCCTGAAAGCGCTCCAAAAGTCCAGTTCCAGATACTACAAAAGGAGTGTTTCAGGACTGCACTATGAAAGGGAGTGTTCAACTTTTGACTTGAATGCAAACATCAGAAAGCAGTTTCTCAGAACGCTGCAGTCTGCAATTTGTATGAATTCCCGCTTCCAACGAAATCCTCAAAACTAGCCAAATATCCACTTGGAGATTCCACAAAAAGAGCGTTTCAAAACTTCTCTATGAATAGAAATGTTCTACTCCTTTAGTTGAGGACACACATCACGAGTAAGTTTCTGAGAATGCTTCTGTCTAGTTTTTATGGGAAGATATTTCCTTTTTCACCTTAGGCCGGAAAGCGCTCCAAATGTCCACTTACACACACTACAAAAAGAGTGTTTCAAACCTGCTCTGTGAAAGGGAATGTTCAATTCTGTGACTTGAATGCAATCATCACAAAGAACTTTCTGAGAATGCTGCTGTCTGCTTTTTATATGTAATCCCGTTTCCAACGAAATCCTCAAATCTAGCCAAATAGCCACTTGCAGATTCCACAAAAAGAGTGTTTCAAAACTGTTCTGTCTAAAGAAATGTTCAACTGTGTTAGTTGAGGACACACATCAGAAACTAGTTTCTGAGAATGCTTCTGTCTAGTTGTTATGGGAAGATATTTCCTTTTCCAACGTAGGCCTGAAAGCGCTCCAAATGTCCACTTCCAGATACTACAAAAGGAGTGATTCCAACCTGCTCTATGATAGGGAATGTTCAACTCTGTGTCCTGAATACAAACATCACAAAGATGTTTCTCAGAACGCTGCAGTCTGCAATTTGTATGAATTCCCGCTTCCAACGAAATCCTCCAAACTAGCCAAATATCCACTTGCAGATTCCACAAAAAGAGCGTTTCAAAACTTCTCTATGAAAAGAAAGGTTCTACTCCTTTAGTTGAGGACACACATCACGAGTAAGTTTCTGAGAATGCTTCTGTCTAGTTTTTATGGGAAGATATTTCCTTTTTCACCTTAGGCCGGAAAGTGCTCCAAATGTCCACTTACACACACTACAAAAAGAGTGTTTCAAAACTGCTCTGTGAAAGGGAATGTTCAATTCTGTGACTTGAATGCAATCATCACAAAGAACGTTCTGAGAATGCTGCTGTCTGCTTTTTATATGTAATCCCGTTTCCAACGAAATCCTCAAATCTAGCCAAATAGCCACTTGCAGATTCCACAAAAAGAGAGTTTCAAAACTGTTCTGTCTAAAGAAATGTTCAACTGTGTTAGTTGAGGACACACATCAGAAACTAGTTTCTGAGAATGCTTCTGTCTAGTTGTTATGGGAAGATATTTCCTTTTCCAACGTAGGCCTGAAAGCGCTCCAAATGTCCACTTCCATATACTAAAAAAAGAGTGTTTCAAACCTGCTCTACCAAAGGGAATGTTCTACTCTGTGACTTGAATGCAAACATCCCAAAGAAGTTTCTGAGAATGCTTCTGTCTAGATTTGATCTGAAGACAATCCTGTTTCCAACGAAATCCTCAAGGCTAGGCAAATATCCTCTTGCAGATTCCAGAAAAAGAGTGTTTCAAAACTGCTCCTTCAAAACGGTGGTTCAATTCTCTTAGTTGAGTACACACATCTCAAATAAGTTTTCTGAGAATGCTATCTGCCTAGTTGTTACGGGAAGATATTTCCCTTTCCAACATAGGCCTGAAAGCGCTCCAAATGTCCACTTCCAGATACTACAAAAAGAGTGTTTCAAACCTGCTCTACCAAAGGGAATGTTCTACTCTGTGACTTGAATGCAAACATCCCAAAGAAGTTTCTGAGAATGCTTCTGTCTAGATTTTACCTGAAGACAATCCCGTTTCCCACGAAATCCTCAAAGCTATGCAAATATCCTCTTGCAGATTCTACAAAAAGAGTGTTTCAAAACTGCTCTATGAAAAGAAAGGTTCAACTCTGTCAGTAGAGGGCACACATCACAAACAAGTTTCTGAGAATGCTTGTGTCTAGTTGTTATGGGAAGATATTTCCTTTTTCAACATAGGCCAGAAAGCGCTCCAAATGTCCACTTCCAGATACTACAAAAGGAGTGATTCCAACCTGCTCTATGATAGGGAATGTTCAACTCTCTGTCCTGAATACAAACATCACAAAGATGTTTCTCAGAACGCTGCAGTCTGCAATTTGTATGAATTCCCGCTTCCAACGAAATCCTCAAAACTAGCCAAATATCCACTTGCAGATTCCACAAAAAGACCATTTCAAAACTGCTCTATCAAAAGAAAGGTTCAACTTTGTTAGTTGAGTAGATACAGCATAAACAAGTTTCTGAGAATGCTTCTGTCCAGTTTTTATGGGAAGATATTTCCTTTTTCACCTTAGCCCTGAAAGCGCTCCAAAAGTCCAGTTCCAGATACTACAAAAGGAGTGTTTCAGGACTGCACTATGAAAGGGAGTGTTCAACTTTTGACTTGAATGCAAACATCAGAAAGCAGTTTCTCAGAACGCTGCTGTGTGCTTTTTATATGTATTCCCGCTTCCAGCGAAATCCCCAAAGCTAGCCAAATATCCACTTGCAGATTCCAGAAAAAGAGTGTTTCAAAACTGCTCCTTCAAAACGGTGGTTCAATTCTCTTAGTTGAGTACACACATCTCAAATAAGTTTCTGAGAATGCTTCTGTCTAGTTGTTATGGGAAGATATTTCCTTTTCCAACATAGGCCTGAAAGCGCTCCAAATGTCCACTTCCAGATACTACAAAAGGAGTGATTCAAACCTGCTCTATGATAGGGAATGTTCAACTCTGTGTCCTGAATACAAACATCACAAAGATGTTTCTCAGAACGCTGCAGTCTGCAATTTGTATGAATTCCCGCTTCCAACGAAATCCTCAAAACTAGCCAAATATCCACTTGCAGATTCCACAAAAAGAGCGTTTCAAAACTTCTCTATGAAAAGAAAGGTTCTACTCCTTTAGTTGAGGACACACATCACGAGTAAGTTTCTGAGAATGCTTCTGTCTAGTTTTTATGGGAAGATATTTCCTTTTTCACCTTAGGCCGGTAAGTGCTCCAAATGTCCACTTACACACACTACAAAAAGAGTGTTTCAAACCTGCTCTGTGAAAGGGAATGTTCAATTCTGTGACTTGAATGCAATCATCACAAAGAACTTTCTGAGAATGCTGCTGTCTGCTTTTTATATGTAATCCCGTTTCCAACGAAATCCTCAAATCTAGCCAAATAGCCACTTGCAGATTCCACAAAAAGAGTGTTTCAAAACTGTTCTGTCTAAAGAAATGTTCAACTGTGTTAGTTGAGGACACACATCAGAAACTAGTTTCTGAGAATGCTTCTGTCTAGTTGTTATGGGAAGATATTTCCTTTTCCAACGTAGGCCTGAAAGCGCTCCAAATGTCCACTTCCATATACTAAAAAAAGAGTGTTTCAAACCTGCTCTACCAAAGGGAATGTTCTACTCTGTGACTTGAATGCAAACATCCCAAAGAAGTTTCTGAGAATGCTTCTGTCTAGATTTGATCTGAAGACAATCCCGTTTCCAACGAAATCATCAAGGCTAGGCAAATATCCTCTTGCAGATTCCAGAAAAAGAGTGTTTCAAAACTGCTCCTTCAAAACGGTGGTTCAATTCTCTTACTTGAGTACACACATCTCAAATAAGTTTCTGAGAATGCTTCTGCCTAGTTGTTACGGGAAGATATTTCCCTTTCCAACATGGGCCTGAAAGCGCTCCAAATGTCCACTTCCAGATACTACAAAAAGAGTGTTTCAAACCTGCTCTACCAAAGGGAATGTTCTACTCTGTGACTTGAATGCAAACATCCCAAAGAAGTTTCTGAGAATGCTTCTGTCTAGATTTTACCTGAAGACAATCCCGTTTCCCACGAAATCCTCAAAGCTATGCAAATATCCTCTTGCAGATTCTACAAAAAGAGTGTTTCAAAACTGCTCTATGAAAAGAAAGGTTCAACTCTGTCAGTAGAGGGCACACATCACAAACAAGTTTCTGAGAATGCTTCTGCATAGTTGTTACGGGAAGATATTTCCCTTTCCAAAATAGGCCTGAAAGCGCTCCAAATGTCCACTTCCAGATACTACAAAAGGAGTGATTCCAACCTGCTCTATGATAGGGAATGTTCAACTCTGTGTCCTGAATACAAACATCACAAAGATGTTTCTCAGAACGCTGCAGTCTGCAATTTGTATGAATTCCCGCTTCCAACGAAATCCTCAAAACTAGCCAAATATCCACTTGCAGATTCCACAAAAAGACCATTTCAAAACTGCTCTATCAAAAGAAAGGTTCAACTTTGTTAGTTGAGTAGATACAGCATAAACAAGTTTCTGAGAATGCTTCTGTCCAGTTTTTATGGGAAGATATTTCCTTTTTCACCTTAGCCCTGAAATCGCTCCAAAAGTCCAGTTCCAGATACTACAAAAGGGGTGTTTCAGGACTGCTCTATGAAAGGGAGTGTTCAACTTTTGACTTGAATGCAAACATCAGAAAGCAGTTTCTCAGAACGCTGCTGTGTGCTTTTTATATGTATTCCCGCTTCCAGCGAAATCCCCAAAGCTAGCCAAATATCCACTTGCAGATTCCAGAAAAAGAGAGTTTCAAAACTGCTCCTTCAAAACGGTGGTTCAATTCTCTTAGTTGAGTACACACATCTCAAATAAGTTTCTGAGAATGCTTCTGTCTAGTTGTTATGGGAAGATATTTCCTTTTCCAACATAGGCCTGAAAGCGCTCCAAATGTCCACTTTCAGATACTACAAAAGGAGTGATTCCAACCTGCTCTATGATAGGGAATGTTCAACTCTGTGTCCTGAATACAAACATCACAAAGATGTTTCCTCGGAACGCTGCAGTCTGCAATTTGTATGAATTCCCGCTTCCAACGAAATCCTCAAAACTAGCCAAATATCCACTTGCAGATTCCACAAAAAGAGCGTTTCAAAACTTCTCTATGAAAAGAAAGGTTCTACTCCTTTAGTTGAGGACACACATCACGAGTAAGTTTCTGAGAATGCTTCTGTCTAGTTTTTATGGGAAGATATTTCCTTTTTCACCTTAGGCCGGAAAGCGCTCCAAATGTCCACTTACACACACTACAAAAAGAGTGTTTCAAATCTGCTCTGTGAAAGGGAATGTTCAATTCTGTGACTTGAATGCAATCATCACAAAGAACTTTCTGAGAATGCCGCTGTCTGCTTTTTATATGTAATCCCGTTTCCAACGAAATGCTCAAATCTAGCCAAATATCCACTTGCAAATTCCACAAAAAGAGTGTTTCAAAACTGTTCTGTCTAAAGAAATGTTCAACTGTGTTAGTTGAGGACACACATCAGAATCTAGTTTCTGAGAATGCTTCTGTCTAGTTGTTATGGGAAGATATTTCCTTTTCCAACGTAGGCCTGAAAGCGCTCCAAATGTCCACTTCCATATACTAAAAAAAGAGTGTTTCAAACCTGCTCTACCAAAGGGAATGTTCTACTCTGTGACTTGAATGCAAACATCCCAAAGAAGTTTCTGAGAATGCTTCTGTCTAGATTTTATCTGAAGACAATCCCGTTTCCAACGAAATCCTCAAAGCTAGGCAAATATACTCTTGCAGATTCCAGAAAAAGAGTGTTTCAAAACTGCTCCTTGAAAAGGGTGGTTCAATTCTCTTAGTTGAGTACACCCATCTCAAATAAGTTTCTGAGAATGCTTCTGCCTAGTTGTTACGGGAAGATATTTCCCTTTCCAACATGGGCCTGAAAGCGCTCCAAATGTCCACTTCCAGATACTACAAAAAGAGTGTTTCAAACCTGCTCTACCAAAGGGAATGTTCTACTCTGTGACTTGAATGCAAACATCCCAAAGAAGTTTCTGAGAATGCTTCTGTCTAGATTTTACCTGAAGACAATCCCGTTTCCCACGAAATCCTCAAAGGTATGCAAATATCCTCTTGCGGATTCTACAAAAAGAGTGTTTCAAAACTGCTCTATGAACAGAAACGTTCAACTCTGTCAGTAGAGGGCACACATCACAAACAAGTTTCTGAGAATGCTTGTGTCTAGTTGTTATGGGAAGATATTTCCTTTTTCAACATAGGCCTGAAAGCGCTCCAAATGTCCACTTCCAGATACTACAAAAGGAGTGATTCCAACCTGCTCTATGATAGGGAATGTTCATCTCTGTGTCCTGAATACAAACATCACAAAGATGTTTCTCAGAACGCTGCAGTCTGCAATTTGTATGAATTCCCGCTTCCAACGAAATCCTCAAAACTAGCCAAATATCCACTTGCAGATTCCACAAAAAGACCATTTCAAAACTGCTCTATCAAAAGAAAGGTTCAACTTTGTTAGTTGAGTAGATACAGCATAAACAAGTTTCTGAGAATGCTTCTGTCCAGTTTTTATGGGAAGATATTTCCTTTTTCACCTTAGCCCTGAAATCGCTCCAAAAGTCCAGTTCCAGATACTACAAAAGGGGTGTTTCAAGACTGCTCTATGAAAGGGAGTGTTCAACTTTTGACTTGAATGCAAACATCAGAAAGCAGTTTCTCAGAACGCTGCTGTGTGCTTTTTATATGTATTCCCGCTTCCAGCGAAATCCCCAAAGCTAGCCAGATATCCACTTGCAGATTCCAGAAAAAGAGTGTTTCAAAACTGCTCCTTCAAAACGGTGGTTCAATTCTCTTAGTTGAGTACACACATCTCAAATAAGTTTCTGAGAATGCTTCTGTCTATTTGTTATGGGAAGATATTTCCTTTTCCAACATAGGCCTGAAAGCGCTCCAAATATCCACTTCCAGATACTACAAAAGGAGTGATTCAAACCTGCTCTGTGATAGGGAATGTTCAACTCTGTGTCCTGAATACAAACATCACAAAGATGTTTCTCAGAACGCTGCAGTCTGCAATTTGGATGAATTCCCGCTTCCAACGAAATCCTCAAAACTAGCCAAATATCCACTTGCAGATTCCACAAAAAGAGCGTTTCAAAACTTCTCTATGAAAAGAAAGTTTCTACTCCTTTACTTGAGTACACACATCACGAGTAAGTTTCTGAGAATGCTTCTGTCTAGTTTTTATGGGAAGATATTTCCTTTTTCACCTTAGGCCGGTAAGTGCTCCAAATGTCCACTTACACACACTACAAAAAGAGTGTTTCAAACCTGCTCTGTGAAAGGGAATGTTCAATTCTGTGACTTGAATGCAATCATCACAAAGAACTTTCTGAGAATGCTGCTGTCTGCTTTTTATATGTAATCCCGTTTCCAACGAAATCCTCAAATCTAGCCAAATAGCCACTTGCAGATTCCACAAAAAGAGTGTTTCAAAACTGTTCTGTCTAAAGAAATGTTCAACTGTGTTAGTTGAGGACACACATCAGAAACTAGTTTCTGAGAATGCTTCTGTCTAGTTGTTATGGGAAGATATTTCCTTTTCCAACGTAGGCCTGAAAGCGCTCCAAATGTCCACTTCCATATACTAAAAAAAGAGTGTTTCAAACCTGCTCTACCAAAGGGAATGTTCTACTCTGTGACTTGAATGCAAACATCCCAAAGAAGTTTCTGAGAATGCTTCTGTCTAGATTTTCTCTGAAGACAATCCCGTTTCCAACGAAATCCTCAAGGCTAGGCAAATATACTCTTGCAGATTCCAGAAAAAGAGTGTTTCAAAACTGCTCCTTCAAAACGGTGGTTCAATTCTCTTAGTTGAGTACACACATCTCAAATAAGTTTCTGAGAATGCTCTGCCTAGTTGTTACGGGAAGATATTTCCCTTTCCAACATAGGCCTGAAAGCGCTCCAAATGTCCACTTCCAGACACTACAAAAAGAGTGTTTCAAACCTGCTCTACCAAAGGGAATGTTCTACTCTGTGACTTGAATGCAAACATCCCAAAGAAGTTTCTGAGAATGCTTTCTGTCTAGATTTTATCTGAAGACAATCCCGTTTCCCACGAAATCCTCAAAGCTATGCCAATATCCTCTTGCAGATTCTACAAAAAGAGTGTTTCGAAAGTGCTCTATGAAAAGAAAGGTTCAACTGTGTCAGTAGAGGGCACACATCACAAACAAGTTTCTGAGAATGCTTGTGTCTAGTTGTTATGGGAAGATATTTCCTTTTTCAACATAGGCCAGAAAGCGCTCCAAATGTCCACTTCCAGATACTACAAAAGGAGTGATTCCAACCTGCTCTATGATAGGGAATGTTCAACTCTCTGTCCTGAATACAAACATCACAAAGATGTTTCTCAGAACGCTGCAGTCTGCAATTTGTATGAATTCCCGCTTCCAACGAAATCCTCAAATCTAGCCAAATATCCACTTGCAGATTCCACAAAAAGAGCATTTCAAAACTGCTCTATCAAAAGAAAGGTTCAACTTTGTTAGTAGAGTAGATACAGCATAAACAAGTTTCTGAGAATGCTTCTGTCCAGTTTTTATGGGAAGATATTTCCTTTTTCACCTTAGCCCTGAAATCGCTCCAAAAGTCCAGTTCCAGATACTACAAAAGGGGTGTTTCAAGACTGCTCTATGAAAGGGAGTGTTCAACTTTTGACTTGAATGCAAACATCAGAAAGCAGTTTCTCAGAACGCTGCTGTGTGCTTTTTATATGTATTCCCGCTTCCAGCGAAATCCCCAAAGCTAGCCAAATATCCACTTGCAGATTCCAGAAAAAGAGTGTTTCAAAACTGCTCCTTCAAAACGGTGGTTCAATTCTCTTAGTTGAGTACACACATCTCAAATAAGTTTCTGAGAATGCTTCTGCCTAGTTGTTACGGGAAGATATTTCCCTTTCCAACATGGGCCTGAAAGCGCTCCAAATGTCCACTTCCAGATACTACAAAAAGAGTGTTTCAAACCTGCTCTACCAAACTGAATGTTCTACTCTGTGTCTTGAATGCAAACATCCCAAAGAAGTTTCTGAGAATGCTTCTGTCTAGATTTTACCTGAAGACAATCCCGTTTCCCACGAAATCCTCAAAGCTATGCAAATATCCTGTTGCAGATTCTACAAAAAGAGTGTTTCAAAACTGCTCTATGAAAAGAAAGGTTCAACTCTGTCAGTAGAGGGCACACATCACAAACAAGTTTCTGAGAATGCTTCTGCATAGTTGTTATGGGAAGATATTTCCCTGTCCAAAATAGGCCTGAAAGCGCTCCAAATGTCCACTTCCAGATACTACAAAAGGAGTGATTCCAACCTGCTCTATGATAGGGAATGTTCAACTCTGTGTCCTGAATACAAACATCACAAAGATGTTTCTCATAACGCTGCAGTCTGCAATTTGTATGAATTCCCGCTTCCAACGAAATCCTCAAAACTAGCCAAATATCCACTTGCAGATTCCACAAAAAGACCATTTCAAAACTGCTCTATCAAAAGAAAGGTTCAACTTTGTTAGTTGAGTAGATACAGCATAAACAAGTTTCTGAGAATGCTTCTGTCCAGTTTTTATGGGAAGATATTTCCTTTTTCACCTTAGCCCTGAAATCGCTCCAAAAGTCCAGTTCCAGATACTACAAAAGGGGTGTTTCAGGACTGCTCTATGAAAGGGAGTGTTCAACTTTTGACTTGAATGCAAACATCAGAAAGCAGTTTCTCAGAACGCTGCTGTGTGCTTTTTATATGTATTCCCGCTTCCAGCGAAATCCCCAAAGCTAGCCAAATATCCACTTGCAGATTCCAGAAAAAGAGAGTTTCAAAACTGCTCCTTCAAAACGGTGGTTCAATTCTCTTAGTTGAGTACACACATCTCAAATAAGTTTCTGAGAATGCTTCTGTCTAGTTGTTATGGGAAGATATTTCCTTTTCCAACATAGGCCTGAAAGCGCTCCAAATGTCCACTTCCAGATACTACAAAAGGAGTGATTCAAACCTGCTCTATGATAGGGAATGTTCAACTCTGTGTCCTGAATACAAACATCACAAAGATGTTTCTCAGAACGCTGCAGTCTGTAATTTGTATGAATTCCCGCTTCCAACGAAATCCTCCAAACTAGCCAAATATCCACTTGCAGAGTCCACAAAAAGAGCGTTTCAAAACTTCTCTATGAAAAGAAAGGTTCTACTTCTTTAGTTGAGGACACACATCACGAGTAAGTTTCTGAGAATGCTTCTGTCTAGTTTTTAAGGGAAGATATTTCCTTTTTCACCTTAGGCCGGAAAGTGCTCCAAATGTCCACTTACACACACTACAAAAAGAGTGTTTCAAACCTGCTCTGTGAAAGGGAATGTTCAATTCTGTGACTTGAATGCAATCATCACAAAGAACTTTCTGAGAATGCTGCTGTCTGCTTTTTATATGTAATCCCGTTTCCAACGAAATCCTCAAATCTAGCCAAATAGCCACTTGCAGATTCCACAAAAAGAGTGTTTCAAAACTGTTCTGTCTAAAGAAATGTTCAACTGTGTTAGTTGAGGACACACATCAGAAACTAGTTTCTGAGAATGCTTCTGTCTAGTTGTTATGGGAAGATATTTCCTTTTCCAAAGTAGGCCTGAAAGCGCTCCAAATGTCCACTTCCATATACTAAAAAAAGAGTGTTTCAAACCTGCTCTACCAAAGGGAATGTTCTACTCTGTGACTTGAATGCAAACATCCCAAAGAAGTTTCTGAGAATGCGTCTGTCTAGATTTGATCTGAAGACAATCCCGTTTCCAACGAAATCCTCAAGGCTAGGCAAATATCCTCTTGCAGATTCCAGAAAAAGAGTGTTCCAAACTGCTCCTTCAAAACGGTGGTTCAATTCTCTTAGTTGAGTACACACATCTCAAATAAGTTTCTGAGAATGCTTCTGCCTAGTTGTTACGGGAAGATATTTCCCTTTCCAACATAGGCCTGAAAGCGCTCCAAATGTCCACTTCCAGATACTACAAAAAGAGTGTTTCAAACCTGCTCTACCAAAGGGAATGTTCTACTCTGTGACTTGAATGCAAACATCCCAAAGAAGTTTCTGAGAATGCTTCTGTCTAGATTTTACCTGAAGACAATCCCGTTTCCCACGAAATCCTCAAAGCTATGCAAATATCCTCTTGCAGATTCTACAAAAAGAGTGTTTCAAAACTGCTCTATGAAAAGAAAGGTTCAACTCTGTCAGTAGAGGGCACACATCACAAACAAGTTTCTGAGAATGCTTGTGTCTACTTGTTATGGGAAGATATTTCCTTTTTCAACATAGGCCTGAAAGCGCTCCAAATGTCCACTTCCAGATACTACAAAAGGAGTGATTCCAACCTGCTCTATGATAGGGAATGTTCAACTCTGTGTCCTGAATACAAACATCACAAAGATGTTTCTCAGAACGCTGCAGTCTGCAATTTGTATGAATTCCCGCTTCCAAAGAAATCCTCAAAACTAACCAAATATCCACTTGCAGACTCCACAAAAAGAGCATTTCAAAACTGCTCTATCAAAAGAAAGGTTCAACTTTGTTAGCTGAGTAGATACAGCATAAACAAGTTTCTGAGAATGCTGCAGTCTGCAATTTGTATGAATTCCCGCTTCCAACGAAATCCTCAAAACTAGCCAAATATCCACTTGCAGATTCCACAAAAAGAGCGTTTCAAAACTTCTCTATGAAAAGAAAGGTTCTACTCCTTTAGTTGAGGACACACATCACGAGTAAGTTTCTGAGAATGCTTCTGTCTAGTTTTTATGGGAAGATATTTCCTTTTTCACCTTAGGCCGGAAAGCGCTCCAAATGTCCACTTACACACACTACAAAAAGAGTGTTTCAAACCTGCTCTGTGAAAGGGAATGTTCAATTCTGTGACTTGAATGCAATCATCACAAAGAACTTTCTGAGAATGCTGCTGTCTGCTTTTTATATGTAATCCCGTTTCCAACGAAATCCTCAAATCTAGCCAAATATCCACTTGCAGATTCCACAAAAAGAGTGTTTCAAAACTGTTCTGTCTAAAGAAAAGTTCAACTGTGTTAGTTGAGGACACACATCAGAAACTAGTTTCTGAGAATGCTTCTGTCTAGTTGTTATGGGAAGATATTTCCTTTTCCAACGTAGGCCTGAAAGCGATCAAAATGTCCACTTCCATATACTAAAAAAAGAGTGTTTCAAACCTGCTCTACCAAAGGGAATGTTCTACTCTGTGACTTGAATGCAAACATCCCAAAGAAGTTTCTGAGAATGCTTCTGTCTAGATTTTCTCTGAAGACAATCCCGTTTCCAACGAAATCCTCAAGGCTAGGCAAATATACTCTTGCAGATTCCAGAAAAAGAGTGTTTCAAAACTGCTCCTTCAAAACGGTGGTTCAATTCTCTTAGTTGAGTACACACATCTCAAATAAGTTTCTGAGAATGCTTCTGCCTAGTTGTTACGGGAAGATATTTCCCTTTCCAACATGGGCCTGAAAGCGCTCCAAATGTCCACTTCCAGATACTACAAAAAGAGTGTTTCAAACCTGCTCTACCAAAGGGAATGTTCTACTCTGTGACTTGAATGCAAACATCCCAAAGAAGTTTCTGAGAATGCTTCTGTCTAGATTTTACCTGAAGACAATCCCGTTTCCCACGAAATCCTCAAAGCTATGCAAATATCCTCTTGCAGATTCTACAAAAAGAGTGTTTCAAAACTGCTCTATGAAAAGAAAGGTTCAACTCTGTCAGTAGAGGGCACACATCACAAACAAGTTTCTGAGAATGCTTGTGTCTAGTTGTTATGGGAAGATATTTCCTTTTTCAACATAGGCCTGAAAGCGCTCCAAATGTCCACTTCCAGATACTACAAAAGGAGTGATTCCAACCTGCTCTATGATAGGGAATGTTCAACTCTCTGTCCTGAATACAAACATCACAAAGATGTTTCTCAGAACGCTGCAGTCTGCAATTTGTATGAATTCCCGCTTCCAACGAAATCCTCAAAACTAGCCAAATATCCACTTGCAGATTCCACAAAAAGAGCATTTCAAAACTGCTCTATCAAAAGAAAGGTTCAACTTTGTTAATTGAGTAGATACAGCATAAACAAGTTTCTGAGAATGCTGCAGTCTGCAATTTGTATGAATTCCCGCTTCCAACGAAATCCTCAAAACTAGCCAAATATCCACTTGCAGATTCCACAAAAAGAGCGTTTCAAAACTTCTCTATGAAAAGAAAGGTTCTACTCCTTTAGTTGAGGACACACATCACGAGTAAGTTTCTGAGAATGCTTCTGTCTAGTTTTTATGGGAAGATATTTCCTTTTTCACCTTAGGCCGGAAAGTGCTCCAAATGTCCACTTACACACACTACAAAAAGAGTTTTTCAAACCTGCTCTGTGAAAGGGAATGTTCAATTCTGTGACTTGAATGCAATCATCACAAAGAACGTTCTGAGAATGCTGCTGTCTGCTTTTTATATGTAATCCCGTTTCCAACGAAATCCTCAAATCTAGCCAAATAGCCACTTGCAGATTCCACAAAAAGAGAGTTTCAAAACTGTTCTGTCTAAAGAAATGTTCAACTGTGTTAGTTGAGGACACACATCAGAAACTAGTTTCTGAGAATGCTTCTGTCTAATTGTTATGGGAAGATATTTCCTTTTCCAACGTAGGCCTGAAAGCGCTCCAAATGTCTACTTCCATATACTAAAAAAAGAGTGTTTCAAACCTGCTCTACCAAAGGGAATGTTCTACTCTGTGACTTGAATGCAAACATCCCAAAGAAGTTTCTGAGAATGCTTCTGTCTAGATTTTATCTGAAGACAATCCCGTTTCCAACGAAATCCACAAAGCTAGGAAGATATACTCTTGCAGATTCCAGAAAAAGAGTGTTTCAAAACTGCTCCTTCAAAACGGTGGTTCAATTCTCTTAGTTGAGTACACACATCTCAAATAAGTTTCTGAGAATGCTTCTGCCTAGTTGTTACGGGAAGATATTTCCCTTTCCAACATGGGCCTGAAAGCGCTCCAAATGTCCACTTCCAGATACTACAAAAAGAGTGTTTCAAACCTGCTCTACCAAAGGGAATGTTCTACTCTGTGACTTGAATGCAAACATCCCAAAGAAGTTTCTGAGAATGCTTCTGTCTAGATTTTACCTGAAGACAATCCCGTTTCCCACGAAATCCTCAAAGCTATGCAAATATCCTCTTGCAGATTCTACAAAAAGAGTGTTTCAAAACTGCTCTATGAAAAGAAAGGTTCAACTCTGTCAGTAGAGGGCACACATCACAAACAAGTTTCTGAGAATGCTTGTGTCTAGTTGTTATGGGAAGATATTTCCTTTTTCAACATAGGCCAGAAAGCGCTCCAAATGTCCACTTCCAGATACTACAAAAGGAGTGATTCCAACCTGCTCTATGATAGGGAATGTTCAACTCTCTGTCCTGAATACAAACATCACAAAGATGTTTCTCAGAACGCTGCAGTCTGCAATTTGCATGAATTCCAGCTTCCAACGAAATCCTCAAAACTAGCCAAATATCCACTTGCAGATTCCACAAAAAGAGCATTTCAAAACTGCTCTATCAAAAGAAAGGTTCAACTTTGTTAGTAGAGTAGATACAGCATAAACAAGTTTCTGAGAATGCTTCTGTCCAGTTTTTATGGGAAGATATTTCCTTTTTCACCTTAGCCCTGAAATCGCTCCAAAAGTCCAGTTCCAGATACTACAAAAGGGGTGTTTCAAGACTGCTCTATGAAAGGGAGTGTTCAACTTTTGACTTGAATGCAAACATCAGAAAGCAGTTTCTCAGAACGCTGCTGTGTGTTTTTTATATGTATTCCCGCTTCCAGCGAAATCCCCAAAGCTAGCCAAATATCCACTTGCAGATTCCAGAAAAAGAGCGTTTCAAAACTGCTCCTTGAAAACGGTGGTTCAATTCTCTTAGTTGAGTACACCCATCTCAAATAACTTTCTGAGAATGCTTCTGTCCAGTTTTTATGGGAAGATATTTCCTTTTTCACCTTAGCCCTGAAATCGCTCCAAAAGTCCAGTTCCAGATACTACAAAAGGGGTGTTTCAGGACTGCCCTATGAAAGGGAGTGTTCAACTTTTGACTTGAATGCAAACATCAGAAAGCAGTTTCTCAGAACGCTGCAGTCTGCAATTTGTATGAATTCCCGCTTCCAACGAAATCCTCAAAACTAGCCAAATATCCACTTGGAGATTCCACAAAAAGAGCGTTTCAAAACTTCTCTATGAATAGAAAGGTTCTACTCCTTTAGTTGAGGACACACATCACGAGTAAGTTTCTGAGAATGCTTCTGTCTAGTTTTTATGGGAAGATATTCCCTTTTTCACCTTAGGCCGGAAAGTGCTCCAAATGTCCACTTACACACACTACAAAAAGAGTGTTTCAAACCTGCTCTGTGAAAGGGAATGTTCAATTCTGTGACTTGAATGCAATCATCACAAAGAACTTTCTGAGAATGCTGCTGACTGCTTTTTATATGTAATCCCGTTTCCAACGAAATCCTCAAATCTAGCCAAATAGCCACTTGCAGATTCCACAAAAAGAGTGTTTCAAAACTGTTCTGTCTAAAGAAATGTTCAACTGTGTTAGTTGAGGACACACATCAGAAACTAGTTTCTGAGAATGCTTCTGTCTAGTTGTTATGGGAAGATATTTCCTTTTCCAACGTAGGCCTGAAAGCGCTCCAAATGTCCACTTCCATATACTAAAAAAAGAGTGTTTCAAACCTGCTCTACCAAAGGGAATGTTCTACTCTGTGACTTGAATGCAAACATCCCAAAGAAGTTTCTGAGAATGCTTCTGTCTAGATTTGATCTGAAGACAATCCCTTTTCCAACGAAATCCTCAAGGCTAGGCAAATATCCTCTTGCAGATTCCAGAAAAAGAGTGTTTCAAAACTGCTCCTTCAAAACGGTGGTTCAATTCTCTTAGTTGAGTACACACATCTCAAATAAGTTTCTGAGAATGCTTCTGCCTAGTTGTTACGGGAAGATATTTCCCTTTCCAACATGGGCCTGAAAGCGCTCCAAATGTCCACTTCCAGATACTACAAAAAGAGTGTTTCAAACCTGCTCTACCAAAGGGAATGTTCTACTCTGTGACTTGAATGCAAACATCCCAAAGAAGTTTCTGAGAATGCTTCTGTCTAGATTTTACCTGAAGACAATCCCGTTTCCCACGAAATCCTCAAAGCTATGCAAATATCCTCTTGCGGATTCTACAAAAAGAGTGTTTCAAAACTGCTCTATGAAAAGAAAGGTTCAACTCTGTCAGTAGAGGGCACACATCACAAACAAGTTTCTGAGAATGCTTCTGCATAGTTGTTACGGGAAGATATTTCCCTTTCCAAAATAGGCCTGAAAGCGCTCCAAATGTCCACTTCCAGATACTACAAAAGGAGTGATTCCAACCTGCTCTATGATAGGGAATGTTCAACTCTGTGTCCTGAATACAAACATCACAAAGATGTTTCTCAGAACGCTGCAGTCTGCAATTTGTATGTATTCCAGCTTCCAACGAAATCCTCAAATCTAGCCAAATATCCACTTGCAGATTCCACAAAAAGAGCATTTCAAAACTGCTCTATCAAAAGAAAGGTTCAACTTTTTTAGTAGAGTAGATACAGCATAAACAAGTTTCTGAGAATGCTTCTGTCCAGTTTTTATGGGAAGATATTTCCTTTTTCACCTTAGCCCTGAAAGCGCTCCAAAAGTCCAGTTCCAGATACTACAAAAGGAGTGTTTCAGGACTGCTCTATGAAAGGGAGTGTTCAACTTTTGACTTGAATGCAAACATCAGAAAGCAGTTTCTCAGAACGCTGCAGTCTGCAATTTGTATGAATTCCCGCTTCCAACGAAATCCTCAAAACTAGCCAAATATCCACTTGCAGATTCCACAAAAAGAGCGTTTCAAAACTTCTCTATGAAAAGAAAGGTTCTACTCCTTTAGTTGAGGACACACATCACGAGTAAGTTTCTGAGAATGCTTCTGTCTAGTTTTTATGGGAAGATATGTCCTTTTTCACCTTAGGCCGGAAAGCGCTCCAAATGTCCACTTACACACACTACAAAAAGAGTGTTTCAAACCTGCTCTGTGAAAGGGAATGTTCAATTCTGTGACTTGAATGCAATCATCACAAAGAACTTTCTGAGAATGCTGCTGACTGCTTTTTATATGTAATCCCGTTTCCAACGAAATCCTCAAATCTAGCCAAATAGCCACTTGCAGATTCCACAAAAAGAGTGTTTCAAAACTGTTCTGTCTAAAGAAATGTTCAACTGTGTTAGTTGAGGACACACATCAGAAACTAGTTTCTGAGAATGCTTCTGTCTAGTTGTTATGGGAAGATATTTCCTTTTCCAACGTAGGCCTGAAAGCGCTCCAAATGTCCACTTCCATATACTAAAAAAAGAGTGTTTCAAACCTGCTCTACCAAAGGGAATGTTCTACTCTGTGACTTGAATGCAAACATCCCAAAGAAGTTTCTGAGAATGCTTCTGTCTAGATTTTATCTGAAGACAATCCGGTTTCCAACGAAATCCTCAAGGCTAGGCAAATATACTCTTGCAGATTCCAGAAAAAGAGTGTTTCAAAACTGCTCCTTCAAAATGGTGGTTCAATTCTCTTAGTTGAGTACACACATCCTCAAATAAGTTTCTGAGAATGCTTCTGCCTAGTTGTTACGGGAAGATATTTCCCTTTCCAACATGGGCCTGAAAGCACTCCAAATGTCCACTTCCAGATACTACAAAAAGAGTGTTTCAAACCTGCTCTACCAAAGGGAATGTTCTACTCTGTGACTTGAATGCAAACATCCCAAAGAAGTTTCTGAGAATGCTTCTGTCTAGATTTTACCTGAAGACAATCCCGTTTCCCAAGAAATCCTCAAAGCTATGCAAATATCCTCTTGCGGATTCTACAAAAAGAGTGTTTCAAAACTGCTCTATGAAAAGAAAGGTTCAACTCTGTCAGTAGAGGGCACACATCACAAACAAGTTTCTGAGAATGCTTCTGTCTAGTTTTTATGGGAAGATATTTCCTTTTTCACCTTAGGCCGGAAAGTGCTCCAAATGTCCACTTCCAGATACTACAAAAGGAGTGATTCCAACCTGCTCTATGATAGGGAATGTTCAACTCTCTGTCCTGAATACAAACATCACAAAGATGTTTCTCAGAACGCTGCAGTCTGCAATTTGTATGAATTCCCGCTTCCAACGAAATCCTCAAAACTAGCCAAATATCCACTTGCAGATTCCACAAAAAGACCATTTCAAAACTGCTCTATCAAAAGAAAGGTTCAACTTTGTTAGTTGAGTAGATACAGCATAACCAAGTTTCTGAGAATGCTTCTGTCCAGTTTTTATGGGAAGATATTTCCTTTTTCACCTTAGCCCTGAAATCGCTCCAAAAGTCCAGTTCCAGATACTACAAAAGGGGTGTTTCAAGACTGCTCTATGAAAGGGAGTGTTCAACTTTTGACTTGAATGCAAACATCAGAAAGCAGTTTCTCAGAACGCTGCTGTGTGCTTTTTATATGTATTCCCGCTTCCAGCGAAATCCCCAAAGCTAGCCAAATATCCACTTGCAGATTCCAGAAAAAGAGTGTTTCAAAACTGCTCCTTCAAAACGGTGGTTCAATTCTCTTAGTTGAGTACACACATCTCAAATAAGTTTCTGAGAATGCTTCTGTCTAGTTGTTATGGGAAGATATTTCCTTTTCCAACATAGGCCTGAAAGCGCTCCAAATGTCCACTTCCAGATACTACAAAAGGAGTGATTCCAACCTGCTCTATGATAGGGAATGTTCAACTCTGTGTCCTGAATACAAACATCACAAAGATGTTTCTCAGAACGCTGCAGTCTGCAATTTGTATGAATTCCCGCTTCCAACGAAATCCTCCAAACTAGCCAAATATCCACTTGCAGAGTCCACAAAAAGAGCGTTTCAAAACTTCTCTATGAAAAGAAAGGTTCTACTCCTTTAGTTGAGGACACACATCACGAGTAAGTTTCTGAGAATGCTTCTGTCTAGTTTTTATGGGAAGATATTTCCTTGTTCACCTTAGGCCGGAAAGCGCTCCAAATGTCCACTTACACACACTACAAAAAGAGTGTTTCAAACCTGCTCTGTGAAAGGGAATGTTCAATTCTGTGACTTGAATGCAATCATCACAAAGAAGTTTCTGAGAATGCTGCTGTCTGCTTTTTATATGTAATCCCGTTTCCAAAGAAATCCTCAAATCTAGCCAAATATCCACTTGCAGATTCCACAAAAAGAGTGTTTGAAAACTGTTCTGTCCAAAGAAATGTTCAACTGTGTTAGTTGAGGACACACATCAGAAACTAGTTTCTGAGAATGCTTCTGTCTAGTTGTTATGGGAAGATATTTCCTTTTCCAATGTAGGCCTGAAAGCGTTCCAAATGTCCACTTACACACACTACAAAAAGAGTGTTTCAAACCTGCTCTACCAAAGGGAATGTTCTACTCCGTGACTTGAATGCAAACATCCCAAAGAAGTTTCTGAGAATGCTTCTGTCTAGATTTTACCTGAAGACAATCCCGTTTCCCACGAAATCCTCAAAGCTATGCAAATATCCTCTTGCAGATTCTACAAAAAGAGTGTTTCGAAAGTGCTCTATGAAAAGAAAGGTTCAACTGTGTCAGTAGAAGGCACACATCACAAACAAGTTTCTGAGAATGCTTCTGCCTAGTTGTTACGGGAAGATATTTCCCTTTCCAACATAGGCCTGAAAGCGCTCCAAATGTCCACTTCCAGATACTACAAAAAGAGTGTTTCAAACCTGCTCTACCAAAGGGAATGTTCTACTCTGTGACTTGAATGCAAACATCCCAAAGAAGTTTCTGAGAATGCTTCTGTCTAGATTTTACCTGAAGACAATCCCGTTTCCCACGAAATCCTCAGAGCTATGCAAATATCCTCTTGCAGATTCTACAAAAAGAGTGTTTCGAAACTGCTCTATGAAAAGAAAGGTTCAACTCTGTCAGTAGAGGAAACACATCACCAACAAGTTTCTGAGAATGCTTCTGCATAGTTGTTACGGGAAGATATTTCCCTTTCCAAAATAGGCCTGAAAGCGCTCCAAATGTCCACTTCCAGATACTACAAAAGGAGTGATTCCAACCTGCTCTATGATAGGGAATGTTCAACTCTGTGTCCTGAATACAAACATCACAAAGATGTTTCTCAGAACGCTGCAGTCTGCAATTTGTATGAATTCCCGCTTCCAACGAAATCCTCAAAACTAGCCAAATATCCACTTGCAGATTCCACAAAAAGAGCATTTCAAAACTGCTCTATCAAAAGAAAGGTTCAACTTTGTTAGTTGAGTAGATACAGCATAAACAAGTTTCTGAGAATGCTTCTGTCCAGTTTTTATGGGAAGATATTTCCTTTTTCACCTTAGCCCTGAAATCGCTCCAAAAGTCCAGTTCCAGATACTACAAAAGGGGTGTTTCAAGACTGCTCTATGAAAGGGAGTGTTCAACTTTTGACTTGAATGCAAACATCAGAAAGCAGTTTCTCAGAACGCTGCTGTGTGCTTTTTATATGTATTCCCGCTTCCAGCGAAATCCCCAAAGCTAGCCAAATATCCACTTGCAGATTCCAGAAAAAGAGTGTTTCAAAACTGCTCCTTCAAAACGGTGGTTCAATTCTCTTAGTTGAGTACACACATCTCAAATAAGTTTCTGAGAATGCTTGTGTCTAGTTGTTATGGGAAGATATTTCCTTTTTCAACATAGGCCTGAAAGCGCTCCAAATGTCCACTTCCAGATACTACAAAAGGAGTGATTCCAACATGCTCTATGATAGGGAATGTTCATCTCTGTGTCCTGAATACAAACATCACAAAGATGTTTCTCAGAACGCTGCAGTCTGCAATTTGTAGGAATTCCCGCTTCCAACGAAATCCTCAAAACTAGCCAAATATCCACTTGGAGATTCCACAAAAAGAGCGTTTCAAAACTTCTCTATGAATAGAAAGGTTCTACTCCTTTAGTTGAGGACACACATCACGAGTAAGTTTCTGAGAATGCTTCTGTCTAGTTTTTATGGGAAGATTATTTCCTTTTTCACCTTAGGCCGGTAAGTGCTCCAAATGTCCACTTACACACACTACAAAAAGAGTGTTTCAAACCTGCTCTGTGAAAGGGAATGTTCAATTCTGTGACTTGAATGCAATCATCACAAAGAACTTTCTGAGAATGCTGCTGACTGCTTTTTATATGTAATCCCGTTTCCAACGAAATCCTCAAATCTAGCCAAATAGCCACTTGCAGATTCCACAAAAAGAGTGTTTCAAAACTGTTCTGTCTAAAGAAATGTTCAACTGTGTTAGTTGAGGACACACATCAGAAACTAGTTTCTGAGAATGCTTCTGTCTAGTTGTTATGGGAAGATATTTCCTTTTCCAACGTAGGCCTGAAAGCGCTCCAAATGTCCACTTCCATATACTAAAAAAAGAGTGTTTCACACCTGCTCTACCAAAGGGAATGTTCTACTCTGTGACTTGAATGCAAACATCCCAAAGAAGTTTCTGAGAATGCTTCTGTCTAGATTTGATCTGAAGACAATCCCGTTTCCAACGAAATCCTCAAGGCTAGGCAAATATCCTCTTGCAGATTCCAGAAAAAGAGTGTTTCAAAACTGCTCCTTCAAAACGGTGGTTCAATTCTCTTAGTTGAGTACACACATCTCAAATAAGTTTCTGAGAATGCTTCTGCCTAGTTGTTACGGGAAGATATTTCCCTTTCCAACATAGGCCTGAAAGCGCTCCAAATGTCCACTTCCAGATACTACAAAAAGAGTGTTTCAAACCTGCTCTACCAAAGGGAATGTTCTGCTCTGTGACTTGAATGCAAACATCCCAAAGAAGTTTCTGAGAATGCTTCTGTCTAGATTTTACCTGAAGACAATCCCGTTTCCCACGAAATTCTCAAAGCTATGCAAATATCCTCTTGCAGATTCTACAAAAAGAGTGTTTCAAAACTGCTCTATGAAAAGAAAGGTTCAACTCTGTCAGTAGAGGGCACACATCACAAACAAGTTTCTGAGAATGCTTCTGCATAGTTGTTACGGGAAGATATTTCCCTTTCCAAAATAGGCCTGAAAGCGCTCCAAATGTCCACTTCCAGATACTACAAAAGGAGTGATTCCAACCTGCTCTATGATAGGGAATGTTCAACTCTGTGTCCTGAATACAAACATCACAAAGATGTTTCTCAGAACGCTGCAGTCTGCAATTTGTATGAATTCCCGCTTCCAACGAAATCCTCAAAACTAGCCAAATATCCACTTGCAGATTCCACAAAAAGACCATTTCAAAACTGCTCTATCAAAAGAAAGGTTCAACTTTGTTAGTTGAGTAGATACAGCATAAACAAGTTTCTGAGAATGCTTCTGTCCAGTTTTTATGGGAAGATATTTCCTTTTTCACCTTAGCCCTGAAATCGCTCCAAAAGTCCAGTTCCAGATACTACAAAAGGGGTGTTTCAGGACTGCTCTATGAAAGGGAGTGTTCAACTTTTGACTTGAATGCAAACATCAGAAAGCAGTTTACTCAGAACGCTGCTGTGTGCTTTTTATATGTATTCCCGCTTCCAGCGAAATCCCCAAAGCTAGCCAAATATCCACTTGCAGATTCCAGAAAAAGAGTGTTTCAAAACTGCTCCTTCAAAACGGTGGTTCAATTCTCTTAGTTGAGTACACACATCTCAAATAAGTTTCTGAGAATGCTTCTGTCTAGTTGTTATGGGAAGATATTTCCTTTTCCAACATAGGCCTGAAAGCGCTCCAAATGTCCACTTCCAGATACTACAAAAGGAGTGATTCCAACCTGCTCTATGATAGGGAATGTTCAACTCTGTGTCCTGAATACAAACATCACAAAGATGTTTCTCAGAACGCTGCAGTCTGCAATTTGTATGAATTCCCGCTTCCAACGAAATCCTCCAAACTAGCCAAATATCCACTTGCAGATTCCACAAAAAGAACGTTTCCAAACTTCTCTATGAAAACAAAGGTTCTACTCCTTTAGTTGAGGACACACATCACGAGTAAGTTTCTGAGAATGCTTCTGTCTAGTTTTTATGGGAAGATATTTCCTTTTTCACCTTAGGCCGGTAAGTGCTCCAAATGTCCACTTACACACACTACAAAAAGAGTGTTTCAAACCTGCTCTGTGAAAGGGAATGTTCAATTCTGTGACTTGAATGCAATCATCACAAAGAACTTTCTGAGAATGCTGCTGACTGCTTTTTATATGTAATCCCGTTTCCAACGAAATCCTCAAATCTAGCCAAATAGCCACTTGCAGATTCCACAAAAAGAGTGTTTCAAAACTGTTCTGTCTAAAGAAATGTTCAACTGTGTTAGTTGAGGACACACATCAGAAACTAGTTTCTGAGAATGCTTCTGTCTAGTTGTTATGGGAAGATATTTCCTTTTCCAACGTAGGCCTGAAAGTGCTCCAAATGTCCACTTCCATATACTAAAAAAAGAGTGTTTCAAACCTGCTCTACCAAAGGGAATGTTCTACTCTGTGACTTGAATGCAAACATCCCAAAGAAGTTTCTGAGAACGCTTCTGTCTAGATTTTATCTGAAGACAATCCCGTTTCCAACGAAATCCTCAAGGCTAGGCAAATATACTCTTGCAGATTCCAGAAAAAGAGTGTTTCAAAACTGCTCCTTCAAAACGGTGGTTCAATTCTCTTAGTTGAGTACACACATCTCAAATAAGTTTCTGAGAATGCTTCTGCCTAGTTGTTACGGGAAGATATTTCCCTTTCCAACATAGGCCTGAAAGCGCTCCAAATGTCCACTTCCAGATACTACAAAAAGAGTGTTTCAAACCTGCTCTACCAAAGGGAATGTTCTACTCTGTGACTTGAATGCAAACATCCCAAAGAAGTTTCTGAGAATGCTTCTGTCTAGATTTTACCTGAAGACAATCCCGTTTCCCACGAAATCCTCAAAGCTATGCAAATATCCTCTTGCAGATTCTACAAAAAGAGTGTTTCAAAACTGCTCTATGAAAAGAAAGGTTCAACTCTGTCAGTAGAGGGCACACATCACAAACAAGTTTCTGAGAATGCTTGTGTCTAGTTGTTATGGGAAGATATTTCCTTTTTCAACATAGGCCAGAAAGCGCTCCAAATGTCCACTTCCAGATACTACAAAAGGAGTGATTCCAACCTGCTCTATGATAGGGAATGTTCAACTCTCTGTCCTGAATACAAACATCACAAAGATGTTTCTCAGAACGCTGCAGTCTGCAATTTGTATGAATTCCCGCTTCCAACGAAATCCTCAAAACTAGCCAAATATCCACTTGCAGATTCCACAAAAAGACCATTTCAAAACTGCTCTATCAAAAGAAAGGTTCAACTTTGTTAGTTGAGTAGATACAGCATAACCAAGTTTCTGAGAATGCTTCTGTCCAGTTTTTATGGGAAGATATTTCCTTTTTCACCTTAGCCCTGAAAGCGCTCCAAAAGTCCAGTTCCAGATACTACAAAAGGAGTGTTTCAGGACTGCTCTATGAAAGGGAGTGTTCAACTTTTGACTTGAATGCAAACATCAGAAAGCAGTTTCTCAGAACGCTGCTGTGTGCTTTTTATATGTATTCCCGCTTCCAGCGAAATCCCCAAAGCTAGCCAAATATCCACTTGCAGATTCCAGAAAAAGAGTGTTTCAAAACTGCTCCTTCAAAACGGTGGTTCAATTCTCTTAGTTGAGTACACACATCTCAAATAAGTTTCTGAGAATGCTTCTGTCTAGTTGTTATGGGAAGATATTTCCTTTTCCAACATAGGCCTGAAAGCGCTCCAAATGTCCACTTCCAGATACTACAAAAGGAGTGATTCCAACCTGCTCTATGATAGGGAATGTTCAACTCTGTGTCCTGAATACAAACATCACAAAGATGTTTCTCAGAACGCTGCAGTCTGCAATTTGTATGAATTCCCGCTTCCAACGAAATCCTCAAAACTAGCCAAATATCCACTTGCAGATTCCACAAAAAGAGCGTTTCAAAACTTCTCTATGAAAAGAAAGGTTCTACTCCTTTAGTTGAGGGCACACATCACGAGTAAGTTTCTGAGAATGCTTCTGTCTGGTTTTTATGGTAAGATATGTCCTTTTTCACCTTAGGCCGGAAAGCGCTCCAAATGTCCACTTACACACACTACAAAAAGAGTGTTTCAAACCTGCTCTGTGAAAGGGAATGTTCAATTCTGTGACTTGAATGCAATCATCACAAAGAACTTTCTGAGAATGCTGCTGACTGCTTTTTATATGTAATCCCGTTTCCAACGAAATCCTCAAATCTAGCCAAATAGCCACTTGCAGATTCCACAAAAAGAGTGTTTCAAAACTGTTCTGTCTAAAGAAATGTTCAACTGTGTTAGTTGAGGACACACATCAGAAACTAGTTTCTGAGAATGCTTCTGTCTAGTTGTTATGGGAAGATATTTCCTTTTCCAACGTAGGCCTGAAAGCGCTCCAAATGTCCACTTCCATATACTAAAAAAAGAGTGTTTCACACCTGCTCTACCAAAGGGAATGTTCTACTCTGTGACTTGAATGCAAACATCCCAAAGAAGTTTTCTGAGAATGCTTTCTGTCTAGATTTTCTCTGAAGACAATCCCGTTTCCAACGAAATCCTCAAGGCTAGGCAAATATACTCTTGCAGATTCCAGAAAAAGAGTGTTTCAAAACTGCTCCTTCAAAACGGTGGTTCAATTCTCTTAGTTGAGTACACACATCTCAAATAAGTTTCTGAGAATGCTTCTGCCTAGTTGTTACGGGAAGATATTTCCGTTTCCAACATAGGCCTGAAAGCGCAACAAATGTCCACTTCCAGATACTACAAAAAGAGTGTTTCAAACCTGCTCTACCAAAGGGAATGTTCTACTCTGTGACTTGAATGCAAACATCCCGAAGAAGTTTCTGAGAATGCTTCTCTCTAGATTTTACCTGAAGACAATCCCGTTTCCCACGAAATCCTCAAAGCTATGCAAATATCCTCTTGCAGATTCTACAAAAAGAGTGTTTCAAAACTGCTCTATGAAAAGAAAGGTTCAACTCTGTCAGTAGAGGGCACACATCACAAACAAGTTTCTGAGAATGCTTGTGTCTAGTTGTTATGGGAAGATATTTCCTTTATCAACATAGGCCTGAAAGCGCTCCAAATGTCCACTTCCAGATACTACAAAAGGAGTGATTCCAACCTGCTCTATGATAGGGAATGTTCATCTCTGTGTCCTGAATACAAACATCACAAAGATGTTTCTCAGAACCCTGCAGTCTGCAATTTGTATGAATTCCCGCTTCCAACGAAATCCTCAAAACTAGCCAAATATCCACTTGGAGATTCCACAAAAAGAGCGTTTCAAAACTTCTCTATGAATAGAAAGGTTCTACTCCTTTAGTTGAGGACACACATCACCGAGTAAGTTTCTGAGAATGCTTCCGTCTAGTTTTTATGGGAAGATATGTCCTTTTTCACCTTAGGCCGGAAAGCGCTCCAAATGTCCACTTACACACACTACAAAAAGAGTGTTTCAAACCTGCTCTGTGAAAGGGAATGTTCAATTCTGTGACTTGAATGCAATCATCACAAAGAACTTTCTGAGAATGCTGCTGTCTGCTTTTTATATGTAATCCCGTTTCCAACGAAATCCTCAAATCTAGCCCAATATCCACTTGCAGATTCCACAAAAAGAGTGTTTCAAAACTGTTCTGTATAAAGAAATGTACAACTGTGTTAGTTGAGGACACACATCAGAAACTAGTTTCTGAGAATGCTTCTGTCTATTTGTTATGGGAAGATATTTCCTTTTCCAACGTAGGCCTGAAAGCGCTCCAAATGTCCACTTCCATATACTAAAAAAAGAGTGTTTCAAACCTGCTCTACCAAAGGGAATGTTCTACTACTGTGACTTGAATGCAAACATCCCAAAGAAGTTTCTGAGAATGCTTCTGTCTAGATTTTATCTGAAGACAATCCCGTTTCCAACGAAATCCTCAAGGCTAGGCAAATATACTCTTGCAGATTCCAGAAAAAGAGTGTTTCAAAACTGCTCCTTCAAAACGGTGGTTCAATTCTCTTAGTTGAGTACACACATCTCAAATAAGTTTCTGAGAATGCTTCTGCCTAGTTGTTACGGGAAGATATTTCCCTTTCCAACATGGGCCTGAAAGCGCTCCAAATGTCCACTTCCAGATACTACAAAAAGAGGGTTTCAAACCTGCTCTACCAAAGGGAATGTTCTACTCTGTGACTTGAATGCAAACATCCCAAAGAAGTTTCTGAGAATGCTTCTGTCTAGATTTTACCTGAAGACAATCCCGTTTCCCACGAAATCCTCAAAGCTATGCAAATATCCTCTTGCAGATTCTACAAAAAGAGTGTTTCAAAACTGCTCTATGAAAAGAAAGGTTCAACTCTGTCAGTAGAGGGCACACATCACAAACAAGTTTCTGAGAATGCTTCTGTCTAGCTGTTATGGGAGGATATTTCCTTTTCCAACATAGTCCTGAAAGCGCTCCAAACGTCCACTTCCAGATACGACAAAAGCAGTGATTCCAACCTGCTCTATGACAGGGAATGTTCAACTCTGTGTCCTGAATACAAACATCACAAAGACGTTTCTCAGAACGCTGCAGTCTGCAATTTGTATGAATTCCCGCTTCCAGCGAAATCCTCAAAACTAGCCAAATATCCACTTGCAGATTCCACAAAAAGAGCATTTCAAAACTGCTCTATCAAAAGAAAGGTTCAACTTTGTTAGTTGAGTAGATACAGCATAAACAAGTTTCTGAGAATGCTTCTGTCCAGTTTTTATGGGAAGATATTTCCTTTTTCACCTTAGCCCTGAAATCGCTCCAAAAGTCCAGTTCCAGATACTACAAAAGGGGTGTTTCAGGACTGCTCTATGAAAGGGAGTGTTCAACTTTTGACTTGAATGCAAACATCAGAAAGCAGTTTCTCAGAACGCTGCTGTGTGCTTTTTATATGTATTCCCGCTTCCAGCGAAATCCCCAAAGCTAGCCAAATATCCACTTGCAGATTCCAGAAAAAGAGAGTTTCAAAACTGCTCCTTCAAAACGGTGGTTCAATTCTCTTAGTTGAGTACACACATCTCAAATAAGTTTCTGAGAATGCTTCTGTCTAGTTGTTATGGGAAGATATTTCCTTTTCCAACATAGGCCTGAAAGCGCTCCAAATGTCCACTTCCAGATACTACAAAAGGAGTGATTCAAACCTGCTCTATGATAGGGAATGTTCAACTCTGTGTCCTGAATACAAACATCACAAAGATGTTTCTCAGAACGCTGCAGTCTGCAATTTGTATGAATTCCCGCTTCCAACGAAATCCTCAAAACTAGCCAAATATCCACTTGGAGATTCCACAAAAAGAGCGTTTCAAAACTTCTCTATGAATAGAAAGGTTCTACTCCTTTAGTTGAGGACACACATCACGAGTAAGTTTCTGAGAATGCTTCTGTCTAGTTTTTATGGGAAGATATGTCCTTTTTCACCTTAGGCCGGAAAGCGCTCCAAATGTCCACTTACACACACTACAAAAAGAGTGTTTCAAACCTGCTCTGTGAAAGGGAATGTTCAATTCTGTGACTTGAATGCAATCATCACAAAGAACTTTCTGAGAATGCTGCTGACTGCTTTTTATATGTAATCCCGTTTCCAACGAAATCCTCAAATCTAGCCCAGTATCCACTTGCAGATTCCACAAAAAGAGTGTTTCAAAACTGTTCTGTCTAAAGAAATGTACAACTGTGTTAGTTGAGGACACACATCAGAAACTAGTTTCTGAGAATGCTTCTGTCTAGTTGTTATGGGAAGATATTTCCTTTTCCAACGTAGGCCTGAAAGCGCTCCAAATGTCCACTTCCAGATACTAAAAAAAGAGTGTTTCAAACCTGCTCTACCAAAGGGAATGTTCTACTCTGTGACTTGAATGCAAGCATCCCAAAGAAGTTTCTGAGAATGCTTCTGTCTAGATTTTATCTGAAGACAATCCCGTTTCCAACGAAATCCTCAAGGCTAGGCAAATATACTCTTGCAGATTCCAGAAAAAGAGTGTTTCAAAACTGCTCCTTCAAAACGGTGGTTCAATTCTCTTAGTTGAGTACACACATCTCAAATAAGTTTCTGAGAATGCTTCTGCCTAGTTGTTACGGGAAGATATTTCCCTTTCCAACATAGGCCTGAAAGCGCTCCAAATGTCCACTTCCAGATACTACAAAAAGAGTGTTTCAAACCTGCTCTACCAAAGGGGAATGTTCTACTCTGTGACTTGAATGCAAACATCCCAAGGAAGTTTCTGAGAATGCTTCTGTCTAGATTTTACCTGAAGACAATCCCGTTTCCCACGAAATCCTCAGAGCTATGCAAATATCCTCTTGCAGATTCTACAAAAAGAGTGTTTCGAAACTGCTCTATGAAAAGAAAGGTTCAACTCTGTCAGTAGAGGAAACACATCACCAACAAGTTTCTGAGAATGCTTCTGCATAGTTGTTACGGGAAGATATTTCCCTTTCCAAAATAGGCCTGAAAGCGCTCCAAATGTCCACTTCCAGATACTACAAAAGGAGTGATTCCAACCTGCTCTATGATAGGGAATGTTCAACTCTGTGTCCTGAATACAAACATCACAAAGATGTTTCTCAGAACGCTGCAGTCTGCAATTTGTATGAATTCCCGCTTCCAACGAAATCCTCAAAACTAGCCAAATATCCACTTGCAGATTCCACAAAAAGACCATTTCAAAACTGCTCTATCAAAAGAAAGGTTCAACTTTGTTAGTTGAGTAGATACAGCATAAACAAGTTTCTGAGAATGCTTCTGTCCAGTTTTTATGGGAAGATATTTCCTTTTTCACCTTAGCCCTGAAATCGCTCCAAAAGTCCAGTTCCAGATACTACAAAAGGGGTGTTTCAAGACTGCTCTATGAAAGGGAGTGTTCAACTTTTGACTTGAATGCAAACATCAGAAAGCAGTTTCTCAGAACGCTGCTGTGTGCTTTTTATATGTATTCCCGCTTCCAGCGAAATCCCCAAAGCTAGCCAAATATCCACTTGCAGATTCCAGAAAAAGAGTGTTTCAAAACTGCTCCTTCAAAACGGTGGTTCAATTCTCTTAGTTGAGTACACACATCTCAAATAAGTTTCTGAGAATGCTGCTGTGTGCTTTTTATATGTATTCCCGCTTCCAGCGAAATCCCCAAAGCTAGCCAAATATCCACTTGCAGATTCCAGAAAAAGAGTGTTTCAAAACTGCTCCTTCAAAACGGTGGTTCAATTCTCTTAGTTGAGTACACACATCTCAAATAAGTTTCTGAGAATGCTTCTGTCTAGTTGTTATGGGAAGATATTTCCTTTTCCAACATAGGCCTGAAAGCGCTCCAAAGGTCCACTTCCAGATACTACAAAAGGAGTGATTCCAACCTGCTCTATGATAGGGAATGTTCAACTCTGTGTCCTGAATACAAACATCACAAAGATGTTTCTCAGAACGCTGCAGTCTGCAATTTGTATGAATTCCCGCTTCCAACGAAATCCTCAAAACTAGCCAAATATCCACTTGCAGATTCCACAAAAAGAGCATTTCAAAACTGCTCTATCAAAAGAAAGGTTCAACTTTGTTAGTTGAGTAGATACAGCATAAACAAGTTTCTGAGAATGCTTCTGTCCAGTTTTTATGGGAAGATATTTCCTTTTTCACCTTAGCCCTGAAATCGCTCCAAAAGTCCAGTTCCAGATACTACAAAAGGGGTGTTTCAAGACTGCTCTATGAAAGGGAGTGTTCAACTTTTGACTTGAATGCAAACATCAGAAAGCAGTTTCTCAGAACGCTGCAGTCTGCAATTTGTATGAATTCCCGCTTCCAACGAAATCCTCAAAACTAGCCAAATATCCACTTGCAGATTCCACAAAAAGAGCGTTTCAAAACTTCTCTATGAAAAGAAAGGTTCTACTCCTTTAGTTGAGGACACACATCACGAGTAAGTTTCTGAGAATGCTTCTGTCTAGTTTTTATGGGAAGATATTTCCTTTTTCACCTTAGGCCGGAAAGCGCTCCAAATGTCCACTTACACACACTACAAAAAGAGTGTTTCAAACCTGCTCTGTGAAAGGGAATGTTCAATTCTGTGACTTGAATGCAATCATCACAAAGAACTTTCTGAGAATGCTGCTGTCTGCTTTTTATATGTAATCCCGTTTCCAACGAAATCCTCAAATCTAGCCAAATAGCCACTTGCAGATTCCACAAAAAGAGTGTTTCAAAACTGTTCTGTCTAAAGAAATGTTCAACTGTGTTAGTTGAGGACACACATCAGAAACTAGTTTGCTGAGAATGCTTCTGTCTAGTTGTTATGGGAAGATATTTCCTTTTCCAACGTAGGCCTGAAAGCGCTCCAAATGTCCACTTCCAGATACTACAAAAAGAGTGTTTCAAACCTGCTCTACCAAAGGGAATGTTCTACTCTGTGACTTGAATGCAAGCATCCCAAAGAAGTTTCTGAGAATGCTTCTATCTAGATTTTATCTGAAGACAATCCCGTTTCCAACGAAATCCTCAAGGCTAGGCAAATATACTCTTGCAGATTCCAGAAAAAGAGGGTTTCACAACTGCTCCTTCAAAACGGTGGTTCAATTCTCTTAGTTGAGTACACACATCTCAAATAAGTTTCTGAGAATGCTTCTGCCTAGTTGTTACGGGAAGATATTTCCCTTTCCAACATAGGCCTGAAAGCGCTCCAAATGTCCACTTCCAGATACTACAAAAAGAGTGTTTCAAACCTGCTCTACCAAAGGGAATATTCCACTCTGTGACTTGAATGCAAACATCCCAAAGAAGTTTCTCAGAATGCTTCTGTCTAGATTTTACCTGAAGACAATCCCGTTTCCCACGAAATCCTCAAAGCTATGCAAATATCCTCTTGCAGATTCTACAAAAAGAGCGTTTCAAAACTTCTCTATGAAAAGAAAGGTTCTACTCATTTAGTGGAGGACACACATCACGAGTAAGTTTTTGAGAATGCTTCTGTCTAGTTTTTATGGGAAGATATTTCCTTTTTCAACATAGGCCTGAAAGCGCTCCAAATGTCCACTTCCAGATACTACAAAAGGAGTGATTCCAACCTGCTCGATGATAGGGAATGTTCAACTCTGTGTCCTGAATACAAACATCACAAAGATGTTTCTCAGAACGCTGCAGTCTGCAATTTGTATGAATTCCCGCTTCCAGCGAAATCCTCAAAACTAGCCAAATATCCACTTGCAGATTCCACAAAAAGAGCATTTCAAAACTGCTCTATCAAAAGAAAGGTTCAACTTTGTTAGTTGAGTAGATACAGCATAAACAAGTTTCTGAGAATGCTTCTGTCCAGTTTTTATGGGAAGATATTTCCTTTTTCACCTTAGCCCTGAAATCGCTCCAAAAGTCCAGTTCCAGATACTACAAAAGGGGTGTTTCAGGACTGCTACTATGAAAGGGAGTGTTCAACTTTTGACTTGAATGCAAACATCAGAAAGCAGTTTCTCAGAACGCTGCTGTGTGATTTTTATATGTATTCCCGCCTCCAGCGAAATCCCCAAAGCTAGCCAAATATCCACTTGCAGATTCCAGAAAAAGAGTGTTTCAAAACTGCTCCTTCAAAACGGTGGTTCAATTCTCTTAGTTGAGTACACACATCTCAAATAAGTTTCTGAGAATGCTTCTGTCCAGTTTTTATGGTAAGATATTTCCTTTTTCACCTTAGCCCTGAAATCGCTCCAAAAGTCCAGTTCCAGATACTACAAAAGGGGTGTTTCAAGACTGCTCTATGAAAGGGAGTGTTCAACTTTTGACTTGAATGCAAACATCAGAAAGCAGTTTCTCAGAACGCTGCTGTGTGCTTTTTATATGTATTCCCGCTTCCAGCGAAATCCCCAAAGCTAGCCAAATATCCACTTGCAGATTCCAGAAAAAGAGAGTTTCAAAACTGCTCCTTCAAAACGGTGGTTCAATTCTCTTAGTTGAGTACACACATCTCAAATAAGTTTCTGAGAATGCTGCAGTCTGCAATTTGTATGAATTCCCGCTTCCAACGAAATCCTCCAAACTAGCCAAATATCCACTTGCAGATTCCACAAAAAGAGCGTTTCAAAACTTCTCTATGAAAAGAAAGGTTCTACTCCTTTAGTTGAGGACACACATCACGAGTAAGTTTCTGAGAATGCTTCTGTCTAGTTTTTATGGGAAGATATTTCCTTTTTCACCTTAGGCCGGAAAGTGCTCCAAATGTCCACTTACACACACTACAAAAAGAGTGTTTCAAACCTGCTCTGTGAAAGGGAATGTTCAATTCTGTGACTTGAATGCAATCATCACAAAGAAGTTTCTGAGAATGCTGCTGACTGCTTTTTATATGTAATCCCGTTTCCAACGAAATCCTCAAATCTAGCCAAATAGCCACTTGCAGATTCCACAAAAAGAGTGTTTCAAAACTGTTCTGTCTAAAGAAATGTTCAACTGTGTTAGTTGAGGACACACATCAGAAACTAGTTTCTGAGAATGCTTCTGTCTAGTTGTTATGGGAAGATATTTCCTTTTCCAACGTAGGCCTGAAAGCGCTCCAAATGTCCACTTCCATATACTAAAAAAAGAGTGTTTCAAACCTGCTCTACCAAAGGAATGTTCTACTCTGTGACTTGAATGCAAACATCCCAAAGAAGTTTCTGAGAATGCTTCTGTCTAGATTTTCTCTGAAGACAATCCCGTTTCCAACGAAATCCTCAAGGCTAGGCAAATATACTCTTGCAGATTCCAGAAAAAGAGTGTTTCAAAACTGCTCCTTCAAAACGGTGGTTCAATTCTCTTAGTTGAGTACACACATCTCAAATAAGTTTCTGAGAATGCTTCTGCCTAGTTGTTACGGGAAGATATTTCCCTTTCCAACATAGGCCTGAAAGCGCTCCAAATGTCCACTTCCAGATACTACAAAAAGAGTGTTTCAAACCTGCTCTACCAAAGGGAATGTTCTACTCTGTGACTTGAATGCAAACATCCCAAAGAAGTTTCTGAGAATGCTTCTGTCTAGATTTTACCTGAAGACAATCCCGTTTCCCACGAAATCCTCAAAGCTATGCAAATATCCTCTTGCGGATTCTATAAAAGAGTGTTTCAAAACTGCTCTATGAAAAGAAAGGTTCAACTCTGTCAGTAGAGGGCACACATCACAAACAAGTTTCTGAGAATGCTTGTGTCTAGTTGTTATGGGAAGATATTTCCTTTTTCAACATAGGCCTGAAAGCGCTCCAAATGTCCACTTCCAGATACTACAAAAGGAGTGATTCCAACCTGCTCTATGATAGGGAATGTTCAACTCTCTGTCCTGAATACAAACATCACAAAGATGTTTCTCAGAACGCTGCAGTCTGCAATTTGTATGAATTCCCGCTTCCAACGAAATCCTCAAAACTAGCCAAATATCCACTTGCAGATTCCACAAAAAGAGCATTTCAAAACTGCTCTATCAAAAGAAAGGTTCAACTTTGTTAGTTGAGTAGATACAGCATAAAAAAGTTTCTGAGAATGCTTCTGTCCAGTTTTTATGGGAAGATATTTCCTTTTTCACCTTAGCCCTGAAAGCGCTCCAAAAGTCCAGTTCCAGATACTACAAAAGGAGTCTTTCAGGACTGCTCTATGAAAGGGAGTGTTCAACTTTTGACTTGAATGCAAACATCAGAAAGCAGTTTCTCAGAACGCTGCTGTGTGCTTTTTATATGTATTCCCGCATCCAGCGAAATCCCCAAAGCTAGCCAAATATCCACTTGCAGATTCCAGAAAAAGAGTGTTTCAAAACTGCTCCTTCAAAACGGTGGTTCAATTCTCTTAGTTGAGTACACACATCTCAAATAAGTTTCTGAGAATGCTTCTGTCTAGTTGTTATGGGAAGATATTTCCTTTTCCAACATAGGCCTGAAAGCGCTCCAAATGTCCACTTCCAGATACTACAAAAGGAGTGATTCCAACCTGCTCTATGATAGGGAATGTTCAACTCTGTGTCCTGAATACAAACATCACAAAGATGTTTCTCAGAACGCTGCAGTCTGCAATTTGTATGAATTCCCGCTTCCAACGAAATCCTCCAAACTAGCCAAATATCCACTTGCAGATTCCACAAAAAGAGCGTTTCAAAACTTCTCTATGAAAAGAAAGGTTCTACTCCTTTAGTTGAGGACACACATCACGAGTAAGTTTCTGAGAGTGCTTCTGTCTAGTTTTTATGGGAAGATATTTCCTTTTTCACCTTAGGCCGGTAAGTGCTCCAAATGTCCACTTACACACACTACAAAAAGAGTGTTTCAAACCTGCTCTGTGAAAGGGAATGTTCAATTCTGTGACTTGAATGCAATCATCACAAAGAACTTTCTGAGAATGCTGCTGACTGCTTTTTATATGTAATCCCGTTTCCAACGAAATCCTCAAATCTAGCCAAATAGCCACTTGCAGATTCCACAAAAAGAGTGTTTCAAAACTGTTCTGTCTAAAGAAATGTTCAACTGTGTTAGTTGAGGACACACATCAGAAACTAGTTTCTGAGAATGCTTCTGTCTAGTCGTTATGGGAAGATATTTCCTTTTCCAACGTAGGCCTGAAAGCGATCAAAATGTCCACTTCCATATACTAAAAAAAGAGTGTTTCAAACCTGCTCTACCAAAGGGAATGTTCTACTCTGTGACTTGAATGCAAACATCCCAAAGAAGTTTCTGAGAATGCTTCTGTCTAGATTTGATCTGAAGACAATCCCGTTTCCAACGAAATCCTCAAGGCTAGGCAAATATCCTCTTGCAGATTCCAGAAAAAGAGTGTTTCAAAACTGCTCCTTCAAAACGGTGGTTCAATTCTCTTAGTTGAGTACACACATCTCAAATAAGTTTCTGAGAATGCTTCTGCCTAGTTGTTACGGGAAGATATTTCCCTTTCCAACATAGGCCTGAAAGCGCTCCAAATGTCCACTTCCAGATACTATAAAAAGAGTGTTTCAAACCTGCTCTACCAAAGGGAATGTTCTACTCTGTGACTTGAATGCAAACATCCCAAAGAAGTTTCTGAGAATGCTTCTGTCTAGATTTTACCTGAAGACAATCCCGTTTCCCACGAAATCCTCAAAGCTATGCAAATATCCTCTTGCAGATTCTACAAAAAGAGTGTTTCAAAACTGCTCTATGAAAAGAAAGGTTCAACTCTGTCAGTAGAGGGCACACATCACAAACAAGTTTCTGAGAATGCTTCTGTCTATTTGTTATGGGAAGATATTTCCTTTTCCAACATAGGCCTGAAAGCGCTCCAAATGTCCACTTCCAGATACTACAAAAGGAGTGATTCAAACCTGCTCTATGATAGGGAACGTTCAACTCTGTGTCCTGAATACAAACATCACAAAGATGTTTCTCAGAACGCTGCAGTCTGCAATTTGTATGAATTCCCGCTTCCAACGAAATCCTCAAAACTAGCCAAATATCCACTTGCAGATTCCACAAAAAGACCATTTCAAAACTGCTCTATCAAAAGAAAGGTTCAACTTTGTTAGTTGAGTAGATACAGCATAAACAAGTTTCTGAGAATGCTTCTGTCCAGTTTTTATGGGAAGATATTTCCTTTTTCACCTTAGCCCTGAAAGCGCTCCAAAAGTCCAGTTCCAGATACTACAAAAGGAGTGTTTCAGGACTGCTCTATGAAAGGGAGTGTTCAACTTTTGACTTGAATGCAAACATCAGAAAGCAGTTTCTCAGAACGCTGCTGTGTGCTTTTTATATGTATTCCCGCTTCCAGCGAAATCCCCAAAGCTAGCCAAATATCCACTTGCAGATTCCAGAAAAAGAGAGTTTCAAAACTGCTCCTTCAAAACGGTGGTTCAATTCTCTTAGTTGAGTACACACATCTCAAATAAGTTTCTGAGAATGCTGCTGTGTGCTTTTTAAATGTATTCCCGCTTCCAGCGAAATCCCCAAAGCTAGCCAGATATCCACTTGCAGATTCCAGAAAAAGAGTGTTTCAAAACTGCTCCTTCAAAACGGTGGTTCAATTCTCTTAGTTGAGTACACACATCTCAAATAAGTTTCTGAGAATGCTTCTGTCTATTTGTTATGGGAAGATATTTCCTTTTCCAACATAGGCCTGAAAGCGCTCCAAATGTCCACTTCCAGATACTAGAAAAGGAGTGATTCAAACCTGCTCTATGATAGGGAATGTTCAACTCTGTGTCCTGAATACAAACATCACAAAGATGTTTCTCAGAACGCTGCAGTCTGCAATTTGTATGAATTCCCGCTTCCAACGAAATCCTCAAAACTAGCCAAATATCCACTTGCAGATTCCACAAAAAGAGCGTTTCAAAACTTCTCTATGAAAAGAAAGTTTCTACTCCTTTACTTGAGTACACACATCACGAGTAAGTTTCTGAGAATGCTTCTGTCTACTTTTTATGGGAAGATATTTCCTTTTTCACCTTAGGCCGGAAAGCGCTCCAAATGTCCACTTACACACACTACAAAAAGAGTGTTTCAAACCTGCTCTGTGAAAGGGAATGTTCAATTCTGTGACTTGAATGCAATCATCACAAAGAACTTTCTGAGAATGCCGCTGTCTGCTTTTTATATGTAATCCCGTTTCCAACGAAATGCTCAAATCTAGCCAAATATCCACTTGCAGATTCCACAAAAAGAGTGTTTCAAAACTGTTCTGTCTAAAGAAATGTTCAACTGTGTTAGTTGAGGACACACATCAGAAACTAGTTTCTGAGAATGCTTCTGTCTAGTTGTTATGGGAAGATATTTCCTTTTCCAACGTAGGCCTGAAAGCGCTCCAAATGTCCACTTCCATATACTAAAAAAAGAGTGTTTCAAACCTGCTCTACCAAAGGGAATGTTCTACTCTGTGACTTGAATGCAAACATCCCAAAGAAGTTTCTGAGAATGCTTCTGTCTAGATTTTATCTGAAGACAATCCCGTTTCCAACGAAATCCTCAAGGCTAGGCAAATATACTCTTGCAGATTCCAGAAAAAGAGGGTTTCAAAACTGCTCCTTCAAAACGGTGGTTCAATTCTCTTAGTTGAGTACACACATCTCAAATAAGTTTCTGAGAATGCTTCTGCCTAGTTGTTACGGGAAGATATTTCCCTTTCCAACATGGGCCTGAAAGCGCTCCAAATGTCCACTTCCAGATACTACAAAAAGAGTGTTTCAAACCTGCTCTACCAAAGGGAATGTTCTACTCTGTGACTTGAATGCAAACATCCCAAAGAAGTTTCTGAGAATGCTTCTGTCTAGATTTTACCTGAAGACAATCCCGTTTCCCACGAAATCCTCAAAGCTATGCAAATATCCTCTTGCAGATTCTACAAAAAGAGTGTTTCAAAACTGCTCTATGAAAAGAAAGGTTCAACTCTGTCAGTAGAGGGCACACATCACAAACAAGTTTCTGAGAATGCTTGTGTCTAGTTGTTATGGGAAGATATTTCCTTTTTCAACATAGGCCTGAAAGCGCTCCAAATGTCCACTTCCAGATACTACAAAAGGAGTGATTCCAACCTGCTCTATGATAGGGAATGTTCAACTCTCTGTCCTGAATACAAACATCACAAAGATGTTTCTCAGAACGCTGCAGTCTGCAATTTGTATGAATTCCCGCTTCCAACGAAATCCTCAAAACTAGCCAAATATCCACTTGCAGATTCCACAAAAAGACCATTTCAAAACTGCTCTATCAAAAGAAAGGTTCAACTTTGTTAGTTGAGTAGATACAGCATAAACAAGTTTCTGAGAATGCTTCTGTCCAGTTTTTATGGGAAGATATTTCCTTTTTCACCTTAGCCCTGAAAGCGCTCCAAAAGTCCAGTTCCAGATACTACAAAAGGAGTGTTTCAGGACTGCACTATGAAAGGGAGTGTTCAACTTTTGACTTGAATGCAAACATCAGAAAGCAGTTTCTCAGAACGCTGCTGTGTGCTTTTTATATGTATTCCCGCTTCCAGCGAAATCCCCAAAGCTAGCCAAATATCCACTTGCAGATTCCAGAAAAAGAGAGTTTCAAAACTGCTCCTTCAAAACGGTGGTTCAATTCTCTTAGTTGAGTACACACATCTCAAATAAGTTTCTGAGAATGCTTGTGTCTAGTTGTTATGGGAAGATATTTCCTTTTTCAACATAGGCCTGAAAGCGCTCCAAATGTCCACTTCCAGATACTACAAAAGGAGTGATTCCAACCTGCTCTATGATAGGGAATGTTCATCTCTGTGTCCTGAATACAAACATCACAAAGATGTTTCTCAGAACGCTGCAGTCTGCAATTTGGATGAATACCCGCTTCCAACGAAATCCTCAAAACTAGCCAAATATCCACTTGGAGATTCCACAAAAAGAGCGTTTCAAAACTTCTCTATGAATAGAAAGGTTCTACTCCTTTAGTTGAGGGCACACATCACGAGTAAGTTTCTGAGAATGCTTCTGTCTAGTTTTTATGGGAAGATATGTCCTTTTTCACCTTAGGCCGGAAAGCGCTCCAAATGTCCACTTACACACACTACAAAAAGAGTGTTTCAAACCTGCTCTGTGAAAGGGAATGTTCAATTCTGTGACTTGAATGCAATCATCACAAAGAACTTTCTGAGAATGCTGCTGTCTGCTTTTTATATGTAATCCCGTTTCCAACGAAATCCTCAAATCTAGCCAAATAGCCACTTGCAGATTCCACAAAAAGAGAGTTTCAAAACTGTTCTGTCTAAAGAAATGTTCAACTGTGTTAGTTGAGGACACACATCAGAAACTAGTTTCTGAGAATGCTTCTGTCTAGTTGTTATGGGAAGATATTTCCTTTTCCAACGTAGGCCTGAAAGCGCTCCAAATGTCCACTTCCATATACTAAAAAAAGAGTGTTTCAAACCTGCTCTACCAAAGGGAATGTTCTACTCTGTGACATGAATGCAAACATCCCAAAGAAGTTTCTGAGAATGCTTCTGTCTAGATTTTCTCTGAAGACAATCCCGTTTCCAACGAAATCCTCAAGGCTAGGCAAATATACTCTTGCAGATTCCAGAAAAAGAGTGTTTCAAAACTGCTCCTTCAAAACGGTGGTTCAATTCTCTTAGTTGAGTACACACATCTCAAATAAGTTTCTGAGAATGCTTCTGCCTAGTTGTTACGGGAAGATATTTCCCTTTCCAACATAGGCCTGAAAGCGCTCCAAATGTCCACTTCCAGATACTACAAAAAGAGTGTTTCAAACCTGCTCTACCAAAGGGAATGTTCTACTCTGTGACTTGAATGCAAACATCCCAAAGAAGTTTCTGAGAATGCTTCTGTCTAGATTTTACCTGAAGACAATCCCGTTTCCCACGAAATCCTCAAAGCTATGCAAATATGCTCTTGCAGATTCTACAAAAAGAGTGTTTCAAAACTGCTCTATGAAAAGAAAGGTTCAACTCTGTCAGTAGAGGGCACACATCACAAACAAGTTTCTGAGAATGCTTGTGTCTAGTTGTTATGGGAAGATATTTCCTTTTTCAACATAGGCCTGAAAGCGCTCCAAATGTCCACTTCCAGATACTACAAAAGGAGTGATTCCAACCTGCTCTATGATAGGGAATGTTCATCTCTGTGTCCTGAATACAAACATCACAAAGATGTTTCTCAGAACGCTGCAGTCTGCAATTTGTATGAATTCCCGCTTCCAACGAAATCCTCAAAACTAGCCAAATATCCACTTGCAGATTCCACAAAAAGACCATTTCAAAACTGCTCTATCAAAAGAAAGGTTCAACTTTGTTAGTTGAGTAGATACAGCATAAACAAGTTTCTGAGAATGCTTCTGTCCAGTTTTTATGGGAAGATATTTCCTTTTTCACCTTAGCCCTGAAATCGCTCCAAAAGTCCAGTTCCAGATACTACAAAAGGGGTGTTTCAAGACTGCTCTATGAAAGGGAGTGTTCAACTTTTGACTTGAATGCAAACATCAGAAAGCAGTTTCTCAGAACGCTGCTGTGTGCTTTTTATATGTATTCCCGCTTCCAGCGAAATCCCCAAAGCTAGCCAAATATCCACTTGCAGATTCCAGAAAAAGAGTGTTTCAAAACTGCTCCTTCAAAACGGTGGTTCAATTCTCTTAGTTGAGTACACACATCTCAAATAAGTTTCTGAGAATGCTTGTGTCTAGTTGTTATGGGAAGATATTTCCTTTTTCAACATAGGCCTGAAAGCGCTCCAAATGTCCACTTCCAGATACTACAAAAGGACTGATTCCAACATGCTCTATGATAGGGAATGTTCATCTCTGTGTCTTGAATACAAACATCACAAAGATGTTTCTCAGAATGCTGCAGTCTGCAATTTGGATGAATTCCCGCTTCCAACGAAATCCTCATAACTAGCCAAATATCCACTTGGAGATTCCACAAAAAGAGCGTTTCAAAACTTCTCTATGAATAGAAAGGTTCTATTCCTTTAGTTGAGGGCACACATCACGAGTAAGTTTCTGAGAATGCTTCTGTCTAGTTTTTATGGGAAGATATTTCCTTTTTCACCTTAGGCCGGAAAGCGCTCCAAATGTCCACTTACACACACTACAAAAAGAGTGTTTCAAACCTGCTCTGTGAAAGGGAATGTTCAATTCTGTGACTTGAATGCAATCATCACAAAGAACTTTCTGAGAATGCTGCTGTCTGCTTTTTATATGTAATCCCGTTTCCAACGAAATCCTCAAATCTAGCCAAATAGCCACTTGCAGATTCCACAAAAAGAGTGTTTCAAAACTGTTCTGTCTAAAGAAATGTTCAACTGTGTTAGTTGAGGACACACATCAGAAACTAGTTTCTGAGAATGCTTCTGTCTAGTTGTTATGGGAAGATATTTCCTTTTCCAACGTAGGCCTGAAAGCGCTCCAAATGTCCACTTCCAGATACTAAAAAAAGAGTGTTTCAAACCTGCTCTACCAAAGGGAATGTTCTACTCTGTGACTTGAATGCAAGCATCCCAAAGAAGTTTCTGAGAATGCTTCTGTCTAGATTTGATCTGAAGACAATCCCGTTTCCAACGAAATCCTCAAGGCTAGGCAAATATCCTCTTGCAGATTCCAGAAAAAGAGTGTTTCAAAACTGCTCCTTCAAAACGGTGGTTTAATTCTCTTAGTTGAGTACACACATCTCAAATAAGTTTCTGAGAATGCTTCTGCCTAGTTGTTACGGGAAGATATTTCCCTTTCCAACATAGGCCTGAAAGCGCTCCAAATGTCCACTTCCAGATACTATAAAAAGAGTGTTTCAAACCTGCTCTACCAAAGGGAATGTTCTACTCTGTGACTTGAATGCAAACATCCCAAAGAAGTTTCTGAGAATGCTTCTGTCTAGATTTTACCTGAAGACAATCCCGTTTCCCACGAAATCCTCAAAGCTATGCAAATATCCTCTTGCAGATTCTACAAAAAGAGCGTTTCAAAACTTCTCTATGAAAAGAAAGGTTCTACTCATTTAGTGGAGGACACACATCACGAGTAAGTTTCTGAGAATGCTTCTGTCTAGTTTTTATGGGAAGATATTTCCTTTTTCACCTTAGGCCGGAAAGTGCTCCAAATGTCCACTTCCAGATACTACAAAAGGAGTGATTCCAACCTGCTCTATGATAGGGAATGTTCAACTCTCTGTCCTGAATACAAACATCACAAAGATGTTTCTCTGAACGCTGCAGTCTGCAATTTGTATGAATTCCCGCTTCCAACGAAATCCTCAAAACTAGCCAAATATCCACTTGCAGATTCCACAAAAAGACCATTTCAAAACTGCTCTATCAAAAGAAAGGTTCAACTTTGTTAGTTGAGTAGATACAGCATAAACAAGTTTCTGAGAATGCTTCTGTCCAGTTTTTATGGGAAGATATTTCCTTTTTCACCTTAGCCCTGAAATCGCTCCAAAAGTCCAGTTCCAGATACTACAAAAGGGGTGTTTCAAGACTGCTCTATGAAAGGGAGTGTTCAACTTTTGACTTGAATGCAAACATCAGAAAGCAGTTTCTCAGAACGCTGCTGTGTGCTTTTTATATGTATTCCCGCTTCCAGCGAAATCCCCAAAGCTAGCCAAATATCCACTTGCAGATTCCAGAAAAAGAGTGTTTCAAAACTGCTCCTTCAAAACGGTGGTTCAATTCTCTTAGTTGAGTACACACATCTCAAATAAGTTTCTGAGAATGCTTCTGTCTAGTTGTTATGGGAAGATATTTCCTTTTCCAACATAGGCCTGAAAGCGCTCCAAATGTCCACTTCCAGATACTACAAAAGGAGTGATTCAAACCTGCTCTATGATAGGGAATGTTCAACTCTGTGTCCTGAATACAAACATCACAAAGATGTTTCTCAGAACGCTGCAGTCTGCAATTTGTATGAATTCCCGCTTCCAACGAAATCCTCAAAACTAGCCAAATATCCACTTGCAGATTCCACAAAAAGAGCGTTTCAAAACTTCTCTATGAAAAGAAAGGTTCTACTCCTTTAGTTGAGGACACACATCACGAGTAAGTTTCTGAGAATGCTTCTGTCTAGTTTTTATGGGAAGATATTTCCTTTTCCACCTTAGGCCGGAAAGCGCTCCAAATGTCCACTTACACACACTACAAAAAGAGTGTTTCAAACCTGCTCTGTGAAAGGGAATGTTCAATTCTGTGACTTGAATGCAATCATCACAAAAAACTTTGTGAGAATGCTGCTGTCTGCTTTTTATATGTAATCCCGTTTCCAACGAAATCCTCAAATCTAGCCAAATAGCCACTTGCAGATTCCACAAAAAGAGTGTTTCAAAACTGTTCTGTCTAAAGAAATGTTCAACTGTGTTAGTTGAGGACACACATCAGAAACTAGTTTCTGAGAATGCTTCTGTCTAGTTGTTATGGGAAGATATTTCCTTTTCCAACGTAGGCCTGAAAGCGCTCCAAATGTACACTTCCATATACTAAAAAAAGAGTGTTTCAAACCTGCTCTACCAAAGGGAATGTTCTACTCTGTGACTTGAATGCAAACATCCCAAAGAAGTTTCTGAGAATGCTTCTGTCTAGATTTTATCTGAAGACAATCCCGTTTCCAACGAAATCCTCAAGTCTAGGCAAATATTCTCTTGCAGATTCCAGAAAAAGAGTGTTTCAAAACTGCTCCTTCAAAACGGTGGTTCAATTCTCTTCGTTGAGTCCACACATCTCAAATAAGTTTCTGAGAATGCTTCTGCCTAGTTGTTACGGCAAGATATTTCCCTTTCCAACATGGGCCTGAAAGCGCTCCAAATGTCCACTTCCAGATACTACAAAAAGAGTGTTTCAAACCTGCTCTACCAAAGGGAATGTTCTACTCTGTGACTTGAATGCAAACATCCCAAAGAAGTTTCTGAGAATGCTTCTGTCTAGATTTTACCTGAAGACAATCCCGTTTCCCACGAAATCCTCAAAGCTATGCTAATATCCTCTTGCAGATTCTACAAAAAGAGTGTTTCAAAACTGCTCTATGAAAAGAAAGGTTCAACTCTGTCAGTAGAGGGCACACATCACAAACAAGTTTCTGAGAATGCTTGTGTCTAGTTGTTATGGGAAGATATTTCCTTTTTCAACATAGGCCTGAAAGCGCTCCAAATGTCCACTTCCAGATACTACAAAAGGAGTGATTCCAACCTGCTCTATGATAGGGAATGTTCAACTCTCTGTCCTGAATACAAACATCACAAAGATGTTTCTCAGAACGCTGCAGTCTGCAATTTGTATGAATTCCCGCTTCCAACGAAATCCTCAAAACTAGCCAAATATCCACTTGCAGATTCCACAAAAAGAGCATTTCAAAACTGCTCTATCAAAAGAAAGGTTCAACTTTGTTAGTTGAGTAGATACAGCATAAACAAGTTTCTGAGAATGCTTCTGTCCAGTTTTTATGGGAAGATATTTCCTTTTTCACCTTAGCCCTGAAATCGCTCCAAAAGTCCAGTTCCAGATACTACAAAAGGGGTGTTTCAGGACTGCTCTATGAAAGGGAGTGTTCAACTTTTGACTTGAATGCAAACATCAGAAAGCAGTTTCTCAGAACGCTGCAGTCTGCAATTTGTATGAATTCCCGCTTCCAACGAAATCCTCCAAACTAGCCAAATATCCACTTGCAGATTCCACAAAAAGAGCGTTTCAAAACTTCTCTATGAAAAGAAAGGTTCTACTCCTTTAGTTGAGGACACACATCACGAGTAAGTTTCTGAGAATGCTTCTGTCTAGTTTTTATGGGAAGATATTTCCTTTCTCACCTTAGGCCGGAAAGTGCTCCAAATGTCCACTTACACACACTACAAAAAGAGTGTTTCAAACCTGCTCTGTGAAAGGGAATGTTCAATTCTGTGACTTGAATGCAATCATCACAAAGAACTTTCTGAGAATGCTGCTGACTGCTTTTTATATGTAATCCCGTTTCCAACGAAATCCTCAAATCTAGCCAAATAGCCACTTGCAGATTCCACAAAAAGAGTGTTTCAAAACTGTTCTGTCTAAAGAAATGTTCAACTGTGTTAGTTGAGGACACACATCAGAAACTAGTTTCTGAGAATGCTTCTGTCTAGTTGTTATGGGAAGATATTTCCTTTTCCAACGTAGGCCTGAAAGCGCTCCAAATGTCCACTTCCATATACTAAAAAAAGAGTGTTTCAAACCTGCTCTACCAAAGGGAATGTTCTACTCTGTGACTTGAATGCAAACATCCCAAAGAAGTTTCTGAGAATGCTTCTGTCTAGATTTTCTCTGAAGACAATCCCGTTTCCAACGAAATCCTCAAGGCTAGGCAAATATACTCTTGCAGATTCCAGAAAAAGAGTGTTTCAAAACTGCTCCTTCAAAACGGTGGTTCAATTCTCTTAGTTGAGTACACACATCTCAAATAAGTTTCTGAGAATGCTTCTGCCTAGTTGTTACGGGAAGATATTTCCCTTTCCAACATGGGCCTGAAAGCGCTCCAAATGTCCACTTCCAGATACTACAAAAAGAGTGTTTCAAACCTGCTCTACCAAAGGGAATGTTCTACTCTGTGACTTGAATGCAAACATCCCAAAGAAGTTTCTGAGAATGCTTCTGTCTAGATTTTCATCTGAAGACAATCCCGTTTCCCACGAAATCCTCAAAGCTATGCAAATATCCTCTTGCAGATTCTACAAAAAGAGTGTTTCGAAACTGCTCTATGAAAAGAAAGGTTCAACTGTGTCAGTAGAGGGCACACATCTCAAACAAGTTTCTGAGAATGCTTCTGTCTAGTTGTTATGGGAAGATATTTCCTTTTTCAACATAGGCCTGAAAGCGCTCCAAATGTCCACTTCCAGATACTACAAAAGGAGTGATTCCAACCTGCTCTATTATAGGGAATGTTCAACTCTGTGTCCTGAATACAAACATCACAAAGATGTTTCTCAGAACGCTGCAGTCTGCAATTTGTATGAATTCCCGCTTCCAACGAAATCCTCAAAACTAGCCAAATATCCACTTGCAGATTCCACAAAAAGAGCATTTCAAAACTGCTCTATCAAAAGAAAGGTTCAACTTTGTTAGTTGAGTAGATACAGCATAAACAAGTTTCTGAGAATGCTTCTGTCCAGTTTTTATGGGAAGATATTTCCTTTTTCACCTTAGCCCTGAAATCGCTCCAAAAGTCCAGTTCCAGATACTACAAAAGGGGTGTTTCAAGACTGCTCTATGAAAGGGAGTGTTCAACTTTTGACTTGAATGCAAACATCAGAAAGCAGTTTCTCAGAACGCTGCAGTCTGCAATTTGGATGAATTCCCGCTTCCAACGAAATCCTCAAAACTAGCCAAATATCCACTTGGAGATTCCACAAAAAGAGCGTTTCAAAACTTCTCTATGAATAGAAAGGTTCTACTCCTTTAGTTGAGGACACACATCACGAGTAAGTTTCTGAGAATGCTTCTGTCTAGTTTTTATGGGAAGATATGTCCTTTTTCACCTTAGGCCGGAAAGCGCTCCAAATGTCCACTTACACACACTACAAAAAGAGTGTTTCAAACCTGCTCTGTGAAAGGGAATGTTCAATTCTGTGACTTGAATGCAATCATCACAAAGAACTTTCTGAGAATGCTGCTGACTGCTTTTTATATGTAATCCCGTTTCCAACGAAATCCTCAAATCTAGCCAAATAGCCACTTGCAGATTCCACAAAAAGAGTGTTTCAAAACTGTTCTGTCTAAAGAAATGTTCAACTGTGTTAGTTGAGGACACACATCAGAAACTAGTTTCTGAGAATGCTTCTGTCTAGTTGTTATGGGAAGATATTTCCTTTTCCAACGTAGGCCTGAAAGCGCTCCAAATGTCCACTTCCATATACTAAAAAAAGAGTGTTTCACACCTGCTCTACCAAAGGGAATGTTCTACTCTGTGACTTGAATGCAAACATCCCAAAGAAGTTTCTGAGAATGCTTCTGTCTAGATTTTCTCTGAAGACAATCCCGTTTCCAACGAAATCCTCAAGGCTAGGCAAATATCCTCTTGCAGATTCCAGAAAAAGAGTGTTTCAAAACTGCTCCTTCAAAACGGTGGTTCAATTCTCTTAGTTGAGTACACACATCTCAAATAAGTTTCTGAGAATGCTTCTGCCTAGTTGTTACCGGAAGATATTTCCCTTTCCAACATAGGCCTGAAAGCGCTCCAAATGTCCCCTTCCAGATACTACAAAAAGAGTGTTTCAAACCTGCTCTACCAAAGGGAATGTTCTACTCTGTGACTTGAATGCAAACATCCCAAAGAAGTTTCTGAGAATGCTTCTGTCTAGATTTTACCTGAAGACAATCCCGTTTCCGACGAAATCCTCAAAGCTATGCAAATATCCTCTTGCAGATTCTACAAAAAGAGTGTTTCAAAACTGCTCTATGAAAAGGAAGGTTCAACTCTGTCAGTAGAGGGCACACATCACAAACAAGTTTCTGAGAATGCTTGTGTCTAGTTGTTATGGGAAGATATTTCCTTTTTCAACGTAGGCCTGAAAGCGCTCCAAATGTCCACTTCCAGATACTACAAAAGGAGTGATTCCAACCTGCTCTATGATAGGGAATGTTCCACTCTGTGTCTTGAATACAAACATCACAAAGATGTTTCTCAGAACGCTGCAGTCTGCAATTTGTATGAATTCCCGCTTCCAACGAAATCCTCAAAACTAGCCAAATATCCACTTGCAGATTCCACAAAAAGACCATTTCAAAACTGCTCTATCAAAAGAAAGGTTCAACTTTGTTAGTTGAGTAGATACAGCATAACCAAGTTTCTGAGAATGCTTCTGTCCAGTTTTTATGGGAAGATATTTCCTTTTTCACCTTAGCCCTGAAATCGCTCCAAAAGTCCAGTTCCAGATACTACAAAAGGGGTGTTTCAAGACTGCTCTATGAAAGGGAGTGTTCAACTTTTGACTTGAATGCAAACATCAGAAAGCAGTTTCTCAGAACGCTGCTGTGTGCTTTTTATATGTATTCCCGCTTCCAGCGAAATCCCCAAAGCTAGCCAAATATCCACTTGCAGATTCCAGAAAAAGAGAGTTTCAAAACTGCTCCTTCAAAACGGTGGTTCAATTCTCTTAGTTGAGTACACACATCTCAAATAAGTTTCTGAGAATGCTTGTGTCTAGTTGTTATGGGAAGATATTTCCTTTTTCAACATAGGCCTGAAAGCGCTCCAAATGTCCACTTCCAGATAGTACAAAAGGAGTGATTCCAACATGCTCTATGATAGGGAATGTTCATCTCTGTGTCTTGAATACAAACATCACAAAGATGTTTCTCAGAACGCTGCAGTCTGCAATTTGTATGAATTCCCGCTTCCAACGAAATCCTCAAAACTAACCAAATATCCACTTGGAGATTCCACAAAAAGAGCGTTTCAAAACTTCTCTATGAATAGAAAGGTTCTACTCCTTTAGTTGAGGACACACATCACGAGTAAGTTTCTGAGAATGCTTCTGTCTAGTTTTTATGGGAAGATATTTCCTTTTTCACCTTAGGCCGGAAAGCGCTCCAAATGTCCACTTACACACACTACAAAAAGAGTGTTTCAAACCTGCTCTGTGAAAGGGAATGTTCAATTCTGTGACTTGAATGCAATCATCACAAAGAACTTTCTGAGAATGCTGCTGACTGCTTTTTATATGTAATCCCGTTTCCAACGAAATCCTCAAATCTAGCCCAATATCCACTTGCAGATTCCACAAAAAGAGTGTTTCAAAACTGTTCTGTCTAAAGAAATGTACAACTGTGTTAGTTGAGGACACACATCAGAAACTAGTTTCTGAGAATGCTTCTGTCTAGTTGTTATGGGAAGATATTTCCTTTTCCAACGTAGGCCTGAAAGCGCTCCAAATGTCCACTTCCAGATACTACAAAAAGAGTGTTTCAAACCTGCTCTACCAAAGGGAATGTTCTACTCTGTGACTTGAATGCAAGCATCCCAAAGAAGTTTCTGAGAATGCTTCTGTCTAGATTTTCTCTGAAGACAATCCCGTTTCCAACGAAATCCTCAAGGCTAGGCAAATATACTCTTGCAGATTCCAGAAAAAGAGTGTTTCAAAACTGCTCCTTCAAAACGGTGGTTCAATTCTCTTAGTTGAGTACACACATCTCAAATAAGTTTCTGAGAATGCTTCTGCCTAGTTGTTACGGGAAGATATTTCCGTTTCCAACATAGGCCTGAAAGCGCAACAAATGTCCACTTCCAGATACTACAAAAAGAGTGTTTCAAACCTGCTCTACCAAAGGGAATGTTCTACTCTGTGACTTGAATGCAAACATCCCGAAGAAGTTTCTGAGAATGCTTCTGTCTAGATTTTACCTGAAGACAATCCCGTTTCCCACGAAATCCTCAAAGCTATGCAAATATCCTCTTGCAGATTCTACAAAAAGAGTGTTTCAAAACTGCTCTATGAAAAGAAAGGTTCAACTCTGTCAGTAGAGGGCACACATCACAAACAAGTTTCTGAGAATGCTTGTGTCTAGTTGTTATGGGAAGACATTTCCTTTTTCAACATAGGCCTGAAAGCGCTCCAAATGTCCACTTCCAGATACTACAAAAGGAGTGATTCCAACCTGCTCTATGATAGGGAATGTTCATCTCTGTGTCCTGAATACAAACATCACAAAGATGTTTCTCAGAACGCTGCAGTCTGCAATTTGTATGAATTCCCGCTTCCAACGAAATCCTCAAAACTAGCCAAATATCCACTTGCAGATTCCACAAAAAGACCATTTCAAAACTGCTCTATCAAAAGAAAGGTTCAACTTTGTTAGTTGAGTAGATACAGCATAAACAAGTTTCTGAGAATGCTTCTGTCCAGTTTTTATGGGAAGATATTTCCTTTTTCACCTTAGCCCTGAAATCGCTCCAAAAGTCCAGTTCCAGATACTACAAAAGGGGTGTTTCAAGACTGCTCTATGAAAGGGAGTGTTCAACTTTTGACTTGAATGCAAACATCAGAAAGCAGTTTCTCAGAACGCTGCTGTGTGCTTTTTATATGTATTCCCGCTTCCAGCGAAATCCCCAAAGCTAGCCAAATATCCACTTGCAGATTCCAGAAAAAGAGAGTTTCAAAACTGCTCCTTCAAAACGGTGGTTCAATTCTCTTAGTTGAGTACACACATCTCAAATAAGTTTCTGAGAATGCTTCTGTCTAGTTGTTATGGGAAGATATTTCCTTTTCCAACATAGGCCTGAAAGCGCTCCAAATGTCCACTTCCAGATACTACAAAAGGAGTGATTCAAACCTGCTCTATGATAGGGAATATTCAACTCTGTGTCCTGAATACAAACATCACAAAGATGTTTCTCAGAACGCTGCAGTCTGCAATTTGTATGAATTCCCGCTTCCAACGAAATCCTCAAAACTAGCCAAATATCCACTTGCAGATTCCACAAAAAGAGCGTTTCAAAACTTCTCTATGAAAAGAAAGGTTCTACTCCTTTAGTTGAGGACACACATCACGAGTAAGTTTCTGAGAATGCTTCTGTCTAGTTTTTATGGGAAGATATTTCCTTTTTCACCTTAGGCCGGAAAGCGCTCCAAATGTCCACTTACACACACTACAAAAAGAGTGTTTCAAACCTGCTCTGTGAAAGGGAATGTTCAATTCTGTGACTTGAATGCAATCATCACAAAGAACTTTCTGAGAATGCTGCTGTCTGCTTTTTATATGTAATCCCGTTTCCAACGAAATCCTCAAATCTAGCCAAATAGCCACTTGCAGATTCCACAAAAAGAGTGTTTCAAAACTGTTCTGTCTAAAGAAATGTTCAACTGTGTTAGTTGAGGACACACATCAGAAACTAGTTTCTGAGAATGCTTCTGTCTAGTTGTTATGGGAAGATATATCCTTTTCCAACGTAGGCCTGAAAGCGCTCCAAATGTCCACTTCCATATACTAAAAAAAGAGTGTTTCAAACCTGCTCTACCAAAGGGAATGTTCTACTCTGTGACTTGAATGCAAACATCCCAAAGAAGTTTCTGAGAATGCTTCTGTCTAGATTTGATCTGAAGACAATCCCGTTTCCAACGAAATCCTCAAGGCTAGGCAAATATCCTCTTGCAGATTCCAGAAAAAGAGTGTTTCAAAACTGCTCCTTCAAAACGGTGGTTCAATTCTCTTAGTTGAGTACACACATCTCAAATAAGTTTCTGAGAATGCTTCTGCCTAGTTGTTACGGGAAGATATTTCCCTTTCCAACATGGGCCTGAAAGCGCTCCAAATGTCCACTTCCAGATACTACAAAAAGAGGGTTTCAAACCTGCTCTACCAAAGGGAATGTTCTACTCTGTGACTTGAATGCAAACATCCCAAAGAAGTTTCTGAGAATGCTTCTGTCTAGATTTTACCTGAAGACAATCCCGTTTCCCACGAAATCCTCAAAGCTATGCAAATATCCTCTTGCAGATTCTACAAAAAGAGTGTTTCAAAACTGCTCTATGAAAAGAAAGGTTCAACTCTGTCAGTAGAGGGCACACATCACAAACAAGTTTCTGAGAATGCTTCTGCATAGTTGTTACGGGAAGATATTTCCCTTTCCAAAATAGGCCTGAAAGCGCTCCAAATGTCCACTTCCAGATACTACAAAAGGAGTGATTCCAACCTGCTCTATGATAGGGAATGTTCAACTCTGTGTCCTGAATACAAACATCACAAAGATGTTTCTCAGAACGCTGCAGTCTGCAATTTGTATGAATTCCCGCTTCCAACGAAATCCTCAAAACTAGCCAAATATCCACTTGCAGATTCCACAAAAAGAGCATTTCAAAACTGCTCTATCAAAAGAAAGGTTCAACTTTGTTAGTTGAGTAGATACAGCATAAACAAGTTTCTGAGAATGCTTCTGTCCAGTTTTTATGGGAAGATATTTCCTTTTTCACCTTAGCCCTGAAAGCGCTCCAAAAGTCCAGTTCCAGATACTACAAAAGGAGTGTTTCAGGACTGCTCTATGAAAGGGAGTGTTCAACTTTTGACTTGAATGCAAACATCAGAAAGCAGTTTCTCAGAACGCTGCTGTGTGCTTTTTATATGTATTCCCGCTTCCAGCGAAATCCCCAAAGCTAGCCAAATATCCACTTGCAGATTCCAGAAAAAGAGTGTTTCAAAACTGCTCCTTCAAAACGGTGGTTCAATTCTCTTAGTTGAGTAGACACATCTCAAATAAGTTTCTGAGAATGCTTCTGTCTAGTTGTTATGGGAAGATATTTCCTTTTCCAACATATGCCAGAAAGCACTCCAAATGTCCACTTCCAGATACTACAAAAGGAGTGATTCAAACCTGCTCTATGATAGGGAATGTTCAACTCTGTGTCCTGAATACAAACATCACAAAGATGTTTCTCAGAACGCTGCAGTCTGCAATTTGTATGAATTCCCGCTTCCAACGAAATCCTCAAAACTAGCCAAATATCCACTTGCAGATTCCACAAAAAGACCATTTCAAAACTGCTCTATCAAAAGAAAGGTTCAACTTTGTTAGTTGAGTAGATACAGCATAAACAAGTTTCTGAGAATGCTTCTGTCCAGTTTTTATGGGAAGATATTTCCTTTTTCACCTTAGCCCTGAAATCGCTCCAAAAGTCCAGTTCCAGATACTACAAAAGGGGTGTTTCAGGACTGCTCTATGAAAGGGAGTGTTCAACTTTTGACTTGAATGCAAACATCAGAAAGCAGTTTCTCAGAACGCTGCTGTGTGCTTTTTATATGTATTCCCGCTTCCAGCGAAATCCCCAAAGCTAGCCAGATATCCACTTGCAGATTCCAGAAAAAGAGTGTTTCAAAACTGCTCCTTCAAAACGGTGGTTCAATTCTGCTTAGTTGAGTACGCACATCTCAAATAAGTTTCTGAGAATGCTTTCTGTCTAGTTGTTATGGGAAGATATTTCCTTTTCCAACATAGGCCTGAAAGCGCTCCAAATGTCCACTTCCAGGTACTACAAAAGGAGTGATTCAAACCTGCTCTATGATAGGGAATGTTCAACTCTGTATCCTGAATACAAACATCACAAAGATGTTTCTCAGAACGCTGCAGTCTGAAATTTGTATGAATTCCCGCTTCTAACGAAATCCTCATAACTAGCCAAATATCCACTTGCAGAATCCACAAAAAGAGCGTTTCAAAACTTCTCTATGAAAAGAAAAGTTCTAAGCCTTTAGTTGAGGACACTCATCACGAGTAAGTTTCTGAGAATGCTTCTGTCTAGTTTTTATGGGAAGATATTTCCTTTTTCACCTGAGGCCGGAAAGCGCTCCAAATGTCCACTTACAGACACTACAAAAAGAGTGTTTCAAACCTGCTCTATGAAAGGGAATGTTCAATTCTGTGACTGGAATGCAATCATCACAAAGAAGTTTCTGAGTATGCTGCTGTCTGCTTTTTATATGTAATCCCGTTTCCAACGAAATCCGCAACTCTAGCCAAATATCCACTTGCAGAATCCACAAAAAGAGTGTTTCAAAACTGTTCTGTCAAAAGAAATGTTCAACTGTGTTAGTTGAGGACACACATCAGAAACTAGTTTCTGAGAATGCTTCTGTCTAGTTGTTATGGGAAGATATTTCCTTTTCCAACGTAGGCCTGAAAGCGCTCCAAATGTCCACTTACACACACTACAAAAAGAGTGTTTCAAACCTGCTCTACCAAAGGGAATGTTCTACTCTGTGACTTGAATGCTAACATCCCAAAGAAGTTTCTGAGAATGCTTCTGTCTAGATTTTCTCTGAAGACAATCCCGTTTCCAACGAAATCCTCAAGGCTAGGCAAATATACTCTTGCAGATTCCAGAAAAAGAGTGTTTCAAAACTGCTCCTTCAAAACGGTGGTTCAATTCTCTTAGTTGAGTACACACATCTCAAATAAGTTTCTGAGAATGCTTCTGCCTAGTTGTTACGGGAAGATATTTCCCTTTCCAACATGGGCCTGAAAGCGCTCCAAATGTCCACTTCCAGATACTACAAAAAGAGTGTTTCAAACCTGCTCTACCAAAGGGAATGTTCTACTCTGTGACTTGAATGCAAACATCCCAAAGAAGTTTCTGAGAATGCTTCTGTCTAGATTTTACCTGAAGACAATCCCGTTTCCCACGAAATCCTCAAAGCTATGCAAATATCCTCTTGCAGATTCTACAAAAAGAGTGTTTCGAAACTGCTCTATGAAAAGAAAGGTTCAACTGTGTCAGTAGAGGGCACACATCACAAACAAGTTTCTGAGAATGCTTCTGTCTAGTTGTTATGGGAAGATATTTCCTTTTTCAACATAGGCCTGAAAGCGCTCCAAATGTCCACTTCCAGATACTACAAAAGGAGTGATTCCAACCTGCTCTATGATAGAGAATGTTCAACTCTGTGTCCTGAATACAAACATCACAAAGTTGTTTCTCAGAACGCTGCAGTCTGCAATTTGTATGAATTCCCGCTTCCAACGAAATCCTCAAAACTAGCCAAATATCCACTTGCAGATTCCACAAAAAGACCATTTCAAAACTGCTCTATCAAAAGAAAGGTTCAACTTTGTTAGTTGAGTAGATACAGCATAACCAAGTTTCTGAGAATGCTTCTGTCCAGTTTTTATGGGAAGATATTTCCTTTTTCACCTTAGCCCTGAAATCGCTCCAAAAGTCCAGTTCCAGATACTACAAAAGGGGTGTTTCAGGACTGCTCTATGAAAGGGAGTGTTCAACTTTTGACTTGAATGCAAACATCAGAAAGCAGTTTCTCAGAACGCTGCTGTGTGCTTTTTATATGTATTCCCGCTTCCAGCGAAATCCCCAAAGCTAGCCAAATATCCACTTGCAGATTCCAGAAAAAGAGTGTTTCAAAACTGCTCCTTCAAAACGGTGGTTCAATTCTCTTAGTTGAGTACACACATCTCAAATAAGTTTCTGAGAATGCTTCTGTCTAGTTGTTATGGGAAGATATTTCCTTTTCCAACATAGGCCTGAAAGCGCTCCAAATGTCCACTTCCAGATACTACAAAAGGAGTGATTCCAACCTGCTCTATGATAGGGAATGTTCAACTCTGTGTCCTGAATACAAACATCTCAAAGATGTTTCTCAGAACGCTGCAGTCTGCAATTTGTATGAATTCCCGCTTCCAACGAAATCCTCCAAACTAGCCAAATATCCACTTGCAGATTCCACAAAAAGAGCGTTTCAAAACTTCTCTATGAAAAGAAAGGTTCTACTCCTTTAGTTGAGGACACACATCACGAGTAAGTTTCTGAGAATGCTTCTGTCTAGTTTTTATGGGAAGATATTTCCTTTTTCACCTTAGGCCGGAAAGTGCTCCAAATGTCCACTTACACACACTACAAAAAGAGTGTTTCAAACCTGCTCTGTGAAAGGGAATGTTCAATTCTGTGACTTGAATGCAATCATCACAAAGAACGTTCTGAGAATGCTGCTGTCTGCTTTTTATATGTAATCCCGTTTCCAACGAAATCCTCAAATCTAGCCAAATAGCCACTTGCAGATTCCACAAAAAGAGAGTTTCAAAACTGTTCTGTCTAAAGAAATGTTCAACTGTGTTAGTTGAGGACACACATCAGAAACTAGTTTCTGAGAATGCTTCTGTCTAGTTGTTATGGGAAGATATTTCCTTTTCCAACGTAGGCCTGAAAGCGCTCCAAATGTCCACTTCCATATACTAAAAAAAGAGTGTTTCAAACCTGCTCTACCAAAGGGAATGTTCTACTCTGTGACTTGAATGCAAACATCCCAAAGAATTTTCTGAGAATGCTTCTGTCTAGATTTGATCTGAAGACAATCCCGTTTCCAACGAAATCCTCAAAGCTAGGCAAATATCCTCTTGCAGATTCCAGAAAAAGAGTGTTTCAAAACTGCTCCTTCAAAACGGTGGTTCAATTCTCTTAGTTGAGTACACACATCTCCAATAAGTTTCTGAGAATGCTTCTGCCTAGTTGTTACGGGAAGATATTTCCCTTTCCAACATGGGCCTGAAAGCGCTCCAAATGTCCACTTCCAGATACTACAAAAAGAGTGTTTCAAACCTGCTCTACCAAAGGGAATGTTCTACTCTGTGACTTGAATGCAAACATCCCAAAGAAGTTTCTGAGAATGCTTCTGTCTAGATTTTACCTGAAGACAATCCCGTTTCCCACGAAATCCTCAAAGCTATGCAAATATCCTCTTGCAGATTCTACAAAAAGAGTGTTTCAAAACTGCTCTATGAAAAGAAAGGTTCAACTCTGTCAGTAGAGGGCACACATCACAAACAAGTTTCTGAGAATGCTTGTGTCTAGTTGTTATGGGAAGATATTTCCTTTTTCAACATAGGCCTGAAAGCGCTCCAAATGTCCACTTCCAGATACTACAAAAGGAGTGATTCCAACCTGCTCTATGATAGGGAATGTTCAACTCTCTGTCCTGAATACAAACATCACAAAGATGTTTCTCAGAACGCTGCAGTCTGCAATTTGTATGAATTCCCGCTTCCAACGAAATCCTCAAAACTAGCCAAATATCCACTTGCAGATTCCACAAAAAGACCATTTCAAAACTGCTCTATCAAAAGAAAGGTTCAACTTTGTTAGTTGAGTAGATACAGCATAAACAAGTTTCTGAGAATGCTTCTGTCCAGTTTTTATGGGAAGATATTTCCTTTTTCACCTTAGCCCTGAAATCGCTCCAAAAGTCCAGTTCCAGATACTACAAAAGGGGTGTTTCAAGACTGCTCTATGAAAGGGAGTGTTCAACTTTTGACTTGAATGCAAACATCAGAAAGCAGTTTCTCAGAACGCTGCTGTGTGCTTTTTATATGTATTCCCGCTTCCAGCGAAATCCCCAAAGCTAGCCAAATATCCACTTGCAGATTCCAGAAAAAGAGTGTTTCAAAACTGCTCCTTCAAAACGGTGGTTCAATTCTCTTAGTTGAGTACACACATCTCAAATAAGTTTCTGAGAATGCTTCTGTCTAGTTGTTATGGGAAGATATTTCCTTTTCCAACATAGGCCTGAAAGCGCTCCAAATGTCCACTTCCAGATACTACAAAAGGAGTGATTCAAACCTGCTCGATGATAGGGAATGTTCAACTCTGTGTCCTGAATACAAACATCACAAAGATGTTTCTCAGAACGCTGCAGTCTGCAATTTGTATGAATTCCCGCTTCCAACGAAATCCTCAAAACTAGCCAAATATCCACTTGCAGATTCCACAAAAAGAGCGTTTCAAAACTTCTCTATGAAAAGAAAGGTTCTACTCCTTTAGTTGAGGACACACATCACGAGTAAGTTTCTGAGAGTGCTTCTGTCTAGTTTTTATGGGAAGATATTTCCTTTTTCACCTTAGGCCGGTAAGTGCTCCAAATGTCCACTTACACACACTACAAAAAGAGTCTTTCAAACCTGCTCTGTGAAAGGGAATGTTCAATTCTGTGACTTGAATGCAATCATCACAAAGAACTTTCTGAGAATGCTGCTGTCTGCTTTTTATATGTAATTCCGTTTCCAACGAAATCCTCAAATCTAGCCAAATATCCACTTGCAGATTCCACAAAAAGAGTGTTTCAAAACTGTTCTGTCTAAAGAAAAGTTCAACTGTGTTAGTTGAGGACACACATCAGAAACTAGTTTCTGAGAATGCTTCTGTCTAGTTGTTATGGGAAGATATTTCCTTTTCCAACGTAGGCCTGAAAGCGCTCCAAATGTCCACTTCCATATACTAAAAAAAGAGTGTTTCAAACCTGCTCTACCAAAGGGAATGTTCTACTCTGTGACTTGAATGCAAACATCCCAAAGAAGTTTCTGAGAATGCTTCTGTCTAGATTTTCTCTGAAGACAATCCCGTTTCCAACGAAATCCTCAAGGCTAGGCAAATATACTCTTGCAGATTCCAGAAAAAGAGTGTTTCAAAACTGCTCCTTCAAAACGGTGGTTCAATTCTCTTAGTTGAGTACACACATCTCAAATAAGTTTCTGAGAATGCTTCTGCCTAGTTGTTACGGGAAGATATTTCCCTTTCCAACATGGGCCTGAAAGCGCTCCAAATGTCCACTTCCAGATACTACAAAAAGAGTGTTTCAAACCTGCTCTACCAAAGGGAATGTTCTACTCTGTGACTTGAATGCAAACATCCCAAAGAAGTTTCTGAGAACGCTTCTGTCTAGATTTTACCTGAAGACAATCCCGTTTCCCACGAAATCCTCAAAGCTATGCAAATATCCTCTTGCAGATTCTACAAAAAGAGTGTTTCAAAACTGCTCTATGAAAAGAAAGGTTCAACTCTGTCAGTAGAGGGCACACATCACAAACAAGTTTCTGAGAATGCTTGTGTCTAGTTGTTATGGGAAGATATTTCCTTTTTCAACATAGGCCTGAAAGCGCTCCAAATGTCCACTTCCAGATACTACAAAAGGAGTGATTCCAACCTGCTCTATGATAGGGAATGTTCAACTCTCTGTCCTGAATACAAACATCACAAAGATGTTTCTCAGAACGCTGCAGTCTGCAATTTGTATGAATTCCCGCTTCCAACGAAATCCTCAAAACTAGCCAAATATCCACTTGCAGATTCCACAAAAAGAGCATTTCAAAACTGCTCTATCAAAAGAAAGGTTCAACTTTGTTAGTTGAGTAGATACAGCATAAACAAGTTTCTGAGAATGCTTCTGTCCAGTTTTTATGGGAAGATATTTCCTTTTTCACCTTAGCCCTGAAAGCGCTCCAAAAGTCCAGTTCCAGATACAACAAAAGGAGTGTTTCAGGACTGCTCTATGAAAGGGAGTGTTCAACTTTTGACTTGAATGCAAACATCAGAAAGCAGTTTCTCAGAACGCTGCTGTGTGCTTTTTATATGTATTCCCGCCTCCAGCGAAATCCCCAAAGCTAGCCAAATATCCACTTGCAGATTCCAGAAAAAGAGTGTTTCAAAACTGCTCCTTCAAAACGGTGGTTCAATTCTCTTAGTTGAGTACACACATCTCAAATAAGTTTCTGAGAATGCTGCAGTCTGCAATTTGTATGAATTCCCGCTTCCAACGAAATCCTCAAAACTAGCCAAATATCCACTTGGAGATTCCACAAAAAGAGCGTTTCAAAACTTCTCTATGAATAGAAAGGTTCTACTCCTTCAGTTGAGGACACACATCACGAGTAAGTTTCTGAGAATGCTTCTGTCTAGTTATTATGGGAAGATATGTCCTTTTTCACCTTAGGCCGGAAAGCGCTCCAAATGTCCACTTACACACACTACAAAAAGAGTGTTTCAAACCTGCTCTATGAAAGGGAATGTTCAATTCTGTGACTTGAATGCAATCATCACAAAGAACTTTCTGAGAATGCTGCAGTCTGCAATTTGTATGAATTCCCGCTTCCAACGAAATCCTCCAAACTAGCCAAATATCCACTTGCAGATTCCACAAAAAGAGCGTTTCAAAACTGTTCTGTCTAAAGAAATGTTCAACTGTGTTAGTTGAGGACACACATCAGAAACTAGTTTCTGAGAATGCTTCTGTCTAGTTGTTATGGGAAGATATTTCCTTTTCCAACGTAGGCCTGAAAGCGCTCCAAATGTCCACTTCCATATACTAAAAAAAGAGTGTTTCAAACCTGCTCTACCAAAGGGAATGTTCTACTCTGTGACTTGAATGCAAACATCCCAAAGAAGTTTCTGAGAATGCTTCTGTCTAGATTTTATCTGAAGACAATCCCGTTTCCAACGAAATCCTCAAGGCTAGGCAAATATACTCTTGCAGATTCAAGAAAAAGAGTGTTTCAAAACTGCTCCTTCAAAACGGTGGTTCAATTCTCTTAGTTGAGTACACACATCTCAAATAAGTTTCTGAGAATGCTTCTGCCTAGTTGTTACGGGAAGATATTTCCCTTTCCAACATGGGCCTGAAAGCGCTCCAAATGTCCACTTCCAGATACTACAAAAAGAGTGTTTCAAACCTGCTCTACTAAAGGGAATGTTCTACTCTGTGACTTGAATGCAAACATCCCAAAGAAGTTTCTGAGAATGCTTCTGTCTAGATTTTACCTGAAGACAATCCCGTTTCCCACGAAATCCTCAAAGCTATGCAAATATCCTCTTGCAGATTCTACAAAAAGAGTGTTTCAAAACTGCTCTATGAAAAGAAAGGTTCAACTCTGTCAGTAGAGGGCACACATCACAAACAAGTTTCTGAGAATGCTTGTGTCTAGTTGTTATGGGAAAATATTTCCTTTTTCAACATAGGCCCTGAAAGCGCTCCAAATGTCCACTTCCAGATACTACAAAAGGAGTGATTCCAACCTGCTCTATGATAGGGAATGTTCAACTCTCTGTCCTGAATACAAACATCACAAAGATGTTTCTCAGAACGCTGCAGTCTGCAATTTGTATGAATTCCCGCTTCCAACGAAATCCTCAAAACTAGCCAAATATCCACTTGCAGATTCCACAAAAAGAGCATTTCAAAACTGCTCTATCAAAAGAAAGGTTCAACTTTGTTAGTTGAGTAGATACAGCATAAACAAGTTTCTGAGAATGCTTCTGTCCAGTTTTTATGGGAAGATATTTCCTTTTTCACCTTAGCCCTGAAATCGCTCCAAAAGTCCAGTTCCAGATACTACAAAAGGGGTGTTTCAGGACTGCTCTATGAAAGGGAGTGTTCAACTTTTGACTTGAATGCAAACATCAGAAAGCAGTTTCTCAGAACGCTGCAGTCTGCAATTTGTATGAATTCCCGCTTCCAACGAAATCCTCAAAACTAGCCTAATATCCACTTGGAGATTCCACAAAAAGAGCATTTCAAAACTTCTCTATGAATAGAAAGGTTCTACTCCTTTAGTTGAGGACACACATCACGAGTAAGTTTCTGAGAATGCTTCTGTCTAGTTTTTATGGGAAGATATTTCCTTTTTCACCTTAGGCCGGTAAGTGCTCCAAATGTCCACTTACACACACTACAAAAAGAGTCTTTCAAACCTGCTCTGTGAAAGGGAATGTTCAATTCTGTGACTTGAATGCAATCATCACAAAGAACTTTCTGAGAATGCTGCTGACTGCTTTTTATATGTAATCCCGTTTCCAACGAAATCCTCAAATCTAGCCCAATATCCACTTGCAGATTCCACAAAAAGAGTGTTTCAAAACTGTTCTGTCTAAAGAAATGTACAACTGTGTCAGTTGAGGACACACATCAGAAACTAGTTTCTGAGAATGCTTCTGTCTAGTTGTTATGGGAAGATATTTCCTTTTCCAACGTAGGCCTGAAAGCGCTCCAAATGTCCACTTCCATATACTAAAAAAAGAGTGTTTCAAACCTGCTCTACCAAAGGGAATGTTCTACTCTGTGACTTGAATGCAAACATCCCAAAGAAGTTTCTGAGAATGCTTCTGTCTAGATTTTATCTGAAGACAATCCCGTTTCCAACGAAATCCTCAAGGCTAGGCAAATATACTCATGCAGATTCCAGAAAAAGAGTGTTTCAAAACTGCTCCTTCAAAACGGTGGTTCAATTCTCTTAGTTGAGTACACACATCTCAAATAAGTTTCTGAGAATGCTTCTGCCTAGTTGTTACGGGAAGATATTTCCCTTTCCAACATGGGCCTGAAAGCGCTCCAAATGTCCACTTCCAGACACTACAAAAAGAGTGTTTCAAACCTGCTCTACCAAAGGGAATGTTCTACTCTGTGATTTGAATGCAAACATCCCAAAGAAGTTTCTGAGAATGCTGCGGTGTGCTTTTTATATGTATTCCCGCTTCCAGCGAAATCCCCAAAGCTAGCCAGATATCCACTTGCAGATTCCAGACAAAGAGTGTTTCAAAACTGCTCCTTCAAAACGGTGGTTCAATTCTCTTAGTTGAGTACACACATCTCAAATAAGTTTCTGAGAATGCTTCTGTCTATTTGTTATGGGAAGATATTTCCTTTTCCAACATAGGCCTGAAAGCGCTCCAAATGTCCACTTCCAGATACTACAAAAGGAGTGATTCAAACCTGCTCTATGATAGGGAATGTTCAACTCTGTGTCCTGAATACAAACATCACAAAGATGTTTCTCAGAACGCTGCAGTCTGCAATTTGTATGAATTCCCGCTTCCAACGAAATCCTCAAAACTAGCCAAATATCCACTTGCAGATTCCACAAAAAGACCATTTCAAAACTGCTCTATCAAAAGAAAGGTTCAACTTTGTTAGTTGAGTAGATACAGCATAAACAAGTTTCTGAGAATGCTTCTGTCCAGTTTTTATGGGAAGATATTTCCTTTTTCACCTTAGCCCTGAAAGCGCTCCAAAAGTCCAGTTCCAGATACTACAAAAGGAGTGTTTCAGGACTGCTCTATGAAAGGGAGTGTTCAACTTTTGACTTGAATGCAAACATCAGAAAGCAGTTTCTCAGAACGCTGCTGTGTGCTTTTTATATGTATTCCCGCTTCCAGCGAAATCCCCCAAAGCTAGCCAAATATCCACTTGCAGATTCCAGAAAAAGAGTGTTTCAAAACTGCTCCTTCAAAACGGTGGTTCAATTCTCTTAGTTGAGTACACACATCTCAAATAAGTTTCTGAGAATGCTTGTGTCTAGTTGTTATGGGAAGATATTTCCTTTTTCAACATAGGCCTGAAAGCGCTCCAAATGTCCACTTCCAGATACTACAAAAGGAGTGATTCGAACCTGCTCTATGATAGGGAATGTTCCTCTCTGTGTCCTGAATACAAACATCACAAAGATGTTTCTCAGAACGCTGCAGTCTGCAATTTGTATGAATTCCCGCTTCCAACGAAATCCTCAAAACTAGCCAAATATCCACTTGCAGATTCCACAAAAAGAGCGTTTCAAAACTTCTCTATGAAAAGAAAGGTTCTACTCCTTTAGTTGAGGACACACATCACGAGTAAGTTTCTGAGAATGCTTCTGTCTAGTTTTTATGGGAAGATATTTCCTTTTTCACCTTAGGCCGGAAAGTGCTCCAAATGTCCACTTACACACACTACAAAAAGAGTGTTTCAAACCTGCTCTGTGAAAGGGAATGTTCAATTCTGTGACTTGAATGCAATCATCACAAAGAACTTTCTGAGAATGCTGCTGACTGCTTTTTATATGTAATCCCGTTTCCAACGAAATCCTCAAATCTAGCCAAATAGCCACTTGCAGATTCCACAAAAAGAGTGTTTCAAAACTGTTCTGTCTAAAGAAATGTTCAACTGTGTTAGTTGAGGACACACATCAGAAACTAGTTTCTGAGAATGCTTCTGTCTAGTTGTTATGGGAAGATATTTCCTTTTCCAACGTAGGCCTGAAGCGCTCCAAATGTCCACTTCCATATACTAAAAAAAGAGTGTTTCAAACCTGCTCTACCAAAGGGAATGTTCTACTCTGTGACTTGAATGCAAACATCCCAAAGAAGTTTCTGAGAATGCTTCTGTCTAGATTTTATCTGAAGACAATCCCGTTTCCAACGAAATCCTCAAGGCCAGGCAAATATACTCTTGCAGATTCCAGAAAAAGAGTGTTTCAAAACTGCTCCTTCAAAACGGTGGTTCAATTCTCTTAGTTGAGTACACACATCTCAAATAAGTTTCTGAGAATGCTTCTGCCTAGTTGTTACGGGAAGATATTTCCCTTTCCAACATAGGCCTGAAAGCGCTCCAAATGTCCACTTCCAGATACTACAAAAAGAGTGTTTCAAACCTGCTCTACCAAAGGGAATGTTCTACTCTGTGACTTGAATGCAAACATCCCAAAGAAGTTTCTGAGAATGCTTCTGTCTAGATTTTACCTGAAGACAATCCCGTTTCCCACGAAATCCTCAAAGCTATGCAAATATCCTCTTGCGGATTCTACAAAAAGAGTGTTTCAAAACTGCTCTATGAAAAGAAAGGTTCAACTCTGTCAGTAGAGGGCACACATCACAAACAAGTTTCTGAGAATGCTTGTGTCTAGTTGTTATGGGAAGATATTTCCTTTTTCAACATAGGCCTGAAAGCGCTCCAAATGTCCACTTCCAGATACTACAAAAGGAGTGATTCCAACATGCTCTATGATAGGGAATGTTCATCTCTGTGTCTTGAATACAAACATCACAAAGATGTTTCTCTGAACGCTGCAGTCTGCAATTTGTATGACTTCCCGCTTCCAACGAAATCCTCAAAACTAGCCAAATATCCACTTGGAGATTCCACAAAAAGAGCGTTTCAAAACTTCTCTATGAATAGAAAGGTTCTACTCCTTTAGTTGAGGACACACATCACGAGTAAGTTTCTGAGAATGCTTCTGTCTAGTTTTTATGGGAAGATATGTCCTTTTTCACCTTAGGCCGGAAAGCGCTCCAAATGTCCACTTACACACACTACAAAAAGAGTGTTTCAAACCTGCTCTGTGAAAGGGAATGTTCAATTCTGTGACTTGAATGCAATCATCACAAAGAACTTTCTGAGAATGCTGCTGACTGCTTTTTATATGTAATCCCGTTTCCAACGAAATCCTCAAATCTAGCCAAATAGCCACTTGCAGATTCCACAAAAAGAGTGTTTCAAAACTGTTCTGTCTAAAGAAATGTTCAACTGTGTTAGTTGAGGACACACATCAGAAACTAGTTTCTGAGAATGCTTCTGTCTAGTTGTTATGGGAAGATATTTCCTTTTCCAACGTAGGCCAGAAAGCGCTCCAAATGTCCACTTACACACACTACAAAAAGAGTGTTTCAAACCTGCTCTACCAAAGGGAATGTTCTACTCTGTGACTTGAATGCAAACATCCCAAAGAAGTTTCTGAGAATGCTTCTGTCTAGATTGGATCTGAAGACAATCCCGTTGCCAACGAAATCCTCAAATCTATGCAAATATCCTCTTGCAGATTCCAGAAAAAGAGTGTTTCAAAACTGCTCCTTCAAAACGGTGGTTCAATTCTCTTAGTTGAGTACACACATCTCAAATAAGTTTCTGAGAATGCTTCTGCCTAGTTGTTACGGGAAGATATTTCCCTTTCCAACATAGGCCTGAAAGCGCTCCAAATGTCCACTTCCAGATACTACAAAAAGAGTGTTTCAAACCTGCTCCTTCAAAACGGTGGTTCAATTCTCTTAGTTCAGTACACACATCTCAAATAAGTTTCTGAGAATGCTTCTGCCTAGTTGTTACGGGAAGATATTTCCCTTTCCAACATAGGCCTGAAAGCGCTCCAAATGTCCACTTCCAGATACTACAAAAAGAGTGTTTCAAACCTGCTCTACCAAAGGGAATGTTCTACTCTGTGACTTGAATGCAAACATCCCGAAGAATTTTCTGAGAATGCTTTCTGTCTAGATTTTACCTGAAGACAATCCCGTTTCCCACGAAATCCTCAAAGCTATGCAAATATCCTCTTGCAGATTCTACAAAAAGAGCGTTTCAAAACTTCTCTATGAAAAGAAAGGTTCTACTCATTTAGTGGAGGACACACATCACGAGTAAGTTTCTGAGAATGCTTCTGTCTAGTTTTTATGGGAAGATATTTCCTTTTTCACCTTAGGCCGGAAAGTGCTCCAAATGTCCACTTCCAGATACTACAAAAGGAGTGATTCCAACCTGCTCTATGATAGGGAATGTTCAACTCTCTGTCCTGAATACAAACATCACAAAGATGTTTCTCAGAACGCTGCAGTCTGCAATTTGTATGAATTCCCGCTTCCAACGAAATCCTCAAAACTAGCCAAATATCCACTTGCAGATTCCACAAAAAGACCATTTCAAAACTGCTCTATCAAAAGAAAGGTTCAACTTTGTTAGTTGAGTAGATACAGCATAAACAAGTTTCTGAGAATGCTTCTGTCCAGTTTTTATGGGAAGATATTTCCTTTTTCACCTTAGCCCTGAAATCGCTCCAAAAGTCCAGTTCCAGATACTACAAAAGGGGTGTTTCAAGACTGCTCTATGAAAGGGAGTGTTCAACTTTTGACTTGAATGCAAACATCAGAAAGCAGTTTGCTCAGAACGCTGGCTGTGTGTTTTTTATATGTATTCCCGCTTCCAGCGAAATCCCCAAAGCTAGCCAAATATCCACTTGCAGATTCCAGAAAAAGAGCGTTTCAAAACTGCTCCTTGAAAACGGTGGTTCAATTCTCTTAGTTGAGTACACCCATCTCAAATAACTTTCTGAGAATGCTTCTGTCCAGTTTTTATGGGAAGATATTTCCTTTTTCACCTTAGCCCTGAAATCGCTCCAAAAGTCCAGTTCCAGATACTACAAAAGGGGTGTTTCAGGACTGCCCTATGAAAGGGAGTGTTCAACTTTTGACTTGAATGCAAACATCAGAAAGCAGTTTCTCAGAACGCTGCTGTGTGCTTTTTATATGTATTCCCGCTTCCAGCGAAATCCCCAAAGCTAGCCAAATATCCACTTGCAGATTCCAGAAAAAGAGAGTTTCAAAACTGCTCCTTCAAAACGGTGGTTCAATTCTCTTAGTTGAGTACACACATCTCAAATAAGTTTCTGAGAATGCTGCAGTCTGCAATTTGTATGAATTCCCGCTTCCAACGAAATCCTCAAAACTAGCCAAATATCCACTTGCAGATTCCACAAAAAGAGCGTTTCAAAACTTCTCTATGAAAAGAAAGGTTCTACTCCTTTAGTTGAGGACACACATCACGAGTAAGTTTCTGAGAATGCTTCTGTCTAGTTTTTATGGGAAGATATTTCCTTTTTCACCTTAGGCCGGAAAGCGCTCCAAATGTCCACTTACACACACTACAAAAAGAGTGTTTCAAACCTGCTCTGTGAAAGGGAATGTTCAATTCTGTGACTTGAATGCAATCATCACAAAGAACTTTCTGAGAATGCTGCTGTCTGCTTTTTATATGTAATCCCGTTTCCAACGAAATCCTCAAATCTAGCCAAATAGCCACTTGCAGATTCCACAAAAAGAGTGTTTCAAAACTGTTCTGTCTAAAGAAATGTTCAACTGTGTTAGTTGAGGACACACATCAGAAACTAGTTTCTGAGAATGCTTCTGTCTAGTTGTTATGGGAAGATATTTCCTTTTCCAACGTAGGCCTGAAAGCGCTCCAAATGTCCACTTCCATATACTAAAAAAAGAGTGTTTCAAACCTGCTCTACCAAAGGGAATGTTCTACTCTGTGACTTGAATGCAAACATCCCAAAGAAGTTTCTGAGAATGCTTCTGTCTAGATTTTCTCTGAAGACAATCCCGTTTCCAACGAAATCCTCAAGGCTAGGCAAATATACTCTTGCAGATTCCAGAAAAAGAGTGTTTCAAAACTGCTCCTTCAAAACGGTGGTTCAATTCTCTTAGTTGAGTACACACATCTCAAATAAGTTTCTGAGAATGCTTCTGCCTAGTTGTTACGGGAAGATATTTCCCTTTCCAACATGGGCCTGAAAGCGCTCCAAATGTCCACTTCCAGATACTACAAAAAGAGTGTTTCAAACCTGCTCTACCAAAGGGAATGTTCTACTCTGTGACTTGAATGCAAACATCCCAAAGAAGTTTCTGAGAATGCTTCTGTCTAGATTTTTCCTGAAGACAATCCCGTTTCCCATGAAATCCTCAAAGCTATGCAAATATCCTCTTGCAGATTCTACAAAAAGAGTGTTTCAAAACTGCTCTATGAAAAGAAAGGTTCAACTCTGTCAGTAGAGGGCACACATCACAAACAAGTTTCTGAGAATGCTTCTGCATAGTTGTTACGGGAAGATATTTCCCTTTCCAAAATAGGCCTGAAAGCGCTCCAAATGTCCACTTCCAGATACTACAAAAGGAGTGATTCCAACCTGCTCTATGATAGGGAATGTTCAACTCTGTGTCCTGAATACAAACATCACAAAGATGTTTCTCAGAACGCTGCAGTCTGCAATTTGTATGAATTCCCGCTTCCAACGAAATCCTCAAAACTAGCCAAATATCCACTTGCAGATTCCACAAAAAGACCATTTCAAAACTGCTCTATCAAAAGAAAGGTTCAACTTTGTTAGTTGAGTAGATACAGCATAAACAAGTTTCTGAGAATGCTTCTGTCCAGTTTTTATGGGAAGATATTTCCTTTTTCACCTTAGCCCTGAAAGCGCTCCAAAAGTCCAGTTCCAGATACTACAAAAGGAGTGTTTCAGGACTGCTCTATGAAAGGGAGTGTTCAACTTTTGACTTGAATGCAAACATCAGAAAGCAGTTTCTCAGAACGCTGCTGTGTGCTTTTTATATGTATTCCCGCTTCCAGCGAAATCCCCAAAGCTAGCCAAATATCCACTTGCAGATTCCAGAAAAAGAGTGTTTCAAAACTGCTCCTTCAAAACGGTGGTTCAATTCTCTTAGTTGAGTACACACATCTCAAATAAGTTTCTGAGAATGCTTCTGTCTAGTTTTTATGGGAAGATATTTCCTTTTTCACCTGAGGCCGGAAAGCGCTCCAAATGTCCACTTCCAGATACTACAAAAGGAGTGATTCAAACCTGCTCTATGATAGGGAACGTTCAACTCTGTGTCCTGAATACAAACATCACAAAGATGTTTCTCAGAACGCTGCAGTCTGCAATTTGTATGAATTCCCGCTTCCAACGAAATCCTCAAAACTAGCCAAATATCCACTTGCAGATTCCACAAAAAGAGCGTTTCAAAACTTCTCTATGAAAAGAAAGGTTCTACTCCTTTAGTTGAGGACACACATCACGAGTAAGTTTCTGAGAATACTTCTGTCTAGTTTTTATGGGAAGATATTTCCTTGTTCACCTTAGGCCGGAAAGCGCTCCAAATGTCCACTTACACACACTACAAAAAGAGTGTTTCAAACCTGCTCTGTGAAAGGGAATGTTCAATTCTGTGACTTGAATGCAATCATCACAAAGAAGTTTCTGAGAATGCTGCTGTCTGCTTTTTATATGTAATCCCGTTTCCAACGAAATCCTCAAATCTAGCCAAATAGCCACTTGCAGATTCCACAAAAAGAGTGTTTCAAAACTGTTCTGTCTAAAGAAATGTTCAACTGTGTTAGTTGAGGACACACATCAGAAACTAGTTTCTGAGAATGCTTCTGTCTAGTTGTTATGGGAAGATATTTCCTTTTCCAACGTAGGCCTGAAAGCGCTCCAAATGTCCACTTCCATATACTAAAAAAAGAGTGTTTCAAACCTGCTCTACCAAAGGGAATGTTCTACTCTGTGACATGAATGCAAACATCCCAAAGAAGTTTCTGAGAATGCTTCTGTCTAGATTTGATCTGAAGACAATCCCGTTTCCAACGAAATCCTCAAGGCTAGGCAAATATCCTCTTGCAGATTCCAGAAAAAGAGTGTTTCAAAACTGCTCCTTCAAAACGGTGGTTCAATTCTCTTAGTTGAGTACACACATCTCAAATAAGTTTCTGAGAATGCTTCTGCCTAGTTGTTACGGGAAGATATTTCCCTTTCCAACATAGGCCTGAAAGCGCTCCAAATGTCCACTTCCAGATACTACAAAAAGAGTGTTTCAAACCTGCTCTACCAAAGGGAATGTTCTGCTCTGTGACTTGAATGCAAACATCCCAAAGAAGTTTCTGAGAATGCTTCTGTCTAGATTTTACCTGAAGACAATCCCGTTTCCCACGAAATCCTCAAAGCTATGCAAATATCCTCTTGCAGATTCTACAAAAAGAGTGTTTCAAAACTGCTCTATGAAAAGAAAGGTTCAACTCTGTCAGTAGAGGGCACACATCACAAACAAGTTTCTGAGAATGCTTCTGCATAGTTGTTACGGGAAGATATTTCCCTTTCCAAAATAGGCCTGAAAGCGCTCCAAATGTCCACTTCCAGATACTACAAAAGGAGTGATTCCAACCTGCTCTATGATAGGGAATGTTCAACTCTGTGTCCTGAATACAAACATCACAAAGATGTTTCTCAGAACGCTGCAGTCTGCAATTTGTATGAATTCCCGCTTCCAACGAAATCCTCAAAACTAGCCAAATATCCACTTGCAGATTCCACAAAAAGACCATTTCAAAACTGCTCTATCAAAAGAAAGGTTCAACTTTGTTAGTTGAGTAGATACAGCATAACCAAGTTTCTGAGAATGCTTCTGTCCAGTTTTTATGGGAAGATATTTCCTTTTTCACCTTAGCCCTGAAATCGCTCCAAAAGTCCAGTTCCAGATACTACAAAAGGGGTGTTTCAAGACTGCTCTATGAAAGGGAGTGTTCAACTTTTGACTTGAATGCAAACATCAGAAAGCAGTTTCTCAGAACGCTGCTGTGTGCTTTTTATATGTATTCCCGCTTCCAGCGAAATCCCCAAAGCTAGCCAAATATCCACTTGCAGATTCCAGAAAAAGAGTGTTTCAAAACTGCTCCTTCAAAACGGTGGTTCAATTCTCTTAGTTGAGTACACACATCTCAAATAAGTTTCTGAGAATGCTGCTGTGTGCTTTTTATATGTATTCCCGCTTCCAGCGAAATCCCCAAAGCTAGCCAAATATCCACTTGCAGATTCCAGAAAAAGAGTGTTTCAAAACTGCTCCTTCAAAACGGTGGTTCAATTCTCTTAGTTGAGTACACACATCTCAAATAAGTTTCTGAGAATGCTTCTGTCTAGTTGTTATGGGAAGATATTTCCTTTTCCAACATAGGCCTGAAAGCGCTCCAAATGTCCACTTCCAGATACTACAAAAGGAGTGATTCAAACCTGCTCTATGATAGGGAATGTTCAACTCTGTGTCCTGAATACAAACATCACAAAGATGTTTCTCAGAACGCTGCAGTCTGCAATTTGTATGAATTCCCGCTTCCAACGAAATCCTCAAAACTAGCCAAATATCCACTTGCAGATTCCACAAAAAGACCATTTCAAAACTGCTCTATCAAAAGAAAGGTTCAACTTTGTTAGTTGAGTAGATACAGCATAAACAAGTTTCTGAGAATGCTTCTGTCCAGTTTTTATGGGAAGATATTTCCTTTTTCACCTTAGCCCTGAAATCGCTCCAAAAGTCCAGTTCCAGATACTACAAAAGGGGTGTTTCAAGACTGCTCTATGAAAGGGAGTGTTCAACTTTTGACTTGAATGCAAACATCAGAAAGCAGTTTCTCAGAACGCTGCTGTGTGCTTTTTATATGTATTCCCGCTTCCAGCGAAATCCCCAAAGCTAGCCAAATATCCACTTGCAGATTCCAGAAAAAGAGTGTTTCAAAACTGCTCCTTCAAAACGGTGGTTCAATTCTCTTAGTTGAGTACACACATCTCAAATAAGTTTCTGAGAATGCTTCTGTCTAGTTGTTATGGGAAGATATTTCCTTTTCCAACATAGGCCTGAAAGCGCTCCAAATGTCCACTTCCAGATACTACAAAAGGAGTGATTCCAACCTGCTCTATGATAGGGAATGTTCAACTCTGTGTCGTGAATACAAACATCACAAAGATGTTTCTCAGAACGCTGCAGTCTGCAATTTGTATGAATTCCCGCTTCCAACGAAATCCTCAAAACTAGCCAAATATCCACTTGCAGATTCCACAAAAAGAGCGTTTCAAAACTTCTCTATGAAAAGAAAGGTTCTACTCCTTTAGTTGAGGACACACATCACGAGTAAGTTTCTGAGAATGCTCTGTCTAGTTTTTATGGGAAGATATTTCCTTTTTCACCTTAGGCCGGTAAGTGCTCCAAATGTCCACTTACACACACTACAAAAAGAGTGTTTCAAACCTGCTCTGTGAAAGGGAATGTTCAATTCTGTGACTTGAATGCAATCATCACAAAGAACTTTCTGAGAATGCTGCTGTCTGCTTTTTATATGTAATCCCGTTTCCAACGAAATCCTCAAATCTAGCCAAATAGCCACTTGCAGATTCCACAAAAAGAGTGTTTCAAAACTGTTCTGTCTAAAGAAATGTTCAACTGTGTTAGTTGAGGACACACATCAGAAACTAGTTTCTGAGAATGCTTCTGTCTAGTTGTTATGGGAAGATATTTCCTTTTCCAACGTAGGCCTGAAAGCGCTCCAAATGTCCACTTCCATATACTAAAAAAAGAGTGTTTCAAACCTGCTCTACCAAAGGGAATATTCTACTCTGTGACTTGAATGCAAACATCCCAAAGAAGTTTCTGAGAATGCTTCTGTCTAGATTTGATCTGAAGACAATCCCGTTTCCAACGAAATCCTCAAGGCTAGGCAAATATACTCTTGCAGATTCCAGAAAAAGAGTGTTTCAAAACTGCTCCTTCAAAACGGTGGTTCAATTCTCTTAGTTGAGTACACACATCTCAAATAAGTTTCTGAGAATGCTTCTGCCTAGTTGTTACGGGAAGATATTTCCCTTTCCAACATAGGCCTGAAAGCGCTCCAAATGTCCACTTCCAGATACTACAAAAAGAGTGTTTCAAACCTGCTCTACCAAAGGGAATGTTCTACTCTGTGACTTGAATGCAAACATCCCGAAGAATTTTCTGAGAATGCTTCTGTCTAGATTTTACCTGAAGACAATCCCGTTTCCCACGAAATCCTCAAAGCTATGCAAATATCCTCTTGCAGATTCTACAAAAAGAGTGTTTCAAAACTGCTCTATGAAAAGAAAGGTTCAACTCTGTCAGTAGAGGGCACACATCACAAACAAGTTTCTGAGAATGCTTGTGTCTACTTGTTATGGGAAGATATTTCCTTTTTCAACATAGGCCTGAAAGCGCTCCAAATGTCCACTTCCAGATACTACAAAAGGAGTGATTTCAACCTGCTCTATGATAGGGAATGTTCAACTCTGTGTCCTGAATACAAACATCACAAAGATGTTTCTCAGAACGCTGCAGTCTGCAATTTGTATGAATTCCCGCTTCCAACGAAATCCTCAAAACTAGCCAAATATCCACTTGCAGATTCCACAAAAAGACCATTTCAAAACTGCTCTATCAAAAGAAAGGTTCAACTTTGTTAGTTGAGTAGATACAGCATAACCAAGTTTCTGAGAATGCTTCTGTCCAGTTTTTATGGGAAGATATTTCCTTTTTCACCTTAGCCCTGAAAGCGCTCCAAAAGTCCAGTTCCAGATACTACAAAAGGAGTGTTTCAGGACTGCTCTATGAAAGGGAGTGTTCAACTTTTGACTTGAATGCAAACATCAGAAAGCAGTTTCTCAGAACGCTGCTGTGTGCTTTTTATATGTATTCCCGCTTCCAGCGAAATCCCCAAAGCTAGCCAAATATCCACTTGCAGATTCCAGAAAAAGAGTGTTTCAAAACTGCTCCTTCAAAACGGTGGTTCAATTCTCTTAGTTGAGTACACACATCTCAAATAAGTTTCTGAGAATGCTTGTGTCTAGTTGTTATGGGAAGATATTTCCTTTTTCAACATAGGCCTGAAAGCGCTCCAAATGTCCACTTCCAGATACTACAAAAGGAGTGATTCCAACCTGCTCTATGATAGGGAATGTTCATCTCTGTGTCCTGAATACAAACATCACAAAGATGTTTCTCAGAACGCTGCAGTCTGCAATTTGTATGAATTCCCGCTTCCAACGAAATCCTCCAAACTAGCCAAATATCCACTTGCAGATTCCACAAAAAGAGCGTTTCAAAACTTCTCTATGAAAAGAAAGGTTCTACTCCTTTAGTTGAGGACACACATCACGAGTAAGTTTCTGAGAATGCTTCTGTCTAGTTTTTATGGGAAGATTATTTCCTTTTTCACCTTAGGCCGGTAAGTGCTCCAAATGTCCACTTACACACACTACAAAAAGAGTGTTTCAAACCTGCTCTGTGAAAGGGAATGTTCAATTCTGTGACTTGAATGCAATCATCACAAAGAACTTTCTGAGAATGCCGCTGTCTGCTTTTTATATGTAATCCCGTTTCCAACGAAATCCTCAAATCTAGCCAAATAGCCACTTGCAGATTCCACAAAAAGAGTGTTTCAAAACTGTTCTGTCTAAAGAAATGTTCAACTGTGTTAGTTGAGGACACACATCAGAAACTAGTTTCTGAGAATGCTTCTGTCTAGTTGTTATGGGAAGATATTTCCTTTTCCAACGTAGGCCTGAAAGCGCTCCAAATGTCCACTTCCATATACTAAAAAAAGAGTGTTTCAAACCTGCTCTACCAAAGGGAATGTTCTACTCTGTGACTTGAATGCAAACATCCCAAAGAAGTTTCTGAGAATGCTCTGTCTAGATTTTCTCTGAAGACAATCCCGTTTCCAACGAAATCCTCAAGGCTAGGCAAATATACTCTTGCAGATTCCAGAAAAAGAGTGTTTCAAAACTGCTCCTTCAAAACGGTGGTTCAATTCTCTTAGTTGAGTACACACATCTCAAATAAGTTTCTGAGAATGCTTTCTGCCTAGTTGTTACGGGAAGATATTTCCCTTTCCAACATGGGCCTGAAAGCGCTCCAAATGTCCACTTCCAGATACTACAAAAAGAGTGTTTCAAACCTGCTCTACCAAAGGGAATGTTCTACTCTGTGACTTGAATGCAAACATCCCAAAGAAGTTTCTGAGAATGCTTCTGTCTAGGTTTTACCTGAAGACAATCCCGTTTCCCACGAAATCCTCAGAGCTATGCAAATATCCTCTTGCAGATTCTACAAAAAGAGTGTTTCGAAACTGCTCTATGAAAAGGAAAGGTTCAACTCTGTCAGTAGAGGAAACACATCATCAACAAGTTTCTGAGAATGCTTGTGTCTAGTTGTTATGGGAAGATATTTCCTTTTTCAACATAGGCCTGAAAGCGCTCCAAATGTCCACTTCCAGATACTACAAAAGGAGTGATTCCAACCTGCTCTATGATAGGGAATGTTCAACTCTCTGTCCTGAATACAAACATCACAAAGATGTTTCTCAGAACGCTGCAAACTGCAACTTGTATGAATTCCCGCTTCCAACGAAATCCTCAAAACTAGCCAAATATCCACTTGCAGATTCCACAAAAAGAGCATTTCAAAACTGCTCTATCAAAAGAAAGGTTCAACTTTGTTAGTTGTGTAGATACAGCATAAACAAGTTTGTGAGAATGCTTCTGTCCAGTTTTTATGGGAAGATATTTCCTTTTTCACCTTAGCCCTGAAAGCGCTCCAAAAGTCCAGTTCCAGATACTACAAAAGGAGTGTTTCAGGACTGCTCTATGAAAGGGAGTGTTCAACTTTTGACTTGAATGCAAACATCAGAAAGCAGTTTCTCAGAACGCTGCTGTGTGCTTTTTATATGTATTCCCGCTTCCAGCGAAATCCCCAAAGCTAGCCAAATATCCACTTGCAGATTCCAGAAAAAGAGAGTTTCAAAACTGCTCCTTCAAAACGGTGGTTCAATTCTCTTAGTTGAGTACACACATCTCAAATAAGTTTCTGAGAATGCTTCTGTCTAGTTGTTATGGGAAGATATTTCCTTTTCCAACATAGGCCTGAAAGCGCTCCAAATGTCCACTTCCAGATACTACAAAAGGAGTGATTCAAACCTGCTCTATGATAGGGAATGTTCAACTCTGTGTCCTGAATACAAACATCACAAAGATGTTTCTCAGAACGCTGCAGTCTGCAATTTGTATGAATTCCCGCTTCCAACGAAATCCTCAAAACTAGCCAAATATCCACTTGCAGATTCCACAAAAAGAGCGTTTCAAAACTTCTCTATGAAAAGAAAGGTTCTACTACTTTAGTTGAGGACACACATCACGAGTAAGTTTCTGAGAATGCTTCTGTCTAGTTTTTATGGGAAGATATTTCCTTTTTCACCTTAGGCCGGTAAGTGCTCCAAATGTCCACTTACACACACTACAAAAAGAGTGTTTCAAACCTGCTCTGTGAAAGGGAATGTTCAATACTGTGACTTGAATGCAATCATCACAAAGAACTTTCTGAGAATGCTGCTGACTGCTTTTTATATGTAATCCCGTTTCCAACGAAATCCTCAAATCTTGCCAAATAGCCACTTGCAGATTCCACAAAAAGAGTGTTTCAAAACTGTTCTGTCTAAAGAAAAGTTCAACTGTGTTAGTTGAGGACACACATCAGAAACTAGTTTCTGAGAATGCTTCTGTCTAGTTGTTATGGGAAGATATTTCCTTTTCCAACGTAGGCCTGAAAGCGCTCCAAATGTCCACTTCCATATACTAAAAAAAGAGTGTTTCAAACCTGCTCTACCAAAGGGAATGTTCTACTCTGTGACTTGAATGCAAACATCCCAAAGAAGTTTCTGAGAATGCTTCTGTCTAGATTTTATCTGAAGACAATCCCGTTTCAAACGAAATCCTCAAGGCTAGGCAAATATACTCTTGCAGATTCCAGAAAAAGAGTGTTTCAAAACTGCTCCTTCAAAACGGTGGTTCAATTCTCTTAGTTGAGTCCACACATCTCAAATAAGTTTCTGAGAATGCTTCTGCCTAGTTGTTACGGGAAGATATTTCCCTTTCCAACATGGGCCTGAAAGCGCTCCAAATGTCCACTTCCAGATACTACAAAAAGAGTGTTTCAAACCTGCTCTACCAAAGGGAATGTTCTACTCTGTGACTTGAATGCAAACATCCCAAAGAAGTTTCTGAGAATGCTTCTGTCTAGATTTTACCTGAAGACAATCCCGTTTCCCACGAAATCCTCAAAGCTATGCAAATATCCTCTTGCAGATTCTACAAAAAGAGTGTTTCAAAACTGCTCTATGAAAAGAAAGGTTCAACTCTGTCAGTAGAGGGCACACATCACAAACAAGTTTCTGAGAATGCTTCTGCATAGTTGTTACGGGAAGATATTTCCCTTTCCAAAATAGGCCTGAAAGCGCTCCAAATGTCCACTTCCAGATACTACAAAAGGAGTGATTCCAACCTGCTCTATGATAGGGAATGTTCAACTCTGTGTCCTGAATACAAACATCACAAAGATGTTTCTCAGAACGCTGCAGTCTGCAATTTGTATGAATTCCCGCTTCCAACGAAATCCTCAAAACTAGCCAAATATCCACTTGCAGATTCCACAAAAAGACCATTTCAAAACTGCTCTATCAAAAGAAAGGTTCAACTTTGTTAGTTGAGTAGATACAGCATAAACAAGTTTCTGAGAATGCTTCTGTCCAGTTTTTATGGGAAGATATTTCCTTTTTCACCTTAGCCCTGAAATCGCTCCAAAAGTCCAGTTCCAGATACTACAAAAGGGGTGTTTCAGGACTGCTACTATGAAAGGGAGTGTTCAACTTTTGACTTGAATGCAAACATCAGAAAGCAGTTTCTCAGAACGCTGCTGTGTGCTTTTTATATGTATTCCCGCTTCCAGCGAAATCCCCAAAGCTAGCCAAATATCCACTTGCAGATTCCAGAAAAAGAGTGTTTCCAAACTGCTCCTTCAAAATGGTGGTTCAATTCTCTTAGTTGAGTACACACATCTCAAATAAGTTTCTGGGAATGCTTCTGTCTAGTTGTTATGGGAAGATATTTCCTTTTCCAACATAGGCCTGAAAGCGCTCCAAATGTCCACTTCCAGATACTACAAAAGGAGTGATTCAAACCTGCTCTATGATAGGGAATGTTCAACTCTGTGTCCTGAATACAAACATCACAAAGATGTTTCTCAGAACGCTGCAGTCTGCAATTTGTATGAATTCCCGCTTCCAACGAAATCCTCAAAACTAGCCAAATATCCACTTGGAGATTCCACAAAAAGAGCGTTTCAAAACTTCTCTATGAATAGAAATGTTCTACTCCTTTAGTTGAGGACACACATCACGAGTAAGTTTCTGAGAATGCTTCTGTCTAGTTTTTATGGGAAGATATTTCCTTTTTCACCTTAGGCCGGAAAGTGCTCCAAATGTCCACTTACACACACTATAAAAAGAGTGTTTCAAACCTGCTCTGTGAAAGGGAATGTTCAATTCTGTGACTTGAATGCAATCATCACAAAGAACTTTCTGAGAATGCTGCTGACTGCTTTTTATATGTAATCCCGTTTCCAACGAAATCCTCAAATCTAGCCAAATAGCCACTTGCAGATTCCACAAAAAGAGTGTTTCAAAACTGTTCTGTCTATAGAAATGTTCAACTGTGTTAGTTGAGGACACACATCAGAAACTAGTTTCTGAGAATGCTTCTGTCTAGTTGTTATGGGAAGATATTTCCTTTTCCAACGTAGGCCTGAAAGCGATCCAAATGTCCACTTCCATATACTAAAAAAAGAGTGTTTCAAACCTGCTCTACCAAAGGGAATGTTCTACTCTGTGACTTGAATGCAAACATCCCAAAGAAGTTTCTGAGAATGCTTCTGTCTAGATTTGATCTGAAGACAATCCCGTTTCCAACGAAATCCTCAAAGCTATGCAAATATCCTCTTGCAGATTCCAGAAAAAGAGTGTTTCAAAACTGCTCCTTCAAAACGGTGGTTCAATTCTCTTAAGTTGAGTACACACATCTCAAATAAGTTTCTGAGAATGCTTCTGCCTAGTTGTTACGGGAAGATATTTCCCTTTCCAACATGGGCCTGAAAGCGCTCCAAATGTCCACTTCCAGATACTACAAAAAGAGTGTTTCAAACCTGCTCTACCAAAGGGAATGTTCTACTCTGTGACTTGAATGCAAACATCCCAAAGAAGTTTCTGAGAATGCTTCTGTCTAGATTTTACCTGAAGACAATCCCGTTTCCCACGAAATCCTCAAAGCTATGCAAATATCCTCTTGCAGATTCTACAAAAAGAGTGTTTCAAAACTGCTCTATGAAAAGAAAGGTTCAACTCTGTCAGTAGAGGGCACACATCACAAACAAGTTTCTGAGAATGCTTGTGTCTAGTTGTTATGGGAAGATATTTCCTTTTTCAACATAGGCCTGAAAGCGCTCCAAATGTCCACTTCCAGATACTACAAAAGGAGTGATTCCAACCTGCTCTATGATAGGGAATGTTCAACTCTGTGTCCTGAATACAAACATCACAAAGATGTTTCTCAGAACGCTGCAGTCTGCAATTTGTATGAATTCCCGCTTCCAACGAAATCCTCAAAACTAGCCAAATATCCACTTGCAGATTCCACAAAAAGACCATTTCAAAACTGCTCTATCAAAAGAAAGGTTCAACTTTGTTAGTTGAGTAGATACAGCATAAACAAGTTTCTGAGAATGCTTCTGTCCAGTTTTTATGGGAAGATATTTCCTTTTTCACCTTAGCCCTGAAAGCGCTCCAAAAGTCCAGTTCCAGATACTACAAAAGGAGTGTTTCAGGACTGCTCTATGAAAGGGAGTGTTCAACTTTTGACTTGAATGCAAACATCAGAAAGCAGTTTCTCAGAACGCTGCTGTGTGCTTTTTATATGTATTCCCGCTTCCAGCGAAATCCCCAAAGCTAGCCAAATATCCACTTGCAGATTCCAGAAAAAGAGTGTTTCAAAACTGCTCCTTCAAAACGGTGGTTCAATTCTCTAAGTTGAGTACACACATCTCAAATAAGTTTCTGAGAATGCTTGGTGTCTACTTGTTATGGGAAGATATTTCCTTTTTCAACATAGGCCTGAAAGCGCTCCAAATGTCCACTTCCAGATACTACAAAAGGAGTGATTCCAACCTGCTCTATGATAGGGAATGTTCAACTCTGTGTCCTGAATACAAACATCACAAAGATGTTTCTCAGAACGCTGCAGTCTGCAATTTGGATGAATACCCGCTTCCAACGAAATCCTCAAAACTAGCCAAATATCCACTTGGAGATTCCACAAAAAGAGCGTTTCAAAACTTCTCTATGAATAGAAAGGTTCTACTCCTTTAGTTGAGGGCACACATCACGAGTAAGTTTCTGAGAATGCTTCTGTCTAGTTTTTATGGGAAGATATGTCCTTTTTCACCTTAGGCCGGAAAGCGCTCCAAATGTCCACTTACACACCCTACAAAAAGAGTGTTTCAAACCTCCTCTGTGAAAGGGAATGTTCAATTCTGTGACTTGAATGCAATCATCACAAAGAACTTTCTGAGAATGCTGCTGACTGCTTTTTATATGTAATCCCGTTTCCAACGAAATCCTCAAATCTAGCCCAATATCCACTTGCAGATTCCACAAAAAGAGTGTTTCAAAACTATTCTGTATAAAGAAATGTACAACTGTGTTAGTTGAGGACACACATCAGAAACTAGTTTCTGAGAATGCTTCTGTCTAGTTGTTATGGGAAGATATTTCCTTTTCCAACGTAGGCCTGAAAGCGCTCCAAATGTCCACTTCCATATACTAAAAAAAGAGTGTTTCAAACCTGCTCTACCAAAGGGAATGTTCTACTCTGTGACTTGAATGCAAACATCCCAAAGAAGTTTCTGAGAATGCTTCTGTCTAGATTTGATCTGAAGACAATCCCGTTTCCAACGAAATCCTCAAGGCTAAGCAAATATCCTCTTGCAGATTCCAGAAAAAGAGTGTTTCAAAACTGCTCCTTCAAAACGGTGGTTCAATTCTCTTAGTTGAGTACACACATCTCAAATAAGTTTCTGAGAATGCTTCTGCCTAGTTGTTACGGGAAGATATTTCCCTTTCCATCATAGGCCTGAAAGCGCTGCAAATGTCCACTTCCAGATACTACAAAAAGAGTGTTTCAAACCTGCTCTACCAAAGGGAATGTTCTGCTCTGTGACTTGAATGCAAACATCCCAAAGATGTTTCTGAGAATGCTTCTGTCTAGATTTTACCTGAAGACAATCCCGTTTCCCACGAAATCCTCAAAGCTATGCAAATATCCTCTTGCGGATTCTACAAAAAGAGTGTTTCAAAACTGCTCTATGAAAAGAAAGGTTCAACTCTGTCAGTAGAGGGCACACATCACAAACAAGTTTCTGAGAATGCTTGTGTCTACTTGTTATGGGAAGATATTTCCTTTTTCAACATAGGCCTGAAAGCGCTCCAAATGTCCACTTCCAGATACTACAAAAGGAGTGATTCCAACCTCCTCTATGATAGGGAATGTTCAACTCTGTGTCCTGAATACAAACATCACAAAGATGTTTCTCAGAACGCTGCAGTCTGCAATTTGTATGAATTCCCGCTTCCAAAGAAATCCTCAAAACTAACCAAATATCCACTTGCAGACTCCACAAAAAGAGCATTTCAAAACTGCTCTATCAAAAGAAAAGTTCAACTTTGTTAGTTGAGTAGATACAGCATAAACAAGTTTCTGAGAATGCTTCTGTCCAGTTTTTATGGGAAGATATTTCCTTTTTCACCTTAGCCCTGAAATCGCTCCAAAAGTCCAGTTCCAGATACTACAAAAGGGGTGTTTCAGGACTGCCCTATGAAAGGGAGTGTTCAACTTTTGACTTGAATGCAAACATCAGAAAGCAGTTTCTCAGAACGCTGCTGTGTGCTTTTTATATGTATTCCCGCTTCCAGCGAAATCCCCAAAGCTAGCCAAATATCCACTTGCAGATTCCAGAAAAAGAGTGTTTCCAAACTGCTCCTTCAAAACGGTGGTTCAATTCTCTTAGTTGAGTACACACATCTCAAATAAGTTTTCTGGGAATGCTTTCTGTCTATTTGTTACGGGAAGATATTTCCTTTTCCAACATAGGCCTGAAAGCGCTCCAAATGTCCATTTCCAGATACTACAAAAGGAGTGATTCAAACCTGCTCTATGATAGGGAATGTTCAACTCTGTGTCCTGAATACAAACATCACAAAGATGTTTCTCAGAACGCTGCAGTCTGCAATTTGTATGAATTCCCGCTTCCAACGAAATCCTCAAAACTAGCTAAATATCCACTTGGAGATTCCACAAAAAGAGCGTTTCAAAACTTCTCTATGAATAGAAAGGTTCTACTCCTTTAGTTGAGGACACACATCACGAGTAAGTTTCTGAGAATGCTTCTGTCTAGTTTTTATGGGAAGATATTTCCTTTTTCACCTTAGGCCGGTAAGTGCTCCAAATGTCCACTTACACACACTACAAAAAGAGTGTTTCAAACCTGCTCTGTGAAAGGGAATGTTCAATTCTGTGACTTGAATGCAATCATCACAAAGAACTTTCTGAGAATGCTGCTGTCTGCTTTTTATATGTAATCCCGTTTCCAACGAAATCCTCAAATCTAGCCAAATATCCACTTGCAGATTCCACAAAAAGAGTGTTTCGAAACTGTTCTGTCTAAAGAAATGTACAACTGTGTTAGTTGAGGACACACATCAGAAACTAGTTTCTGAGAATGCTTCTGTCTAGTTGTTATGGGAAGATATTTCCTTTTCCAACGTAGGCCTGAAAGCGCTCCAAATGTCCACTTCCATATACTAAAAAAAGAGTGTTTCAAACCTGCTCTACCAAAGGGAATATTCTACTCTGTGACTTGAATGCAAACATCCCAAAGAAGTTTCTGAGAATGCTTCTGTCTAGATTTTATCTGAAGACAATCCCGTTTCCAACGAAATCCTCAAGGCTAGGCAAATATACTCTTGCAGATTCCAGAAAAAGAGGGTTTCAAAACTGCTCCTTCAAAACGGTGGTTCAATTCTCTTAGTTGAGTACACACATCTCAAATAAGTTTCTGAGAATGCTTCTGCCTAGTTGTTACGGGAAGATATTTCCCTTTCCAACATAGGCCTGAAAGCGCTCCAAATGTCCACTTCCAGATACTACAAAAAGAGTGTTTCAAACCTGCTCTACCAAAGGGAATGTTCTACTCTGTGACTTGAATGCAAACATCCCAAAGAAGTTTCTGAGAATGCTTCTGTCTAGATTTTACCTGAAGACAATCCCGTTTCCCACGAAATCCTCAAAGCTATGCAAATATCCTCTTGCAGATTCTACAAAAAGAGTGTTTCAAAACTGCTCTATGAAAAGAAAGGTTCAACTCTGTCAGTAGAGGGCACACATCACAAACAAGTTTCTGAGAATGCTTGTGTCTAGTTGTTATGGGAAGATATTTCCTTTTTCAACATAGGCCTGAAAGCGCTCCAAATGTCCCAGATACTACAAAAGGAGTGATTCCAACCTGCTCTATGATAGGGAATGTTCATCTCTGTGTCCTGAATACAAACATCACAAAGATGTTTCTCAGAACGCTGCAGTCTGCAATTTGTATGAATTCCCGCTTCCAACGAAATCCTCAAAACTAGCCAAATATCCACTTGGAGATTAAACAAAAAGAGAGTTTCAAAACTTCTCTATGAATAGAAAGGTTCTACTCCTTTAGTTGAGGACACACATCACGAGTAAGTTTCTGAGAATGCTTCTGTCTAGTTTTTATGGGAAGATATTTCCTTTTTCACCTTAGGCCGGAAAGCGCTCCAAATGTCCACTTACACACACTACAAAAAGAGTGTTTCAAACCTGCTCTGTGAAAGGGAATGTTCAATTCTGTGACTTGAATGCAATCATCACAAAGAACTTTTCTGAGAATGCGCTGTCTGCTTTTTGTATGTAATCCCGTTTCCAACGAAATGCTCAAATCTAGCCAAATATCCACTTCCAGATTCCACAAAAAGAGTGTTTCAAAACTGTTCTGTCTAAAGAAATGTACAACTGTGTTAGTTGAGGACACACATCAGAAACTTGTTTCTGAGAATGCTTCTGTCTAGTTGTTATGGGAAGATATTTCCTTTTCCAACGTAGGCCAGAAAGCGCTCCAAATGTCCACTTACACACACTACAAAAAGAGTGTTTCAAACCTGCTCTACCAAAGGGAATGTTCTACTCTGTGACTTGAATGCAAACATCCCAAAGAAGTTTCTGAGAATGCTTCTGTCTAGATTTTCTCTGAAGACAATCCCGTTTCCAACGAAATCCTCAAGGCTAGGCAAATATACTCTTGCAGATTCCAGAAAAAGAGTGTTTCAAAACTGCTCCTTCAAAACGGTGGTTCAATTCTCTTAGTTGAGTACACACATCTCAAATAAGTTTCTGAGAATGCTTCTGCCTAGTTGTTACGGGAAGATATTTCCCTTTCCAACATGGGCCTGAAAGCGCTCCAAATGTCCACTTCCAGATACTACAAAAAGAGTGTTTCAAACCTGCTCTACCAAAGGGAATGTTCTACTCTGTGACTTGAATGCAAACATCCCAAAGAAGTTTCTGAGAATGCTTCTGTCTAGATTTTACCTGAAGACAATCCCGTTTCCCACGAAATCCTCAAAGCTATGCAAATATCCTCTTGCAGATTCTACAAAAAGAGTGTTTCAAAACTGCTCTATGAAAAGAAAGGTTCAACTCTGTCAGTAGAGGGCACACATCACAAACAAGTTTCTGAGAATGCTTGTGTCTAGTTGTTATGGGAAGATATTTCCTTTTTCAACATAGGCCTGAAAGCGCTCCAAATGTCCACTTCCAGATACTACAAAAGGAGTGATTCCAACGTGCTCTATGATAGGGAATGTTCAACTCTCTGTCCTGAATACAAACATCACAAAGATGTTTCTCAGAACGCTGCAGTCTGCAATTTGTATGAATTCCCGCTTCCAGCGAAATCCTCAAAACTAGCCAAATATCCACTTGCAGATTCCACAAAAAGAGCATTTCAAAACTGCTCTATCAAAAGAAAGGTTCAACTTTGTTAGTTGAGTAGATACAGCATAAACAAGTTTCTGAGAATGCTGCAGTCTGCAATTTGTATGAATTCCCGCTTCCAACGAAATCCTCCAAACTAGCCAAATATCCACTTGCAGATTCCACAAAAAGAGCGTTTCAAAACTTCTCTATGAAAAGAAAGGTTCTACTCCTTTAGTTGAGGACACACATCACGAGTAAGTTTCTGAGAATGCTTCTGTCTAGTTTTTATGGGAAGATATTTCCTTTTTCACCTTAGGCCGGAAAGTGCTCCAAATGTCCACTTACACACACTATAAAAAGAGTGTTTCAAACCTGCTCTGTGAAAGGGAATGTTCAATTCTGTGACTTGAATGCAATCATCACAAAGAACTTTCTGAGAATGCTGCTGACTGCTTTTTATATGTAATCCCGTTTCCAACGAAATCCTCAAATCTAGCCAAATAGCCACTTGCAGATTCCACAAAAAGAGTGTTTCAAAACTGTTCTGTCTAAAGAAATGTTCAACTGTGTTAGTTGAGGACACACATCAGAAACTAGTTTCTGAGAATGCTTCTGTCTAGTTGTTATGGGAAGATATTTCCTTTTCCAACGTAGGCCTGAAAGCGCTCCAAATGTCCACTTCCATATACTAAAAAAAGAGTGTTTCAAACCTGCTCTACCAAAGGGAATGTTCTACTCTGTGACTTGAATGCAAACATCCCAAAGAAGTTTCTGAGAATGCTTCTGTCTAGATTTTCTCTGAAGACAATCCCGTTTCCAACGAAATCCTCAAGGCTAGGCAAATATACTCTTGCAGATTCCAGAAAAAGAGTGTTTCAAAACTGCTCCTTCAAAACGGTGGTTCAATTCTCTTAGTTGAGTACACACATCTCAAATAAGTTTCTGAGAATGCTTCTGCCTAGTTGTTACGGGAAGATATTTCCCTTTGCAACATGGGCCAGAAAGCGCTCCAAATGTCCACTTCCAGATACTACAAAAAGAGTGTTTCAAACCTGCTCTACCAAAGGGAATGTTCTACTCTGTGACTTGAATGTAAACATCCCAAAGAAGTTTCTGAGAATGCTTCTGTCTAGATTTTTCCTGAAGACAATCCCGTTTCCCACGAAATCCTCAAAGCTATGCAAATATCCTCTTGCAGATTCTACAAAAAGAGTGTTTCAAAACTGCTCTATGAAAAGAAAGGTTCAACTCTGTCAGTAGAGGGCACACATCACAAACAAGTTTCTGAGAATGCTTGTGTCTAGTTGTTATGGGAAGATATTTCCTTTTTCAACATAGTCCTGAAAGCGCTCCAAATGTCCACTTCCAGATACTACAAAAGGAGTGATTCCAACCTGCTCTATGATAGGGAATGTTCAACTCTCTGTCCTGAATACAAACATCACAAAGATGTTTCTCAGAACGCTGCAGTCTGCAATTTGTATGAATTCCCGCTTCCAACGAAATCCTCAAAACTAGCCAAATATCCACTTGCAGATTCCACAAAAAGAGCATTTCAAAACTGCTCTATCAAAAGAAAGGTTCAACTTTGTTAGTTGAGTAGATACAGCATAAACAAGTTTCTGAGAATGCTTCTGTCCAGTTTTTATGGGAAGATATTTCCTTTTTCACCTTAGCCCTGAAAGCGCTCCAAAAGTCCAGTTCCAGATACTACAAAAGGAGTGTTTCAGGACTGCTCTATGAAAGGGAGTGTTCAACTTTTGACTTGAATGCAAACATCAGAAAGCAGTTTCTCAGAACGCTGCTGTGTGCTTTTTATATGTATTCCCGCTTCCAGCGAAATCCCCAAAGCTAGCCAAATAGCCACTTGCAGATTCCAGAAAAAGAGTGTTTCAAAACTGCTCCTTCAAAACGGTGGTTCAATTCTCTTAGTTGAGTACACACATCTCAAATAAGTTTCTGAGAATGCTGCAGTCTGCAATTTGTATGAATTCCCGCTTCCAACGAAATCCTCAAAACTAGCCAAATATCCACTTGCAGATTCCACAAAAAGAGCGTTTCAAAACTTCTCTATGAAAAGAAAGGTTCTACTCCTTTAGTTGAGGACACACATCACGAGTAAGTTTCTGAGAATGCTTCTGTCTAGTTTTTATGGGAAGATATGTCCTTTTTCACCTTAGGCCGGAAAGCGCTCCAAATGTCCACTTACACACACTACAGATAGAGTGTTTCAAACCTGCTCTGTGAAAGGGAATGTTCAATTCTGTGACTTGAATGCAATCATCACAAAGAACTTCCTGAGAATGCTGCTGACTGCTTTTTATATGTAATCCCGTTTCCAACGAAATACTCAAATCTAGCCCAATATCCACTTGCAGATTCCACAAAAAGAGTGTTTCAAAACTGTTCTGTCTAAAGAAATGTACAACTGTGTTAGTTGAGGACACACATCACAAACTAGTTTCTGAGAATGCTTCTGTCTAGTTGTTATGGGAAGATATTTCCTTTTCCAACGTAGGCCTGAAAGCGCTCCAAATGTCCACTTCCATATACTAAAAAAAGAGTGTTTCAAACCTGCTCTACCAAAGGGAATGTTCTACTCTGTGACTTGAATGCAAACATCCCAAAGAAGTTTCTGAGAATGCTTCTGTCTAGATTTGATCTGAAGACAATCCCGTTTCCAACGAAATCCTCAAGGCTAGGCAAATATCCTCTTGCAGATTCCAGAAAAAGAGTGTTTCAAAACTGCTCCTTCAAAACGGTGGTTCAATTCTCTTAGTTGAGTACACACATCTCAAATAAGTTTCTGAGAATGCTTCTGCCTAGTTGTTACGGGAAGATATTTCCCTTTCCAACATGGGCCTGAAAGCGCTCCAAATGTCCACTTCCAGATACTACAAAAAGAGTGTTTCAAACCTGCTCTACCAAAGGGAATGTTCTACTCTGTGACTTGAATGCAAACATCCCAAAGAAGTTTCTGAGAATGCTTCTGTCTAGATTTTACCTGAAGACAATCCCGTTTCCCACGAAATCCTCAAAGCTATGCAAATATCCTCTTGCGGATTCTACAAAAAGAGTGTTTCAAAACTGCTCTATGAAAAGAAAGGTTCCACTCTGTCAGTAGAGGGCACACATCACAAACAAGTTTCTGAGAATGCTTGTGTCTAGTTGTTATGGGAAGATATTTCCTTTTTCAACATAGGCCTGAAAGCGCTCCAAATGTCCACTTCCAGATACTACAAAAGGAGTGATTCCAACCTGCTCTATGATAGGGAATGTTCAACTCTCTGTCCTGAATACAAACATCACAAAGATGTTTCTCAGAACGCTGCAGTCTGCAATTTGTATGAATTCCCGCTTCCAACGAAATCCTCAAAACTAGCCAAATATCCACTTGCAGATTCCACAAAAAGAGCGTTTCAAAACTTCTCTATGAAAAGAAAGGTTCTACTCCTTTAGTTGAGGACACACATCACGAGTAAGTTTCTGAGAATGCTTCTGTCTAGTTTTTATGGGAAGATTATTTCCTTTTTCACCTTAGGCCGGTAAGTGCTCCAAATGTCCACTTACACACACTACAAAAAGAGTGTTTCAAACCTGCTCTGTGAAAGGGAATGTTCAATTCTGTGACTTGAATGCAATCATCACAAAGAACTTTCTGAGAATGCTGCTGGCTGCTTTTTATATGTAATCCCGTTTCCAACGAAATCCTCAAATCTAGCCAAATAGCCACTTGCAGATTCCACAAAAAGAGTGTTTCAAAACTGTTCTGTCTAAAGAAATGTTCAACTGTGTTAGTTGAGGACACACATCAGAAACTAGTTTCTGAGAATGCTTCTGTCTAGTTGTTATGGGAAGATATTTCCTTTTCCAACGTAGGCCTGAAAGCGCTCCAAATGTCCACTTCCATATACTAAAAAAAGAGTGTTTCAAACCTGCTCTACCAAAGGGAATGTTCTACTCTGTGACTTGAATGCAAACATCCCAAAGAAGTTTCTGAGAATGCTTCTGTCTAGATTTTCTCTGAAGACAATCCCGTTTCCAACGAAATCCTCAAGGCTAGGCAAATATACTCTTGCAGATTCCAGAAAAAGAGTGTTTCAAAACTGCTCCTTCAAAACGGTGGTTCAATTCTCTTAGTTGAGTACACACATCTCAAATAAGTTTCTGAGAATGCTTCTGCCTAGTTGTTACGGGAAGATATTTCCCTTTCCAACATGGGCCTGAAAGCGCTCCAAATGTCCACTTCCAGATACTACAAAAAGAGTGTTTCAAACCTGCTCTACCAAAGGGAATGTTCTACTCTGTGACTTGAATGCAAACATCCCAAAGAAGTTTCTGAGAATGCTTCTGTCTAGATTTTACCTGAAGACAATCCCGTTTCCCACGAAATCCTCAAAGCTATGCAAATATCCTCTTGCAGATTCTACAAAAAGAGCGTTTCAAAACTTCTCTATGAAAAGAAAGGTTCTACTCATTTAGTGGAGGACACACATCACGAGTAAGTTTCTGAGAATGCTTCTGCATAGTTGTTACGGGAAGATATTTCCCTTTCCAAAATAGGCCTGAAAGCGCTCCAAATGTCCACTTCCAGATACTACAAAAGGAGTGATTCCAACCTGCTCTATGATAGGGAATGTTCAACTCTGTGTCCTGAATACAAACATCACAAAGATGTTTCTCAGAACGCTGCAGTCTGCAATTTGTATGAATTCCAGCTTCCAACGAAATCCTCAAAACTAGCCAAATATCCACTTGCAGATTCCACAAAAAGAGCATTTCAAAACTGCCCTATCAAAAGAAAGGTTCAACTTTGTTAGTAGAGTAGATACAGCATAAACAAGTTTCTGAGAATGCTTCTGTCCAGTTTTTATGGGAAGATATTTCCTTTTTCACCTTAGCCCTGAAATCGCTCCAAAAGTCCAGTTCCAGATACTACAAAAGGGGTGTTTCAGGACTGCTCTATGAAAGGGAGTGTTCAACTTTTGACTTGAATGCAAACATCAGAAAGCAGTTTCTCAGAACGCTGCTGTGTGCTTTTTATATGTATTCCCGCTTCCAGCGAAATCCCCAAAGCTAGCCAAATATCCACTTGCAGATTCCAGAAAAAGAGTGTTTCAAAACTGCTCCTTCAAAACGGTGGTTCAATTCTCTTAGTTGAGTACACACATCTCAAATAAGTTTCTGAGAATGCTTCTGCATAGTTGTTATGGGAAGATATTTCCCTGTCCAAAATAGGCCTGAAAGCGCTCCAAATGTCCACTTCCAGATACTACAAAAGGAGTGATTCCAACCTGCTCTATGATAGGGAATGTTCAACTCTGTGTCCTGAATACAAACATCACAAAGATGTTTCTCATAACGCTGCAGTCTGCAATTTGTATGAATTCCCGCTTCCAACGAAATCCTCAAAACTAGCCAAATATCCACTTGGAGATTCCACAAAAAGAGCGTTTCAAAACTTCTCTATGAATAGAAATGTTCTACTCCTTTAGTTGAGGACACACATCACGAGTAAGTTTCTGAGAATGCTTCTGTCTAGTTTTTATGGGAAGATATTTCCTTTTTCACCTTAGGCCGGAAAGCGCTCCAAATGTCCACTTACACACACTACTAAAAGAGTGTTTCAAACCTGCTCTGTGAAAGGGAATGTTCAATTCTGTGACTTGAATGCAATCATCACAAAGAACTTTCTGAGAATGCTGCTGTCTGCTTTTTATATGTAATCCCGTTTCCAACGAAATCCTCAAATCTAGCCAAATATCCACTTGCAGATTCCACAAAAGAGTGTTTCAAAACTGTTCTGTCTAAAGAAAAGTTCAACTGTGTTAGTTGAGGACACACATCAGAAACTAGTTTCTGAGAATGCTTCTGTCTAGTTGTTATGGGAAGATATTTCCTTTTCCAACATAGGCCTGAAAGCGCTCCAAATGTCCACTTCCATATACTAAAAAAAGAGTGTTTCAAACCTGGTCTACCAAAGGTAATGTTCTACTCTGTGACTTGAATGCAAACATCCCAAATAAGTTTCTGAGAATGCTTCTGTCTAGATTTTATCTGAAGACAATCCCGTTTCCAACGAAATCCTCAAGGCTAGGCAAATATAATCTTGCAGATTCCAGAAAAAGAGTGTTTCAAAACTGCTCCTTCAAAACGGTGGTTCAATTCTCTTAGTTGAGTCCACACATCTCAAATAAGTTTCTGAGAATGCTTCTGCCTAGTTGTTACGGGAAGATATTTCCCTTTCCAACATGGGCCTGAAAGCGCTCCAAATGTCCACTTCCAGATACTACAAAAAGAGTGTTTCAAACCTGCTCTACCAAAGGGAATGTTCTACTCTGTGACTTGAATGCAAACATCCCAAAGAAGTTTCTGAGAATGCTTCTGTCTAGATTTTATCTGAAGACAATCCCGTTTCCCACGAAATCCTCAAAGCTATGCAAATATCCTCTTGCAGATTCTACAAAAAGAGTGTTTCGAAACTGCTCTATGAAAAGAAAGGTTCAACTGTGTCAGTAGAGGGCACACATCACAAACAAGTTTCTGAGAATGCTTCTGCATAGTTGTTACGGGAAGATATTTCCCTTTCCAAAATAGGCCTGAAAGCGCTCCAAATGTCCACTTCCAGATACTACAAAAGGAGTGATTCCAACCTGCTCTATGATAGGGAATGTTCAACTCTGTGTCCTGAATACAAACATCACAAAGATGTTTCTCAGAACGCTGCAGTCTGCAATTTGTATGAATTCCCGCTTCCAACGAAATCCTCAAAACTAGCCAAATATCCACTTGCAGATTCCACAAAAAGACCATTTCAAAACTGCTCTATCAAAAGAAAGGTTCAACTTTGTTAGTTGAGTAGATACAGCATAAACAAGTTTCTGAGAATGCTTCTGTCCAGTTTTTATGGGAAGATATTTCCTTTTTCACCTTAGCCCTGAAATCGCTCCAAAAGTCCAGTTCCAGATACTACAAAAGGGGTGTTTCAAGACTGCTCTATGAAAGGGAGTGTTCAACTTTTGACTTGAATGCAAACATCAGAAAGCAGTTTCTCAGAACGCTGCTGTGTGCTTTTTATATGTATTCCCGCTTCCAGCGAAATCCCCAAAGCTAGCCAAATATCCACTTGCAGATTCCAGAAAAAGAGAGTTTCAAAACTGCTCCTTCAAAACGGTGGTTCAATTCTCTTAGTTGAGTACACACATCTCAAATAAGTTTCTGAGAATGCTGCTGTGTGCTTTTTATATGTATTCCCGCTTCCAGCGAAATCCCCAAAGCTAGCCAAATATCCACTTGCAGATTCCAGAAAAAGAGTGTTTCAAAACTGCTCCTTCAAAACGGTGGTTCAATTCTCTTAGTTGAGTACACACATCTCAAATAAGTTTCTGAGAATGCTTCTGTCTAGTTGTTATGGGAAGATATTTCCTTTTCCAACATAGTCCTGAAAGTGCTCCAAATGTCCACTTCCAGATACTACAAAAGGAGTGATTCAAACCTGCTCTATGATAGGGAATGTTCAACTCTGTGTCCTGAATACAAACATCACAAAGATGTTTCTCAGAACGCTGCAGTCTGCAATTTGTATGAATTCCCGCTTCCAACGAAATCCTCAAAACTAGCCAAATATCCACTTGCAGATTCCACAAAAAGACCATTTCAAAACTGCTCTATCAAAAGAAAGGTTCAACTTTGTTAGTTGAGTAGATACAGCATAACCAAGTTTCTGAGAATGCTTCTGTCCAGTTTTTATGGGAAGATATTTCCTTTTTCACCTTAGCCCTGAAATCGCTCCAAAAGTCCAGTTCCAGATACTACAAAAGGGGTGTTTCAAGACTGCTCTATGAAAGGGAGTGTTCAACTTTTGACTTGAATGCAAACATCAGAAAGCAGTTTCTCAGAACGCTGCTGTGTGCTTTTTATATGTATTCCCGCTTCCAGCGAAATCCCCAAAGCTAGCCAAATATCCACTTGCAGATTCCAGAAAAAGAGAGTTTCAAAACTGCTCCTTCAAAACGGTGGTTCAATTCTCTTAGTTGAGTACACACATCTCAAATAAGTTTCTGAGAATGCTGCTGTGTGCTTTTTATATGTATTCCCGCTTCCAGCGAAATCCCCAAAGCTAGCCAAATATCCACTTGCAGATTCCAGAAAAAGAGTGTTTCAAAACTGCTCCTTCAAAACGGTGGTTCAATTCTCTTAGTTGAGTACACACATCTCAAATAAGTTTCTGAGAATGCTGCAGTCTGCAATTTGTATGAATTCCCGCTTCCAACGAAATCCTCAAAACTAGCCAAATATCCACTTGGAGATTCCACAAAAAGAGCGTTTCAAAACTTCTCTATGAATAGAAAGGTTCTACTCCTTTAGTTGAGGACACACATCACGAGTAAGTTTCTGAGAATGCTTCTGTCTAGTTTTTATGGGAAGATATTTCCTTTTTCACCTTAGGCCGGTAAGTGCTCCAAATGTCCACTTACACACACTACAAAAAGAGTGTTTCAAACCTGCTCTGTGAAAGGGAATGTTCAATTCTGTGACTTGAATGCAATCATCACAAAGAACTTTCTGAGAATGCTGCTGTCTGCTTTTTATATGCAATCCCGTTTCCAACGAAATCCTCAAATCTAGCAAAATAGCCACTTGCAGATTCCACAAAAAGAGTGTTTCAAAACTGTTCTGTCTAAAGAAATGTTCAACTGTGTTAGTTGAGGACACACATCAGAAACTAGTTTCTGAGAATGCTTCTGTCTAGTTGTTATGGGAAGATATTTCCTTTTCCAACGTAGGCCTGAAAGCGCTCCAAATGTCCACTTCCATATACTAAAAAAAGAGTGTTTCAAACCTGCTCTACCAAAGGGAATGTTCTACTCTGTGACTTGAATGCAAACATCCCAAAGAAGTTTCTGAGAATGCTTCTGTCTAGATTTTCTCTGAAGACAATCCCGTTTCCAACGAAATCCTCAAGGCTAGGCAAATATACTCTTGCAGATTCCAGAAAAAGAGTGTTTCAAAACTGCTCCTTCAAAACGGTGGTTCAATTCTCTTAGTTGAGTACACACATCTCAAATAAGTTTCTGAGAATGCTTCTGCCTAGTTGTTACGGGAAGATATTTCCCTTTCCAACATAGGCCTGAAAGCGCTCCAAATGTCCACTTCCAGATACTACAAAAAGAGTGTTTCAAACCTGCTCTACCAAAGGGAATGTTCTACTCTGTGACTTGAATGCAAACATCCCAAAGAAGTTTCTGAGAATGCTTCTGTCCAGATTTTACCTGAAGACCATCCCGTTTCCCACGAAATCCTCAAAGCTATGCAAATATCCTCTTGCAGATTCTACAAAAAGAGTGTTTCAAAACTGCTCTATGAAAAGAAAGGTTCAAATCTGTCAGTAGAGGGCACACATCACAAACAAGTTTCTGAGAATGCTTGTGTCTAGTTGTTATGGGAAGATATTTCCTTTTTCAACATGGGCCTGAAAGCGCTCCAAATGTCCACTTCCAGATACTACAAAAGGAGTGATTCCAACCTGCTCTATGATAGGGAATGTTCAACTCTCTGTCCTGAATACAAACATCACAAAGATGTTTCTCAGAACGCTGCAGTCTGCAATTTGTATGTATTCCAGCTTCCAACGAAATCCTCAAATCTAGCCAAATATCCAATTGCAGATTCCACAAAAAGAGCATTTCAAAACTGCTCTATCAAAAGAAAGGTTCAACTTTTTTAGTAGAGTAGATACAGCATAAACAAGTTTCTGAGAATGCTGCAGTCTGCAATTTGTATGAATTCCCGCTTCCAACGAAATCCTCAAAACTAGCCAAATATCCACTTGCAGATTCCACAAAAAGAGCGTTTCAAAACTTCTCTATGAAAAGAAAGGTTCTACTCCTTTAGTTGAGGACACACATCACGAGTAAGTTTCTGAGAATGCTTCTGTCTAGTTTTTATGGGAAGATATTTCCTTTTTCACCTTAGGCCGGTAAGTGCTCCAAATGTCCACTTACACACACTACAAAAAGAGTGTTTCAAACCTGCTCTGTGAAAGGGAATGTTCAATTCTGTGACTTGAATGCAATCATCACAAAGAACTTTCTGAGAATGCCGCTGACTGCTTTTTATATGTAATCCCGTTTCCAACGAAATCCTCAAATCTAGCCAAATAGCCACTTGCAGATTCCACAAAAAGAGTGTTTCAAAACTGTTCTGTCTAAAGAAATGTGCAACTGTGTTAGTTGAGGACACACATCAGAAACTAGTTTCTGAGAATGCTTCTGTCTAGTTGTTATGGGAAGATATTTCCTTTTCCAACGTAGGCCTGAAAGCGCTCCAAATGTCCACTTCCATATACTAAAAAAAGAGTGTTTCAAACCTGCTCTACCAAAGGGAATGTTCTACTCTGTGACTTGAATGCAAACATCCCAAAGAAGTTTCTGAGAATGCTTCTGTCTAGATTTGATCTGAAGACAATCCCGTTTCCAACGAAATCCTCAAATCTATGCAAATATCCTCTTGCAGATTCCAGAAAAAGAGTGTTTCAAAACTGCTCCTTCAAAACGGTGGTTCAATTCTCTTAGTTGAGTACACACATCTCAAATAAGTTTCTGAGAATGCTTCTGCCTAGTTGTTACGGGAAGATATTTCCCTTTCCAACATAGGCCTGAAAGCGCTCCAAATGTCCACTTCCAGATACTACAAAAAGAGTGTTTCAAACCTGCTCTACCAAAGGGAATGTTCTACTCTGTGACTTGAATGCAAACATCCCAAAGAAGTTTCTGAGAATGCTTCTGTCTAGATTTTACCTGAAGACAATCCCGTTTCCCACGAAATCCTCAAAGCTATGCAAATATCCTCTTGCAGATTCTACAAAAAGAGTGTTTCAAAACTGCTCTATGAAAAGAAAGGTTCAACTCTGTCAGTAGAGGGCACACATCACAAACAAGTTTCTGAGAATGCTTGTGTCTAGTTGTTATGGGAAGATATTTCCTTTTTCAACATAGGCCTGAAAGCGCTCCAAATGTCCACTTCCAGATACTACAAAAGGAGTGATTCCAACCTGCTTTATGATAGGGAATGTTCAACTCTCTGTCCTGAATACAAACATCACAAAGATGTTTCTCAGAACGCTGCAGTCTGCAATTTGTATGAATTCCCGCTTCCAACGAAATCCTCAAAACTAGCCAAATATCCACTTGCAGATTCCACAAAAAGACCATTTCAAAACTGCTCTATCAAAAGAAAGGTTCAACTTTGTTAGTTGAGTAGATACAGCATAACCAAGTTTCTGAGAATGCTTCTGTCCAGTTTTTATGGGAAGATATTTCCTTTTTCACCTTAGCCCTGAAAGCGCTCCAAAAGTCCAGTTCCAGATACTACAAAAGGAGTGTTTCAGGACTGCTCTATGAAAGGGAGTGTTCAACTTTTGACTTGAATGCAAACATCAGAAAGCAGTTTCTCAGAACGCTGCTGTGTGCTTTTTATATGTATTCCCGCTTCCAGCGAAATCCCCAAAGCTAGCCAAATATCCACTTGCAGATTCCAGAAAAAGAGAGTTTCAAAACTGCTCCTTCAAAACGGTGGTTCAATTCTCTTAGTTGAGTACACACATCTCAAATAAGTTTCTGAGAATGCTTCTGTCTAGTTGTTATGGGAAGATATTTCCTTTTCCAACATAGGCCTGAAAGCGCTCCAAATGTCCACTTCCAGATACTACAAAAGGAGTGATTCCAACCTGCTCTATGATAGGGAATGTTCAACTCTGTGTCCTGAATACAAACATCACAAAGATGTTTCTCAGAACGCTGCAGTCTGCAATTTGTATGAATTCCCGCTTCCAACGAAATCCTCCAAACTAGCCAAATATCCACTTGCAGATTCCACAAAAAGAGCGTTTCAAAACTTCTCTATGAAAACAAAGGTTCTACTCCTTTAGTTGAGGACACACATCACGAGTAAGTTTCTGAGAATGCTTCTGTCTAGTTTTTATGGGAAGATATTTCCTTTTTCACCTTAGGCCGGAAAGTGCTCCAAATGTCCATTTACACACACTATAAAAAGAGTGTTTCAAACCTGCTCTGTGAAAGGGAATGTTCAATTCTGTGACTTGAATGCAATCATCACAAAGAACTTTCTGAGAATGCTGCTGTCTGCTTTTTATATGTAATCCCGTTTCCAACGAAATCCTCAAATCTAGCCAAATAGCCACTTGCAGATTCCACAAAAAGAGAGTTTCAAAACTGTTCTGTCTAAAGAAATGTTCAACTGTGTTAGTTGAGGACACACATCAGAAACTAGTTTCTGAGAATGCTTCTGTCTAGTTGTTATGGGAAGATATTTCCTTTTCCAACGTAGGCCTGAAAGCGCTCCAAATGTCCACTTCCAGATACTACAAAAAGAGTGTTTCAAACCTGCTCTACCAAAGGGAATGTTCTACTCTGTGACTTGAATGCAAGCATCCCAAAGAAGTTTCTGAGAATGCTTCTGTCTAGATTTTCTCTGAAGACAATCCCGTTTCCAACGAAATCCTCAAGGCTAGGCAAATATACTCTTGCAGATTCCAGAAAAAGAGTGTTTCAAAACTGCTCCTTCAAAACGGTGGTTCAATTCTCTTAGTTGAGTACACACATCTCAAATAAGTTTGCTGAGAATGCTTCTGCCTAGTTGTTACGGGAAGATATTTCCCTTTCCAACATAGGCCTGAAAGCGCTCCAAATGTCCACTTCCAGATACTACAAAAAGAGGGTTTCAAACCTGCTCTACCAAAGGGAATGTTCTGCTCTGTGACTTGAATGCAAACATCCCAAAGAAGTTTCTGAGAATGCTTCTGTCTAGATTTTACCTGAAGACAATCCCGTTTCCCACGAAATCCTCAAAGCTATGCAAATATCCTCTTGCAGATTCTACAAAAAGAGTGTTTCGAAACTGCTCTATGAAAAGAAAGGTTCAACTCTGTCAGTAGAGGGCACACATCACAAACAAGTTTACTGAGAATGCTTCTGTCTAGTTGTTATGGGAAGATATTTCCTTTTTCAACATAGGCCTGAAAGCGCTCCAAATGTCCACTTCCAGATACTACAAAAGGAGTGATTCCAACCTGCTCTATGATAGGGAATGTTCAACTCTCTGTCCTGAATACAAACATCACAAAGATGTTTCTCAGAACGCTGCAGTCTGCAATTTGTATGAATTCCCGCTTCCAACGAAATCCTCAAAACTAGCCAAATATCCACTTGCAGATTCCACAAAAAGAGCATTTCAAAACTGCTCTATCAAAAGAAAGGTTCAACTTTGTTAGTTGAGTAGATACAGCATAAACAAGTTTCTGAGAATGCTTCTGTCCAGTTTTTATGGGAAGATATTTCCTTTTTCACCTTAGCCCTGAAAGCGCTCCAAAAGTCCAGTTCCAGATACTACAAAAGGAGTGTTTCAGACTGCACTATGAAAGGGAGTGTTCAACTTTTGACTTGAATGCAAACATCAGAAAGCAGTTTCTCAGAACGCTGCAGTCTGCAATTTGTATGAATTCCCGCTTCCAACGAAATCCTCCAAACTAGCCAAATATCCACTTGCAGATTCCACAAAAAGAGCGTTTCAAAACTTCTCTATGAAAGAAAGGTTCTACTCCTTTAGTTGAGGACACACATCACGAGTAAGTTTCTGAGAATGCTTCTGTCTAGTTTTTATGGGAAGATATTTCCTTTTTCACCTTAGGCCGGTAAGTGCTCCAAATGTCCACTTACACACACTACAAAAAGAGTGTTTCAAACCTGCTCTGTGAAAGGGAATGTTCAATTCTGTGACTTGAATGCAATCATCACAAAGAACTTTCTGAGAATGCTGCTGACTGCTTTTTATATGTAATCCCGTTTCCAACGAAATCCTCAAATCTAGCCAAATAGCCACTTGCAGATTCCACAAAAAGAGTGTTTCAAAACTGTTCTGTCTAAAGAAATGTTCAACTGTGTTAGTTGAGGACACACATCAGAAACTAGTTTCTGAGAATGCTTCTGTCTAGTTGTTATGGGAAGATATTTCCTTTTCCAACGTAGGCCTGAATGCGCTCCAAATGTCCACTTCCATATACTAAAAAAAGAGTGTTTCAAACCTGCTCTACCAAAGGGAATGTTCTACTCTGTGACTTGAATGCAAACATCCCAAAGAAGTTTCTGAGAATGCTTCTGTATAGATTTGATCTGAAGACAATCTCGTTTCCAACGAAATCCTCAAGGCTAGGCAAATATCCTCTTTCAGATTCCAGAAAAAGAGTGTTTCAAAACTGCTCCTTCAAAACGGTGGTTCAACTCTCTTAGTTGAATACACACATCTCAAATAAGTTTCTGAGAATGCTTCTGCCTAGTTGTTAAGGGAAGATATTTCCCTTTCCAACATAGGCCTGAAAGCGCTCCAAATGTCCACTTCCAGATACTACAAAAAGAGGGTTTCAAACCTGCTCTACCAAAGGGAATGTTCTACTCTGTGACTTGAATGCAAACATCCCAAAGAAGTTTCTGAGAATGCTTCTGTCTAGATTTTACCTGAAGACAATCCCGTTTCCCACGAAATCCTCAAAGCTATGCAAATATCCTCTTGCGGATTCTACAAAAAGAGTGTTTCAAAACTGCTCTATGAAAAGAAAGGTTCAACTCTGTCAGTAGAGGGCACACATCACAAACAAGTTTCTGAGAATGCTTGTGTCTAGTTTTTATGGGAAGATATTTCCTTTTTCAACATAGGCCTGAAAGCGCTCCAAATGTCCACTTCCAGATACTACAAAAGGAGTGATTCCAACATGCTCTATGATAGGGAATGTTCATCTCTGTGTCTTGAATACAAACATCACAAAGATGTTTCTCAGAACGCTGCAGTCTGCAATTTGTATGAATTCCCGCTTCCAACGAAATCCTCAAAACTAGGCAAATATCCACTTGGAGATTCCACAAAAAGAGCGTTTCAAAACTTCTCTATGAATAGAAAGGTTCTACTCCTTTAGTTGAGGACACACATCACGAGTAAGTTTCTGAGAATGCTTCTATCTAGTTTTTATGGGAAGATATGTCCTTTTTCACCTTAGGCCGGAAAGCGCTCCAAATGTCCACTTACACACACTACAAAAAGAGTGTTTCAAACCTGCTCTGTGAAAGGGAATGTTCAATTCTGTGACTTGAATGCAATCATCACAAACAACTTTCTGAGAATGCTGCTGACTGCTTTTTATATGTAATCCCGTTTCCAACGAAATCCTCAAATCTAGCCAAATAGCCACTTGCAGATTCCACAAAAAGAGTGTTTCAAAACTGTTCTGTCTAAAGAAATGTTCAACTGTGTTAGTTGAGGACACACATCAGAAACTAGTTTCTGAGAATGCTTCTGTCTAGTTGTTATGGGAAGATATTTCCTTTTCCAACGTAGGCCTGAAAGCGCTCCAAATGTCCACTTCCATATACTAAAAAAAGAGTGTTTCAAACCTGCTCTACCAAAGGGAATGTTCTACTCTGTGACTTGAATGCAAACATCCCAAAGAAGTTTCTGAGAATGCTTCTGTCTAGCATTTTCTCTGAAGACAATCCCGTTTCCAACGAAATCCTCAAGGCTAGGCAAATATCCTCTTGCAGATTCCAGAAAAAGAGTGTTTCAAAACTGCTCCTTCAAAACGGTGGTTCAATTCTCTTAGTTGAGTACACACATCTCAAATAAGTTTCTGAGAATGCTTCTGCCTAGTTGTTACTGGAAGATATTTCCCTTTCCAACATAGGCCTGAAAGCGCTCCAAATGTCCACTTCCAGATACTACAAAAAGAGTGTTGCAAACCTGCTCTACCAAAGGGAATGTTCTACTGCTGTGACTTGAATGCAAACATCCCAAAGAAGTTTCTGAGAATGCTTCTGTCTAGATTTTACCTGAAGACAATCCCGTTTCCCACGAAATCCTCAAAGCTATGCAAATATCCTCTTGCAGATTCTACAAAAAGAGTGTTTCAAAACTGCTCTAAGAAAAGAAAGGTTCAACTCTGTCAGTAGAGGGCACACATCACAAACAAGTTTCTGAGAATGCTTCTGCATAGTTGTTATGGGAAGATATTTCCCTGTCCAAAATAGGCCTGAAAGCGCTCCAAATGTCCACTTCCAGATACTACAAAAGGAGTGATTCCAACCTGCTCTATGATAGGGAATGTTCAACTCTGTGTCCTGAATACAAACATCACAAAGATGTTTCTCATAACGCTGCAGTCTGCAATTTGTATGAATTCCTGCTTCCAACGAAATCCTCAAAACTAGCCAAATATCCACTTGCAGATTCCACAAAAAGACCATTTCAAAACTGCTCTATCAAAAGAAAGGTTCAACTTTGTTAGTTGAGTAGATACAGCATAAACAAGTTTCTGAGAATGCTTCTGTCCAGTTTTTATGGGAAGATATTTCCTTTTTCACCTTAGCCCTGAAATCGCTCCAAAAGTCCAGTTCCAGATACTACAAAAGGGGTGTTTCAGGACTGCTCTATGAAAGGGAGTGTTCAACTTTTGACTTGAATGCAAACATCAGAAAGCAGTTTCTCAGAACGCTGCTGTGTGCTTTTTATATGTATTCCCGCTTCCAGCGAAATCCCCAAAGCTAGCCAAATATCCACTTGCAGATTCCAGAAAAAGAGTGTTTCAAAACTGCTCCTTCAAAACGGTGGTTCAATTCTCTTAGTTGAGTACACACATCTCAAATAAGTTTCTGAGAATGCTTCTGTCTATTTGTTATGGGAAGATATTTCCTTTTCCAACATAGGCCTGAAAGCGCTCCAAATGTCCACTTCCAGATACTACAAAAGGAGTGATTCCCACCTGCTCTATGATAGGGAATGTTCAACTCTGTGTCCTGAATACAAACATCACAAAGATGTTTCTCAGAACGCTGCAGTCTGCAATTTGTATGAATTCCCGCTTCCAACGAAATCCTCAAAACTAGCCAAATATCCACTTGCAGATTCCACAAAAAGAGCGTTTCAAAACTTCTCTATGAACAGAAAGTTTCTACTCCTTTAGTTGAGTACACACATCACGAGTAAGTTTCTGAGAATGCTTCTGTCTAGTTTTTATGGGAAGATATTTCCTTTTTCACCTTAGGCCGGAAAGCGCTCCAAATGTCCACTTACACACACTACAAAAAGAGTGTTTCAAACCTGCTCTGTGAAAGGGAATGTTCAATTCTGTGACTTGAATGCAATCATCACAAAGAACTTTACTGAGAATGCTGGCTGACTGCTTTTTATATGTAATCCCGTTTCCAACGAAATCCTCAAATCTAGCCAAATAGCCACTTGCAGATTCCACAAAAAGAGTGTTTCAAAACTGTTCTGTCTAAAGAAATGTTCAACTGTGTTAGTTGAGGACACACATCAGAAACTAGTTTCTGAGAATGCTTCTGTCTAGTTGTTATGGGAAGATATTTCCTTTTCCAACGTAGGCCTGAAAGCGCTCCAAATGTCCACTTCCATATACTAAAAAAAGAGTGTTTCAAACCTGCTCTACCAAAGGGAATGTTCTACTCTGTGACTTGAATGCAAACATCCCAAAGAAGTTTCTGAGAATGCTTCTGTCTAGATTTGAGCTGAAGACAATCCCGTTTCCAACGAAATCCTCAAAGCTAGGCAAATATACTCTAGCAGATTCCAGAAAAAGAGTGTTTCACAACTGCTCCTTCAAAACGGTGGTTCAATTCTCTTAGTTGAGTACACACATCTCAAATAAGTTTCTGAGAATGCTTCTGCCTAGTTGTTACGGGAAGATATTTCCCTTTCCAACATGGGCCTGAAAGCGCTCCAAATGTCCACTTCCAGATACTACAAAAAGAGTGTTTCAAACCTGCTCTACCAAAGGGAATGTTCTACTCTGTGACTTGAATGCAAACATCCCAAAGAAGTTTCTGAGAATGCTTCTGTCTAGATTTTACCTGAAGACAATCCCGTTTCCCACGAAATCCTCAAAGCTATGCAAATATCCTCTTGCAGATTCTACAAAAAGAGTGTTTCAAAACTGCTCTATGAAAAGAAAGGTTCAACTCTGTCAGTAGAGGGCACACATCACAAACAAGTTTCTGAGAATGCTTGTGTCTAGTTGTTATGGGAAGATATTTCCTTTTTCAACATAGGCCTGAAAGCGCTCCAAATGTCCACTTCCAGATACTACAAAAGGAGTGATTCCAACCTGCTCTATGATAGGGAATGTTCAACTCTCTGTCCTGAATACAAACATCACAAAGATGTTTCTCAGAACGCTGCAGTCTGCAATTTGTATGAATTCCCGCTTCCAACGAAATCCTCAAAACTAGCCAAATATCCACTTGCAGATTCCACAAAAAGACCATTTCAAAACTGCTCTATCAAAAGAAAGGTTCAACTTTGTTAGTTGAGTAGATACAGCATAACCAAGTTTCTGAGAATGCTTCTGTCCAGTTTTTATGGGAAGATATTTCCTTTTTCACCTTAGCCCTGAAAGCGCTCCAAAAGTCCAGTTCCAGATACTACAAAAGGAGTGTTTCAGGACTGCACTATGAAAGGGAGTGTTCAACTTTTGACTTGAATGCAAACATCAGAAAGCAGTTTCTCAGAACGCTGCTGTGTGCTTTTTATATGTATTCCCGCTTCCAGCGAAATCCCCAAAGCTAGCCAAATATCCACTTGCAGATTCCAGAAAAAGAGAGTTTCAAAACTGCTCCTTCAAAACGGTGGTTCAATTCTCTTAGTTGAGTACACACATCTCAAATAAGTTTCTGAGAATGCTTCTGTCTAGTTGTTATGGGAAGATATTTCCTTTTCCAACATAGGCCTGAAAGCGCTCCAAATGTCCACTTCCAGATACTACAAAAGGAGTGATTCAAACCTGCTCTATGATAGGGAATGTTCAACTCTGTGTCCTGAATACAAACATCACAAAGATGTTTCTCAGAACGCTGCAGTCTGCAATTTGTATGAATTCCCGCTTCCAACGAAAGCCTCAAAACTAGCCAAATATCCACTTGCAGATTCCACAAAAAGAGCGTTTCAAAACTTCTCTATGAAAAGAAAGTTTCTACTCCTTTAGTTGAGTACACACATCACGAGTAAGTTTCTGAGAATGCTTCTGTCTAGTTTTTATGGGAAGATATTTCCTTTTTCACCTTAGGCCGGAAATCGCTCCAAATGTCCACTTACACACACTACAAAAAGAGTGTTTCAAACCTGCTCTGTGAAAGGGAATGTTCAATTCTGTGACTTGAATGCAATCATCACAAAGAACTTTCTGACAATGCTGCTGTCTGCTTTTTATATGTAATCCCGTTTCCAAAGAAATCCTCAAATCTAGCCAAATATCCACTTGCAGATTCCACAAAAAGAGTGTTTCAAAACTGTCCTGTCTAAAGAAAAGTTCAACTGTGTTAGTTGAGGACACACATCAGAAACTAGTTTCTGAGAATGCTTCTGTCTAGTTGTTATGGGAAGATATTTCCTTTTCCAACGTAGGCCTGAAAGCGCTCCAAATGTCCACTTCCATATACTAAAAAAAGAGTGTTTCAAACCTGCTCTACCAAAGGGAATGTTCTACTCTGTGACTTGAATGCAAACATCCCAAAGAAGTTTCTGAGAATGCTTCTGTCTAGATTTTATCTGAAGAAAATCCCGTTTCCAACGAAATCCTCAAGGCTAGGCAAATATCCTCTTGCAGATTCCAGAAAAAGAGTGTTTCAAAACTGCTCCTTCAAAACGGTGGTTCAATTCTCTTAGTTGAGTACACACATCTCAAATACGTTTCTGAGAATGCTTCTGCCTAGTTGTTACGGGAAGATATTTCCCTTTCCAACATGGGCCTGAAAGCGCTCCAAATGTCCACTTCCAGATACTACAAAAAGAGTGTTTCAAACCTGCTCTACCAAAGGGAATGTTCTACTCTGTGACTTGAATGCAAACATCCCAAAGAAGTTTCTGAGAATGCTTCTGTCTAGATTTTAGCTGAAGACAATCCCGTTTCCCACGAAATCCTCAAAGCTATGCAAATAACCTCTTGCAGATTCTACAAAAAGAGTGTTTCAAAACTGCTCTATGAAAAGAAAGGTTCAACTCTGTCAGTAGAGGGCACACATCACAAACAAGTTTCTGAGAATGCTTGTGTCTAGTTGTTATGGGAAGATATTTCCTTTTTCAACATAGGCCTGAAAGCGCTCCAAATGTCCACTTCCAGATACTACAAAAGGAGTGATTCCAACCTGCTCTATGATAGGGAATGTTCATCTCTGTGTCCTGAATACAAACATCACAAAGATGTTTCTCATAACGCTGCAGTCTGCAATTTGTATGAATTCCCGCTTCCAACGAAATCCTCAAAACTAGCCAAATATCCACTTGCAGATTCCACAAAAAGACCATTTCAAAACTGCTCTATCAAAAGAAAGGTTCAACTTTGTTAGTTGAGTAGATACAGCATAAACAAGTTTCTGAGAATGCTTCTGTCCAGTTTTTATGGGAAGATATTTCCTTTTTCACCTTAGCCCTGAAATCGCTCCAAAAGTCCAGTTCCAGATACTACAAAAGGGGTGTTTCAAGACTGCTCTATGAAAGGGAGTGTTCAACTTTTGACTTGAATGCAAACATCAGAAAGCAGTTTGCTCAGAACGCTGGCTGTGTGCTTTTTATATGTATTCCCGCCTCCAGCGAAATCCCCAAAGCTAGCCAAATATCCACTTGCAGATTCCAGAAAAAGAGTGTTTCAAAACTGCTCCTTCAAAACGGTGGTTCAATTCTCTTAGTTGAGTACACACATCTCAAATAAGTTTCTGAGAATGCTTCTGTCTAGTTGTTATGGGAAGATATTTCCTTTTCCAACATAGGCCTGAAAGCGCTCCAAATGTCCACTTCCAGATACTACAAAAGGAGTGATTCCAACCTGCTCTATGATAGGGAATGTTCATCTCTGTGTCCTGAATACAAACATCACAAAGATGTTTCTCAGAACGCTGCAGTCTGCAATTTGTATGAATTCCCGCTTCCAACGAAATCCTCCAAACTAGCCAAATATCCACTTGCAGATTCCACAAAAAGAGCGTTTCAAAACTTCTCTATGAAAAGAAAGGTTCTACTCCTTTAGTTGAGGACACACATCACGAGTAAGTTTCTGAGAATGCTTCTGTCTAGTTTTTATGGGAAGATATTTCCTTTTTCACCTTAGGCCAGAAGGGCTCCAAATGTCCACTTACACATACTACAAAAAGAGTGTTTCAAACCTGCTCTGTGAAAGGGAATGTTCAATTCTGTGACTTGAATACAATCATCACAAAGAACTTTCTGAGAATGCTGCTGACTGCTTTTTATATGTAATCCCGTTTCCAACGAAATCCTCAAATCTAGCCAAATATCCACTTGCAGATTCCACAAAAAGAGTGTTTCATAACTGTTCTGTCTAAAGAAATGTACAACTGTGTTAGTTGAGGACACACATCAGAAACTAGTTTCTGAGAATGCTTCGGTCTAGTTGTTATGGGAAGATATTTCCTTCTCCAACGTAGGCCTGAAAGCGCTCCAAATGTCCACTTCCATATACTAAAAAAAGATTGTTTCAAACCTGCTCTACCAAAGAGAATGTTCTACTCTGTGACTTGAATGCAAACATCCCAAAGAAGTTTCTGAGAATGCTTCTGTCTAGATTTGATCTGAAGACAATCCCGTTTCCAACGAAATCCTCAAGGCTAGGCAAATATCCTCTTGCAGATTCCAGAAAAAGAGTGTTTCAAAACTGCTCCTTCAAAACGGTGGTTCAATTGCTACTTAGTTGAGTACACACATCTCAAATAAGTTTCTGAGAATGCTTTCTGCCTAGTTGTTACGGGAAGATATTTCCCTTTCCAACATAGGCCTGAAAGCGCTCCAAATGTCCACTTCCAGATACTACAAAAAGAGTGTTTCAAACCTGCTCTACCAAAGGGAATGTTCTACTCTGTGACTTGAATGCAAACATCCCAAAGAAGTTTCTGAGAATGCTTCTGTCTAGATTTTACCTGAAGACAATCCCGTTTCCCACGAAATCCTCAAAGCTATGCAAATATCCTCTTGCAGATTCTACAAAAAGAGTGTTTCAAAACTGCTCTATGAAAAGAAAGGTTCAACTCTGTCAGTAGAGGGCACACATCACAAACAAGTTTCTGAGAATGCTTGTGTCTAGTTGTTATGGGAAGATATTTCCTTTTTCAACATAGGCCAGAAAGCGCTCCAAATGTCCACTTCCAGATACTACAAAAGGAGTGATTCCAACCTGCTCTATGATAGGGAATGTTCAACTCTGTGTCCTGAATACAAACATCACAAAGATGTTTCTCAGAACGCTGCAGTCTGCAATTTGTATGAATTCCCGCTTCCAACGAAATCCTCAAAACTAGCCAAATATCCACTTGCAGATTCCACAAAAAGAGCATTTCAAAACTGCTCTATCAAAAGAAAGGTTCAACTTTGTTAGTTGAGTAGATACAGCATAAACAAGTTTCTGAGAATGCTGCAGTCTGCAATTTGTATGAATTCCCGCTTCCAACGAAATCCTCAAAACTAGCCAAATATCCACTTGCAGATTCCACAAAAAGAGCGTTTCAAAACTTCTCTATGAAAAGAAAGGTTCTACTCCTTTAGTTGAGGACACACATCACGAGTAAGTTTCTGAGAATGCTTCTGTCTAGTTTTTATGGGAAGATATTTCCTTTCTCACCTTAGGCCGGAAAGTGCTCCAAATGTCCACTTACACACACTACAAAAAGAGTGTTTCAAACCTGCTCTGTGAAAGGGAATGTTCAATTCTGTGACTTGAATGCAATCATCACAAAGAACTTTCTGAGAATGCTGCTGTCTGCTTTTTATATGTAATCCTGTTTCCAACGAAATCCTCAAATCTAGCCAAATATCCACTTGCAGATTCCACAAAAAGAGTGTTTCAAAACTGTTCTGTCTAAAGAAAAGTTCAACTGTGTTAGTTGAGGACACACATCAGAAACTAGTTTCTGAGAATGCTTCTGTCTAGTTGTTATGGGAAGATATTTCCTTTTCCAACGTAGGCCTGAAAGCGCTCCAAATGTCCGTTTCCATATACTAAAAAAAGAGTGTTTCAAACCTGCTCTACCAAAGGGAATGTTCTACTCTGTGACTTGAATGCAAACATCCCAAAGAAGTTTCTGAGAATGCTTCTGTCTAGATTTTATCTGAAGACAATCCGGTTTCCAACGAAATCCTCAAAGCTAGGCAAATATCCTCTAGCAGATTCCAGAAAAAGAGTGTTTCAAAACTGCTCCTTCAAAACGGTGGTTCAATTCTCTTAGTTGAGTACACACATCTCAAAAAAGTTTCAGAGAATGCTTCTGCCTAGTTGTTACGGGAAGATATTTCCCTTTCCAACATAGGCCTGAAAGCGCAACAAATGTCCACTTCCAGATACGACAAAAAGAGTGTTTCAAACCTGCTCTACCAAAGGGAATGTTCTACTCTGTGACTTGAATGCAAACATCCCGAAGAAGTTTCTGAGAATGCTTCTGTCTAGATTTTACCTGAAGACAATCCCGTTTCCCACGAAATCCTCAAAGCTATGCAAATATCCTCTTGCAGATTCTACAAAAAGAGTGTTTCAAAACTGCTCTATGAAAAGAAAGGTTCAACTCTGTCAGTAGAGGGCACACATCACAAACAAGTTTCTGAGAATGCTTGTGTCTAGTTGTTATGGGAAGATATTTCCTTTTTCAACATAGGCCTGAAAGCGCTCCAAATGTCCACTTCCAGATACTACAAAAGGAGTGATTCCAACCTGCTCTATGATAGGGAATGTTCAACTCTCTGTCCTGAATACAAACATCACAAAGATGTTTCTCAGAACGCTGCAGTCTGCAATTTGTATGAATTCCCGCTTCCAACGAAATCCTCAAAACTAGCCAAATATCCACTTGCAGATTCCACAAAAAGACCATTTCAAAACTGCTCTATCAAAAGAAAGGTTCAACTTTGTTAGTTGAGTAGATACAGCATAAACAAGTTTCTGAGAATGCTTCTGTCCAGTTTTTATGGGAAGATATTTCCTTTTTCACCTTAGCCCTGAAAGCGCTCCAAAAGTCCAGTTCCAGATACTACAAAAGGAGTGTTTCAGGACTGCTCTATGAAAGGGAGTGTTCAACTTTTGACTTGAATGCAAACATCAGAAAGCAGTTTCTCAGAACGCTGCTGTGTGATTTTTTATGTATTCCCGCTTCCAGCGAAATCCCCAAAGCTAGCCAAATATCCACTTGCAGATTCCAGAAAAAGAGTGTTTCAAAACTGCTCCTTCAAAACGGTGGTTCAATTCTCTTAGTTGAGTACACACATCTCAAATAAGTTTCTGAGAATGCTTCTGTCTAGTTGTTATGGGAAGATATTTCCTTTTCCAACATAGGCCTGAAAGCGCTCCAAATGTCCACTTCCAGATACTACAAAAGGAGTGATTCAAACCTGCTCTATGATAGGGAATGTTCAACTCTGTGTCCTGAATACAAACATCACAAAGATGTTTCTCAGAACGCTGCAGTCTGCAATTTGTATGAATTCCCGCTTCCAACGAAATCCTCAAAACTAGCCAAATATCCACTTGCAGATTCCACAAAAAGAGCGTTTCAAAACTTCTCTATGAAAAGAAAGGTTCTACTCCTTTAGTTGAGGACACACATCACGAGTAAGTTTCTGAGAATGCTTCTGTCTAGTTTTTATGGGAAGATATTTCGTTTTTCACCTTAGGCCGGAAAGTGCTCCAAATGTCCACTTACACACACTACAAAAAGAGGGTTTCAAACCTGCTCTGTGAAAGGGAATGTTCAATTCTGTGACTTGAATGCAATCATCACAAAGAATTTTCTAAGAATGCTGCTGTCTGCTTTTTATATGTACTCCCGTTTCCAACGAAATCCTCAAATCTAGCCAAATAGCCACTTGCAGATTCCACAAAAAGAGAGTTTCAAAACTGTTCTGTCTAAAGAAATGTTCAACTGTGTTAGTTGAGGACACACATCAGAAACTAGTTTCTGAGAATGCTTCTGTCTAGTTGTTATGGGAAGATATTTCCTTTTCCAACGTAGGCCTGAAAGCGCTCCAAATGTCCACTTCCATATACTAAAAAAAGAGTGTTTCAAACCTGCTCTACCAAAGGGAATGTTCTACTCTGTGACTTGAATGCAAACATCCCAAAGAAGTTTCTGAGAATGCTTCTGTCTAGATTTGATCTGAAGACAATCCCGTTTCCAACGAAATTCTCAAGGCTAGGCAAATATACTCTTGCAGATTCCAGAAAAAGAGTGTTTCAAAACTGCTCCTTCAAAACGGTGGTTCAATTCTCTTAGTTGAGTACACACATCTCAAATAAGTTTCTGAGAATGCTTCTGCCTAGTTGTTACGGGAAGATATTTCCCTTTCCAACATAGGCCTGAAAGCGCTCCAAATGTCCACTTCCAGATACTACAAAAAGAGTGTTTCAAACCTGCTCTACCAAAGGGAATGTTCTACTCTGTGACTTGAATGCAAACATCCCAAAGAAGTTTCTGAGAATGCTTCTGTCTAGATTTTACCTGAAGACAATCCCGTTTCCCACGAAATCCTCAAAGCTATGCAAATATCCTCTTGCGGATTCTACAAAAAGAGTGTTTCAAAACTGCTCTATGAAAAGAAAGGTTCAACTCTGTCAGTAGAGGGCACACATCACAAACAAGTTTCTGAGAATGCTTCTGCATAGTTGTTACGGGAAGATATTTCCCTTTCCAAAATAGGCCTGAAAGCGCTCCAAATGTCCACTTCCAGATACTACAAAAGGAGTGATTCCAACCTGCTCTATGATAGGGAATGTTCAACTCTGTGTCCTGAATACAAACATCACAAAGATGTTTCTCAGAACGCTGCAGTCTGCAATTTGTATGAATTCCCGCTTCCAACGAAATCCTCAAAACTAGCCAAATATCCACTTGCAGATTCCACAAAAAGAGCATTTCAAAACTGCTCTATCAAAAGAAAGGTTCAACTTTGTTAGTTGAGTAGATACAGCATAAACAAGTTTCTGAGAATGCTTCTGTCCAGTTTTTATGGGAAGATATTTCCTTTTTCACCTTAGCCCTGAAATCGCTCCAAAAGTCCAGTTCCAGATACTACAAAAGGGGTGTTTCAAGACTGCTCTATGAAAGGGAGTGTTCAACTTTTGACTTGAATGCAAACATCAGAAAGCAGTTTCTCAGAACGCTGCTGTGTGCTTTTTATATGTATTCCCGCTTCCAGCGAAATCCCCAAAGCTAGCCAAATATCCAATTGCAGATTCCAGAAAAAGAGTGTTTCAAAACTGCTCCTTCAAAACGGTGGTTCAATTCTCTTAGTTGAGTACACACTTCTCAAATAAGTTTCTGAGAATGCTGCTGTGTGCTTTTTATATGTATTCCCGCTTCCAGCGAAATCCCCAAAGCTAGCCAAATATCCACTTGCAGATTCCAGAAAAAGAGTGTTTCAAAACTGCTCCTTCAAAACGGTGGTTCAATTCTCTTAGTTGAGTACACACATCTCAAATAAGTTTCTGAGAATGCTGCAGTCTGCAATTTGTATGAATTCCCGCTTCCAACGAAATCCTCAAAACTAGCCAAATATCCACTTGGAGATTCCACAAAAAGAGCGTTTCAAAACTTCTCTATGAATAGAAATGTTCTACTCCTTTAGTTGAGGACACACATCACGAGTAAGTTTCTGAGAATGCTTCTGTCTAGTTTTTATGGGAAGATATGTCCTTTTTCACCTTAGGCCGGAAAGCGCTCCAAATGTCCACTTACACACACTACAAAAAGAGTGTTTCAAACCTGCTCTGTGAAAGGGAATGTTCAATTCTGTGACTTGAATGCAATCATCACAAAGAACTTTCTGAGAATGCTGCTGTCTGCTTTTTATATGTAATCCCGTTTCCAACGAAATCCTCAAATCTAGCCAAATATCCACTTGCAGATTCCACAAAAAGAGTGTTTCAAAACTGTTCTGTCTAAAGAAATGTTCAACTGTGTTAGTTGAGGACACACATCAGAAACTAGTTTCTGAGAATGCTTCTGTCTAGTTGTTATGGGAAGATATTTCCTTTTCCAACGTAGGCCTGAAAGCGCTCCAAATGTCCACTTCCATATACTAAAAAAAGAGTGTTTCAAACCTGCTCTACCAAAGGGAATGTTCTACTCTGTGACTTGAATGCAAACATCCCAAAGAAGTTTCTGAGAATGCTTCTGTCTAGATTTGATCTGAAGACAATCCCGTTTCCAACGAAATCCTCAAGGCTAGGCAAATATACTCTTGCAGATTCCAGAAAAAGAGTGTTTCAAAACTGCTCCTTCAAAAGGGTGGTTCAATTCTCTTAGTTGAGTACACACATCTCAAATAAGTTTCTGAGAATGCTTCTGCCTAGTTGTTACGGGAAGATATTTCCCTTTCCAACATGGGCCTGAAAGCGCTCCAAATGTCCACTTCCAGATACTACAAAAAGAGTGTTTCAAACCTGCTCTACCAAAGGGAATGTTCTACTCTGTGACTTGAATGCAAACATCCCAAAGAAGTTTCTGAGAATGCTTCTGTCTAGATTTTACCTGAAGACAATCCCGTTTCCCACGAAATCCTCAAAGCTATGCAAATATCCTCTTGCAGATTCTACAAAAAGAGTGTTTCAAAACTGCTCTATGAAAAGAAAGGTTCAACTCTGTCAGTAGAGGGCACACATCACAAACAAGTTTCTGAGAATGCTTGTGTCTAGTTGTTATGGGAAGATATTTCCTTTTTCAACATAGGCCTGAAAGCGCTCCAAATGTCCACTTCCAGATACTACAAAAGGAGTGATTCCAACCTGCTCTATGATAGGGAATGTTCAACTCTCTGTCCTGAATACAAACATCACAAAGATGTTTCTCAGAACGCTGCAGTCTGCAATTTGTATGAATTCCCGCTTCCAACGAAATCCTCAAAACTAGCCAAATATCCACTTGCAGATTCCACAAAAAGAGCATTTCAAAACTGCTCTATCAAAAGAAAGGTTCAACTTTGTTAGTTGAGTAGATACAGCATAAACAAGTTTCTGAGAATGCTGCAGTCTGCAATTTGTATGAATTCCCGCTTCCAACGAAATCCTCAAAACTAGCCAAATATCCACTTGGAGATTCCACAAAAAGAGCGTTTCAAAACTTCTCTATGAATAGAAAGGTTCTACTCCTTTAGTTGAGGACACACATCACGAGTAAGTTTCTGAGAATGCTTCTGTCTAGTTTTTATGGGAAGATATTTCCTTTCTCACCTTAGGCCGGAAAGTGCTCCAAATGTCCACTTACACACACTACAAAAAGAGTGTTTCAAACCTGCTCTGTGAAAGGGAATGTTCAATTCTGTGACTTGAATGCAATCATCACAAAGAACTTTCTGAGAATGCTGCTGTCTGCTTTTTATATGTAATCCCGTTTCCAACGAAATCCTCAAATCTAGCCAAATAGCCACTTGCAGATTCCACAAAAAGAGTGTTTCAAAACTGTTCTGTCTAAAGAAATGTTCAACTGTGTTAGTTGAGGACACACATCAGAAACTAGTTTCTGAGAATGCTTCTGTCTAGTTGTTATGGGAAGATATTTCCTTTTCCAACGTAGGCCTGAAAGCGCTCCAAATGTCCACTTCCATATACTAAAAAAAGAGTGTTTCAAACCTGCTCTACCAAAGGGAATGTTCTACTCTGTGACTTGAATGCAAACATCCCAAAGAAGTTTCTGAGAATGCTTCTGTCTAGATTTGATCTAAAGACAATCCCGTTTCCAACGAAATCCTCAAGGCTAGGCAAATATCCTCTTGCAGATTCCAGAAAAAGAGTGTTTCAAAACTGCTCCTTCAAAACGGTGATTCAATTCTCTTAGTTGAGTACACACATCTCAAATAAGTTTCTGAGAATGCTTCTGCCTAGTTGTTAAGGGAAGATATTTCCCTTTCCAACATAGGCCTGAAAGCGTTCCAAATGTCCACTTCCAGATACTACAAAAAGAGTGTTTCAAACCTGCTCTACCAAAGGGAATGTTCTACTCTGTGACTTGAATGCAAACATCCCAAAGAAGTTTCTGAGAATGCTTCTGTCTAGATTTTATCTGAAGACAATCCCGTTTCCAACGAAATTCTCAAGGCTAGGCAAATATACTCTTGCAGGATTCCAGAAAAAGAGTGTTTCAAAACTGCTCCTTCAAAACGGTGGTTCAATTCTCTTAGTTGAGTACACACATCTCAAATAAGTTTCTGAGAATGCTTCTGCATAGTTGTTACGGGAAGATATTTCCCTTTCCAAAATAGGCCTGAAAGCGCTCCAAATGTCCACTTCCAGATACTACAAAAGGAGTGATTCCAACCTGCTCTATGATAGGGAATGTTCAACTCTGTGTCCTGAATACAAACATCACAAAGATGTTTCTCAGAACGCTGCAGTCTGCAATTTGTATGAATTCCCGCTTCCAACGAAATCCTCAAAACTAGCCAAATATCCACTTGCAGATTCCACAAAAAGACCATTTCAAAACTGCTCTATCAAAAGAAAGGTTCAACTTTGTTAGTTGAGTAGATACAGCATAACCAAGTTTCTGAGAATGCTTCTGTCCAGTTTTTATGGGAAGATATTTCCTTTTTCACCTTAGCCCTGAAATCGCTCCAAAAGTCCAGTTCCAGATACTACAAAAGGGGTGTTTCAAGACTGCTCTATGAAAGGGAGTGTTCAACTTTTGACTTGAATGCAAACATCAGAAAGCAGTTTCTCAGAACGCTGCTGTGTGCTTTTTATATGTATTCCCGCTTCCAGCGAAATCCCCAAAGCTAGCCAAATATCCACTTGCAGATTCCAGAAAAAGAGTGTTTCAAAACTGCTCCTTCAAAACGGTGGTTCAATTCTCTTAGTTGAGTACACACATCTCAAATAAGTTTCTGAGAATGCTTGTGTCTAGTTGTTATGGGAAGATATTTCCTTTTTCAACATAGGCCTGAAAGCGCTCCAAATGTCCACTTCCAGATACTACAAAAGGAGTGATTCCAACATGCTCTATGATAGGGAATGTTCATCTCTGTGTCTTGAATACAAACATCACAAAGATGTTTCTCAGAACGCTGCAGTCTGCAATTTGTATGAATTCTCGCTTCCAACGAAATCCTCAAAACTAGCCAAATATCCACTTGGAGATTCCACAAAAAGAGCGTTTCAAAACTTCTCCATGAATAGAAAGGTTCTACTCCTTTAGTTGAGGACACACATCACGAGTAAGTTTCTGAGAATGCTTCTGTCTAGTTTTTATGGGAAGATATGTCCTTTTTCACCTTAGGCCGGAAAGCGCTCCAAATGTCCACTTACACACACTACAAAAAGAGTGTTTCAAACCTGCTCTGTGAAAGGGAATGTTCAATTCTGTGACTTGAATGCAATCATCACAAAGAACTTTCTGAGAATGCTGCTGACTGCTTTTTATATGTAATCCCGTTTCCAACGAAATCCTCAAATCTAGCCAAATAGCCACTTGCAGATTCCACAAAAAGAGTGTTTCAAAACTGTTCTGTCTAAAGAAATGTTCAACTGTGTTAGTTGAGGACACACATCAGAAACTAGTTTCTGAGAATGCTTCTGTCTAGTTGTTATGGGAAGATATTTCCTTTTCCAACGTAGGCCTGAAAGCGCTCCAAATGTCCACTTCCATATACGAAAAAAAGAGTGTTTCAAACCTGCTCTACCAAAGGGAATGTTCTACTCTGTGACTTGAATGCAAACATCCCAAAGAAGTTTCTGAGAATGCATTTGTCTAGATTTTATCTGAAGACAATCCGGTTTCCAACGAAATCCTCAAGGCTAGGCAAATATACTCTTGCAGATTCCAGAAAAAGAGTGTTTCAAAACTGCTCCTTCAAAACGGTGGTTCAATTCTCTTAGTTGAGTACACACATCTCAAATAAGTTTCTGAGAATGCTTCTGCCTAGTTGTTACGGGAAGATATTTCCCTTTCCAACATAGGCCTGAAAGCGCTCCAAATGTCCACTTCCAGATACTACAAAAAGAGTGTTTCAAACCTGCTCTACCAAAGGGAATGTTCTACTCTGTGACTTGAATGCAAACATCCCAAAGAAGTTTCTGAGAATGCTTCTGTCTAGATTTTACCTGAAGACAATCCCGTTTCCCACGAAATCCTCATAGCTATGCAAATATCCTCTTGCAGATTCTACAAAAAGAGTGTTTCGAAACTGCTCTATGAAAAGAAAGGTTCAACTCTGTCAGTAGAGGGCACACATCACAAACAAGTTTCTGAGAATGTTTGTGTCTAGTTGTTATGGGAAGATATTTCCTTTTTCAACATAGGCCTGAAAGCGCTCCAAATGTCCACTTCCAGATACTACAAAAGGAGTGATTCCAACCTGCTCTATGATAGGGAATGTTCATCTCTGTGTCCTGAATACAAACATCACAAAGATGTTTCTCAGAACGCTGCAGTCTGCAATTTGTATGAATTCCCGCTTCCAACGAAATCCTCAAAACTAGCCAAATATCCACTTGCAGATTCCACAAAAAGACCATTTCAAAACTGCTCTATCAAAAGAAAGGTTCAACTTTGTTAGTTGAGTAGATACAGCATAAACAAGTTTCTGAGAATGCTTCTGTCCAGTTTTTATGGGAAGATATTTCCTTTTTCACCTTAGCCCTGAAAGCGCTCCAAAAGTCCAGTTCCAGATACTACAAAAGGAGTGTTTCAGGACTGCTCTATGAAAGGGAGTGTTCAACTTTTGACTTGAATGCAAACATCAGAAAGCAGTTTCTCAGAACGCTGCTGTGTGCTTTTTATATGTATTCCCGCTTCCAGCGAAATCCCCAAAGCTAGCCAAATATCCACTTGCAGATTCCAGAAAAAGAGTGTTTCAAAACTGCTCCTTCAAAACGGTGGTTCAATTCTCTTAGTTGAGTACACACATCTCAAATAAGTTTCTGAGAATGCTTCTGTCTAGTTGTTATGGGAAGATATTTCCTTTTCCAACATAGGCCTGAAAGCGCTCCAAATGTCCACTTCCAGATACTACAAAAGGAGTGATTCAAACCTGCTCTATGATAGGGAATGTTCAACTCTGTGTCCTGAATACAAACATCACAAAGATGTTTCTCAGAACGCTGCAGTCTGCAATTTGTATGAATTCCCGCTTCCAACGAAATCCTCAAAACTAGCCAAATATCCACTTGCAGATTCCACAAAAAGAGCGTTTCAAAACTTCTCTATGAAAAGAAAGGTTCTACTCCTTTAGTTGAGGACACACATCACGAGTAAGTTTGCTGAGAATGCTTATCTGTCTAGTTTTTATGGGAAGATATTTCCTTTTTCACCTTAGGCCGGTAAGTGCTCCAAATGTCCACTTACACACACTACAAAAAGAGTGTTTCAAACCTGCTCTGTGAAAGGGAATGTTCAATTCTGTGACTTGAATGCAATCATCACAAAGAACTTTCTGAGAATGCTGCTGACTGCTTTTTATATGTAATCCCGTTTCCAACGAAATCCTCAAATCTAGCCAAATAGCCACTTGCAGATTCCACAAAAAGAGTGTTTCAAAACTGTTCTGTCTAAAGAAATGTTCAACTGTGTTAGTTGAGGACACACATCAGAAACTAGTTTCTGAGAATGCTTCTGTCTAGTTGTTATGGGAAGATATTTCCTTTTCCAACGTAGGCCTGAAAGCGCTCCAAATGTCCACTTACACACACTACAAAAAGAGTGTTTCAAACCTGCTCTACCAAAGGGAATGTTCTACTCTGTGACTTGAATGCAAACATCCCAAAGAAGTTTCTGAGAATGCTTCTGTCTAGATTTTACCTGAAGACAATCCCGTTTCCCACGAAATCCTCAAAGCTATGCAAATATCCTCTTGCAGATTCTACAAAAAGAGTGTCTCGAAACTGCTCTATGAAAAGAAAGGTTCAACTGTCTCAGTAGAGGGCACACATCACAAACAAGTTTCTGAGAATGCTTCTGCATAGTTGTTACGGGAAGATATTTCCCTTTCCAAAATAGGCCTGAAAGCGCTCCAAATGTCCACTTCCAGATACTACAAAAGGAGTGATTCCAACCTGCTCTATGATAGGGAATGTTCAACTCTGTGTCCTGAATACAAACATCACAAAGATGTTTCTCAGAACGCTGCAGTCTGCAATTTGTATGAATTCCCGCTTCCAACGAAATCCTCAAAACTAGCCAAATATCCACTTGCAGATTCCACAAAAAGACCATTTCAAAACTGCTCTATCAAAAGAAAGGTTCAACTTTGTTAGTTGAGTAGATACAGCATAAACAAGTTTCTGAGAATGCTTCTGTCCAGTTTTTATGGGAAGATATTTCCTTTTTCACCTTAGCCCTGAAAGCGCTCCAAAAGTCCAGTTCCAGATACTACAAAAGGAGTGTTTCAGGACTGCTCTATGAAAGGGAGTGTTCAACTTTTGACTTGAATGCAAACATCAGAAAGCAGTTTCTCAGAACGCTCTGTGTGCTTTTTATATGTATTCCCGCTTCCAGCGAAATCCCCAAAGCTAGCCAAATATCCACTTGCAGATTCCAGAAAAAGAGTGTTTCAAAACTGCTCCTTCAAAACGGTGGTTCAATTCTCTTAGTTGAGTACACACATCTCAAATAAGTTTCTGAGAATGCTTTCTGTCCAGTTTTTATGGGAAGATATTTCCTTTTTCACCTTAGCCCGTGAAATCGCTCCAAAAGTCCAGTTCCAGATACTACAAAAGGGGTGTTTCAGGACTGCTCTATGAAAGGGAGTGTTCAACTTTTGACTTGAATGCAAACATCAGAAAGCAGTTTCTCAGAACGCTGCAGTCTGCAATTTGTATGAATTCCCGCTTCCAACGAAATCCTCAAAACTAGCCAAATATCCACTTGCAGATTCCACAAAAAGAGCGTTTCAAAACTTCTCTATGAAAAGAAAGGTTCTACTCCTTTAGTTGAGGACACACATGACGAGTAAGTTTCTGAGAATGCTTCTGTCTAGTTTTTATGGGAAGATATTTCCTTGTTCACCTTAGGCCGGAAAGCGCTCCAAATGTCCACTTACACACACTACAAAAAGAGTGTTTCAAACCTGCTCTACGAAAGGGAATGTTCTACTCTGTGACTTGAATGCAAACATCCCAAAGAAGTTTCTGAGAATGCTGCTGTCTGCTTTTTATATGTAATCCTGTTTCCAACGAAATCCTCAAATCTAGCCAAATATCCACTTGCAGATTCCACAAAAAGAGTGTTTCAAAACTGTTCTGTCTAAAGAAAAGTTCAACTGTGTTAGTTGAGGACACACATCAGAAACTAGTTTCTGAGAATGCTTCTGTCTAGTTGTTATGGGAAGATATTTCCTTTTCCAACGTAGGCCTGAAAGCGCTCCAAATGTCCACTTCCATATACTAAAAAAAGAGTGTTTCAAACCTGCTCTACCAAAGGGAATGTTCTACTCTGTGACTTGAATGCAAACATCCCAAAGAAGTTTCTGAGAATGCTTCTGTCTAGATTTTCTCTGAAGACAATCCCGTTTCCAACGAAATCCTCAAGGCTAGGCAAATATACTCTTGCAGATTCCAGAAAAAGAGTGTTTCAAAACTGCTCCTTCAAAACGGTGGTTCAATTCTCTTAGTTGAGTACACACATCTCAAATAAGTTTCTGAGAATGCTTCTGCCTAGTTGTTACGGGAAGATATTTCCCTTTCCAACATGGGCCTGAAAGCGCTCCAAATGTCCACTTCCAGATACTACAAAAAGAGTGTTTCAAACCTGCTCTACCAAAGGGAATGTTCTACTCTGTGACTTGAATGCAAACATCCCAAAGAAGTTTCTGAGAATGCTTCTGTCTAGATTTTACCTGAAGACAATCCCGTTTCCCACGAAATCCTCAAAGCTATGCAAATATCCTCTTGCAGATTCTACAAAAAGAGTGTTTCGAAACTGCTCTATGAAAAGAAAGGTTCAACTGTGTCAGTAGAGGGCACACATCACAAACAAGTTTCTGAGAATGCTTCTGCCTAGTTGTTATGGGAAGATATTTCCTTTTTCAACATAGGCCTGAAAGCGCTCCAAATGTCCACTTCCAGATACTACAAAAGGAGTGATTCCAACCTGCTCTATGATAGGGAATGTTCAACTCTGTGTCCTGAATACAAACATCACAAAGATGTTTCTCAGAACGCTGCAGTCTGCAATTTGTATGAATTCCCGCTTCCAACGAAATCCTCAAAACTAGCCAAATATCCACTTGCAGATTCCACAAAAAGACCATTTCAAAACTGCTCTATCAAAAGAAAGGTTCAACTTTGTTAGTTGAGTAGATACAGCATAAACAAGTTTCTGAGAATGCTTCTGTCCAGTTTTTATGGGAAGATATTTCCTTTTTCACCTTAGCCCTGAAATCGCTCCAAAAGTCCAGTTCCAGATACTACAAAAGGGGTGTTTCAAGACTGCTCTATGAAAGGGAGTGTTCAACTTTTGACTTGAATGCAAACATCAGAAAGCAGTTTCTCAGAACGCTGCTGTGTGCTTTTTATATGTATTCCCGCTTCCAGCGAAATCCCCAAAGCTAGCCAAATATCCACTTGCAGATTCCAGAAAAAGAGTGTTTCAAAACTGCTCCTTCAAAACGGTGGTTCAATTCTCTTAGTTGAGTACACACATCTCAAATAAGTTTCTGAGAATGCTTGTGTCTAGCTGTTATGGGAAGATATTTCCTTTTTCAACATAGGCCTGAAAGCGCTCCAAATGTCCACTTCCAGATACTACAAAAGGAGTGATTCCAACATGCTCTATGATAGGGAATGTTCATCTCTGTGTCTTGAATACAAACATCACAAAGATGTTTCTCAGAACGCTGCAGTCTGCAATTTGTATGAATTCCCGCTTCCAACGAAATCCTCAAAACTAGCCAAATATCCACTTGGAGATTCCACAAAAAGAGCGTTTCAAAACTTCTCTATGAATAGAAAGGTTCTACTCCTTTAGTTGAGGACACACATCACGAGTAAGTTTCTGAGAATGCTTCTGTCTAGTTTTTATGGGAAGATATTTCCTTTTTCACCTTAGGCCGGAAAGCGCTCCAAATGTCCACTTACACACACTACAAAAAGAGTGTTTCAAACCTGCTCTGTGAAAGGGAATGTTCAATTCTGTGACTTGAATGCAATCACCACAAAGAACTTTCTGAGAATGCTGCTGTCTGCTTTTTATATGTAATCCCGTTTCCAACGAAATCCTCAAATCTAGCCCAATATCCACTTGCAGATTCCACAAAAAGAGTGTTTCAAAACTGTTCTGTCTAAAGAAAAGTTCAACTGTGTTAGTTGAGGACACACATCAGAAACTAGTTTCTGAGAATGCTTCTGTCTAGTTGTTATGGGAAGATATTTCCTTTTCCAACGTAGGCCTGAAAGCGCTCCAAATGTCCACTTCCATATACTAAAAAAAGAGTGTTTCAAACCTGCTCTACCAAAGGGAATGTTCTACTCTCTGACTTGAATGCAAACATCCCAAAGAAGTTTCTGAGAATGCTTCTGTCTAGATTTTATCTGAAGACAATCCCGTTTCCAACGAAATCCTCAAGGCTAGGCAAATATACTCTTGCAGATTCCAGAAAAAGAGGGTTTCAAAACTGCTCCTTCAAAACGGTGGTTCAATTCTCTTAGTTGAGTACACACATCTCAAATAAGTTTCTGAGAATGCTTCTGCCTAGTTGTTACGGGAAGATATTTCCCTTTCCAACATGGGCCTGAAAGCGCTCCAAATGTCCACTTCCAGATACTACAAAAAGAGTGTTTCAAACCTGCTCTACCAAAGGGAATGTTCTACTCTGTGACTTGAATGCAAACATCCCAAAGAAGTTTCTGAGAATGCTTCTGTCTAGATTTTACCTGAAGACAATCCCGTTTCCCACGAAATCCTCAAAGCTATGCAAATATCCTCTTGCAGATTCTACAAAAAGAGTGTTTCAAAACTGCTCTATGAAAAGAAAGGTTCAACTCTGTCAGTAGAGGGCACACATCACAAACAAGTTTCTGAGAATGCTTGTGTCTAGTTGTTATGGGAAGATATTTCCTTTTTCAACATAGGCCTGAAAGCGCTCCAAATGTCCACTTCCAGATACTACAAAAGGAGTGATTCCAACCTGCTCTATGATAGGGAATGTTCATCTCTGTGTCCTGAATACAAACATCACAAAGATGTTTCTCAGAACGCTGCAGTCTGCAATTTGTATGAATTCCCGCTTCCAACGAAATCCTCAAAACTAGCCAAATATCCACTTGCAGATTCCACAAAAAGACCATTTCAAAACTGCTCTATCAAAAGAAAGGTTCAACTTTGTTAGTTGAGTAGATACAGCATAAACAAGTTTCTGAGAATGCTTCTGTCCAGTTTTTATGGGAAGATATTTCCTTTTTCACCTTAGCCCTGAAATCGCTCCAAAAGTCCAGTTCCAGATACTACAAAAGGGGTGTTTCAAGACTGCTCTATGAAAGGGAGTGTTCAACTTTTGACTTGAATGCAAACATCAGAAAGCAGTTTCTCAGAACGCTGCTGTGTGCTTTTTATATGTATTCCCGCTTCCAGCGAAATCCCCAAAGCTAGCCAAATATCCACTTGCAGATTCCAGAAAAAGAGTGTTTCAAAACTGCTCCTTCAAAACGGTGGTTCAATTCTCTTAGTTGAGTACACACATCTCAAATAAGTTTCTGAGAATGCTTGTGTCTAGTTGTTATGGGAAGATATATCCTTTTTCAACATAGGCCTGAAAGCGCTCCAAATGTCCACTTCCAGATACTACAAAAGGAGTGATTACAACCTGTTCTATGATAGGGAATGTTCAACTCTGTGTCCTGAATACAAACATCACAAAGATGTTTCTCAGAACGCTGCAGTCTGCAATTTGTATGAATTCCCGCTTCCAACGAAATCCTCCAAACTAGCCAAATATCCACTTGCAGATTCCACAAAAAGAGCGTTTCAAAACTTCTCTATGAAAAGAAAGGTTCTACTCCTTTAGTTGAGGACACACATCACGAGTAAGTTTCTGAGAGTGCTTCTGTCTAGTTTTTATGGGAAGATATTTCCTTTTTCACCTTAGGCCGGAAAGTGCTCCAAATGTCCACTTACACACACTACAAAAAGAGTGTTTCAAACCTGCTCTGTGAAAGGGAATGTTCAATTCTGTGACTTGAATGCAATCATCACAAAGAAGTTTCTGAGAATGCTGCTGTCTGCTTTTTATATGTAATCCCGTTTCCAACGAAATCCTCAAATCTAGCCAAATATCCACTTGCAGATTCCACAAAAAGAGTGTTTCAAAACTGTTCTGTCTAAAGAAAAGTTCAACTGTGTTAGTTGAGGACACACATCAGAAACTAGTTTCTGAGAATGCTTCTGTCTAGTTGTTATGGGAAGATATTTCCTTTTCCAACGTAGGCCTGAAAGCGCTCCAAATGTCCACTTCCATATACTAAAAAAAGAGTGTTTCAAACCTGCTCTACCAAAGGGAATGTTCTACTCTGTGACTTGAATGCAAACATCCCAAAGAAGTTTCTGAGAATGCTTCTGTCTAGATTTGATCTGAAGACAATCCCGTTTCCAACGAAATCCTCAAGGCTAGGCAAATATCCTCTTGCAGATTCCAGAAAAAGAGTGTTTCAAAACTGCTCCTTCAAAACGGTGGTTCAATTCTCTTAGTTGAGTACACACATCTCAAATAAGTTTCCTGAGAATGCTTCTGCCTAGTTGTTACGGGAAGGTATTTCCCTTTCCAACATAGGCCTGAAAGCGCTCCAAATGTCCACTTCCAGATACTACAAAAAGAGTGTTTCAAACCTACTCTACCAAAGGGAATGTTCTACTCTGTGACTTGAATGCAAACATCCCAAAGAAGTTTCTGAGAATGCTTCTGTCTAGATTTTACCTGAAGACAATCCCGTTTCCCACGAAATCCTCAAAGCTATGCAAATATCCTCTTGCAGATTCTACAAAAAGAGTGTTTCAAAACTGCTCTATGAAAAGAAAGGTTCAACTCTGTCAGTAGAGGGCACACATCACAAACAAGTTTCTGAGAATGCTTCTGCATAGTTGTTACGGGAAGATATTTCCCTTTCCAAAATAGGCCTGAAAGCGCTCCAAATGTCCACTTCCAGATACTACAAAAGGAGTGATTCCAACCTGCTCTATGATAGGGAATGTTCAACTCTCTGTCCTGAATACAAACATCACAAAGATGTTTCTCAGAACGCTGCAGTCTGCAATTTGTATGAATTCCCGCTTCCAACGAAATCCTCAAAACTAGCCAAATATCCACTTGCAGATTCCACAAAAAGACCATTTCAAAACTGCTCTATCAAAAGAAAGGTTCAACTTTGTTAGTTGAGTAGATACAGCATAAACAAGTTTCTGAGAATGCTTCTGTCCAGTTTTTATGGGAAGATATTTCCTTTTTCACCTTAGCCCTGAAATCGCTCCAAAAGTCCAGTTCCAGATACTACAAAAGGGGTGTTTCAAGACTGCTCTATGAAAGGGAGTGTTCAACTTTTGACTTGAATGCAAACATCAGAAAGCAGTTTCTCAGAACGCTGCTGTGTGCTTTTTATATGTATTCCCGCTTCCAGCGAAATCCCCAAAGCTAGCCAAATATCCACTTGCAGATTCCAGAAAAAGAGTGTTTCAAAACTGCTCCTTCAAAACGGTGGTTCAATTCTCTTAGTTGAGTACACACATCTCAAATAAGTTTCTGAGAATGCTTCTGTCTAGTTGTTATGGGAAGATATTTCCTTTTCCAACATAGGCCTGAAAGCGCTCCAAATGTCCACTTCCAGATACTACAAAAGGAGTGATTCAAACCTGCTCTATGATAGGGAATGTTCAACTCTGTGTCCTGAATACAAACATCACAAAGATGTTTCTCAGAACGCTGCAGTCTGCAATTTGTATGAATTCCCGCTTCCAACGAAATCCTCCAAACTAGCCAAATATCCACTTGCAGATTCCACAAAAAGAGCGTTTCAAAACTTCTCTATGAAAACAAAGGTTCTACTCCTTTAGTTGAGGACACACATCACGAGTAAGTTTCTGAGAATGCTTCTGTCTAGTTTTTATGGGAAGATATGTCCTTTTTCACCTTAGGCCGAAAAGCGCTCCAAATGTCCACTTACACACACTACAGAAAGAGTGTTTCAAACCTGCTCTGTGAAAGGGAATGTTCAATTCTGTGACTTGAATGCAATCATCACAAAGAACTTTCTGAGAATGCTGCTGTCTGCTTTTTATATGTAATCCCGTTTCCAACGAAATCCTCAAATCTAGCCAAATATCCACTTGCAGATTCCACAAAGAGAGTGTTTCAAAACTGTTCTGTCTAAAGAAATGTTCAACTGTGTTAGTTGAGGACACACATCAGAAACTAGTTTCTGAGAATGCTTCTGTCTAGTTGTTATGGGAAGATATTTCCTTTTCCAACGTAGGCCTGAAAGCGCTCCAAATGTCCACTTCCATATACTAAAAAAAGAGTGTTTCAAACCTGCTCTACCAAAGGGAATGTTCTACTCTGTGACTTGAATGCAAACATCCCAAAGAAGTTTCTGAGAATGCTTCTGTCTAGATTTGATCTGAAGACAATCCCGTTTCCAACGAAATCCTCAAGGCTAGGCAAATATCCTCTTGCAGATTCCAGAAAAAGAGTGTTTCAAAACTGCTCCTTCAAAACGGTGGTTCAATTCTCTTAGTTGAGTACACACATCTCAAATAAGTTTCTGAGAATGCTTCTGCCTAGTTGTTACGGGAAGATATTTCCCTTTCCAACATAGGCCTGAAAGCGCTCCAAATGTCCACTTCCAGATACTACAAAAAGAGTGTTTCAAACCTGCTCTACCAAAGGGAATGTTCTACTCTGTGACTTGAATGCAAACATCCCAAAGAAGTTTCTGAGAATGCTTCTGTCTAGATTTTACCTGAAGACAATCCCGTTTCCCACGAAATCCTCAAAGCTATGCAAATATCCTCTTGCAGATTCTACAAAAAGAGTGTTTCAAAACTGCTCTATGAAAAGAAAGGTTCAACTCTGTCAGTAGAGGGCACACATCACAAACAAGTTTCTGAGAATGCTTCTGCATAGTTGTTACGGGAAGATATTTCCCTTTCCAAAATAGGCCTGAAAGCGCTCCAAATGTCCACTTCCAGATACTACAAAAGGAGTGATTCCAACCTGCTCTATGATAGGGAATGTTCAACTCTGTGTCCTGAATACAAACATCACAAAGATGTTTCTCAGAACGCTGCAGTCTGCAATTTGTATGAATTCCCGCTTCCAACGAAATCCTCAAAACTAGCCAAATATCCACTTGCAGATTCCACAAAAAGACCATTTCAAAACTGCTCTATCAAAAGAAAGGTTCAACTTTGTTAGTTGAGTAGATACAGCATAAACAAGTTTCTGAGAATGCTTCTGTCCAGTTTTTATGGGAAGATATTTCCTTTTTCACCTTAGCCCTGAAATCGCTCCAAAAGTCCAGTTCCAGATACTACAAAAGGGGTGTTTCAGGACTGCTCTATGAAAGGGAGTGTTCAACTTTTGACTTGAATGCAAACATCAGAAAGCAGTTTCTCAGAACGCTGCTGTGTGCTTTTTATATGTATTCCCGCTTCCAGCGAAATCCCCAAAGCTAGCCAAATATCCACTTGCAGATTCCAGAAAAAGAGAGTTTCAAAACTGCTCCTTCAAAACGGTGGTTCAATTCTCTTAGTTGAGTACACACATCTCAAATAAGTTTCTGAGAATGCTAGTGTCTAGTTTTTATGGGAAGATATTTCCTTTTTCAACATAGGCCTGAAAGCGCTCCAAATGTCCACTTCCAGATACTACAAAAGGAGTGATTCCAACCTGCTCGATGATAGGGAATGTTCAACTCTATGTCCTGAGTACAAACATCACAAAGATGTTTCTCAGAACGCTGCAGTCTGCAATTTGGATGAATTCCCGCTTCCAACGAAATCCTCAAAACTAGCCAAATATCCACTTGGAGATTCCACAAAAAGAGCGTTTCAAAACTTCTCTATGAATAGAAAGGTTCTACTCCTTTAGTTGAGGACACACATCACGAGTAAGTTTCTGAGAATGCTTCTGTCTAGTTTTTATGGGAAGATATTTCCTTTTTCACCTTAGGCCGGTAAGTGCTCCAAATGTCCACTTACACACACTACAAAAAGAGTGTTTCAAACCTGCTCTGTGAAAGGGAATGTTCAATTCTGTGACTTGAATGCAATCATCACAAAGAACTTTCTGAGAATGCTGCTGACTGCTTTTTATATGTAATCCCGTTTCCAACGAAATCCTCAAATCTAGCCAAATAGCCACTTGCAGATTCCACAAAAAGAGTGTTTCAAAACTGTTCTGTCTAAAGAAATGTTCAACTGTGTTAGTTGAGGACACACATCAGAAACTAGTTTCTGAGAATGCTTCTGTCTAGTTGTTATGGGAAGATATTTCCTTTTCCAACGTAGGCCTGAAAGCGCTCCAAATGTCCACTTCCATATACTAAAAAAAGAGTGTTTCAAACCTGCTCTAACAAAGGGAATGTTCTACTCTGTGACTTGAATGCAAACATCCCAAAGAAGTTTCTGAGAATGCTTCTGTCTAGATTTTATCTGAAGACAATCCCGTTTCCAACGAAATCCTCAAGGCTAGGCAAATATACTCTTGCAGATTCCAGAAAAAGAGGGTTTCAAAACTGCTCCTTCAAAACGGTGGTTCAATTCTCTTAGTTGAGTACACACATCTCAAATAAGTTTCTGAGAATGCTTCTGCCTAGTTGTTACGGGAAGATATTTCCCTTTCCAACATGGGCCTGATAGTGCTCCAAATGTCCACTTCCAGATACTACAAAAAGAGTGTTTCAAACCTGCTCTACCAAAGGGAATGTTCTACTCTGTGACTTGAATGCAAACATCCCAAAAAAGTTTCTGAGAATGCTTCTGTCTAGATTTTACCTGAAGACAATCCCGTTTCCCACGAAATCCTCAAAGCTATGCAAATATCCTCTTGCAGATTCTACAAAAAGAGTGTTTCAAAACTGCTCTATGAAAAGAAAGGTTCAACTCTGTCAGTAGAGGGCACACATCACAAACAAGTTTCTGAGAATGCTTGTGTCTAGTTGTTATGGGAAGATATTTCCTTTTTCAACATAGGCCTGAAAGCGCTCCAAATGTCCACTTCCAGATACTACAAAAGGAGTGATTCCAACCTGCTCTATGATAGGGAATGTTCATCTCTGTGTCCTGAATACAAACATCACAAAGATGTTTCTCAGAACGCTGCAGTCTGCAATTTGCATGAATTCCAGCTTCCAACGAAATCCTCAAAACTAGCCAAATATCCACTTGCAGATTCCACAAAAAGAGCATTTCAAAACTGCTCTATCAAAAGAAAGGTTCAACTTTGTTAGTAGAGTAGATACAGCATAAACAAGTTTCTGAGAATGCTTCTGTCCAGTTTTTATGGGAAGATATTTCCTTTTTCACCTTAGCCCTGAAAGCGCTCCAAATGTCCAGTTCCAGATACTACAAAAGGGGTGTTTCAAGACTGCTCTATGAAAGGGAGTGTTCAACTTTTGACTTGAATGCAAACATCAGAAAGCAGTTTCTCAGAACGCTGCTGTGTGCTTTTTATATGTATTCCCGCTTCCAGCGAAATCCCCCAAAGCTAGCCAAATATCCACTTGCAGATTCCAGAAAAAGAGTGTTTCAAAACTGCTCCTTCAAAACGGTGGTTCAATTCTCTTAGTTGAGTACACACATCTCAAATAAGTTTCTGAGAATGCTTCTGTCTAGTTGTTATGGGAAGATATTTCCTTTTCCAACATAGGCCTGAAAGCGCTCCAAATGTCCACTTCCAGATACTACAAAAGGAGTGATTCAAACCTGCTCTATGATAGGGAATGTTCAACTCTGTGTCCTGAATACAAACATCACAAAGATGTTTCTCAGAACGCTGCAGTCTGCAATTTGTATGAATTCCCGCTTCCAACGAAATCCTCAAAACTAGCCAAATATCCACTTGCAGATTCCACAAAAAGACCATTTCAAAACTGCTCTATCAAAAGAAAGGTTCAACTTTGTTAGTTGAGTAGATACAGCATAACCAAGTTTCTGAGAATGCTTCTGTCCAGTTTTTATGGGAAGATATTTCCTTTTTCACCTTAGCCCTGAAATCGCTCCAAAAGTCCAGTTCCAGATACTACAAAAGGGGTGTTTCAAGACTGCTCTATGAAAGGGAGTGTTCAACTTTTGACTTGAATGCAAACATCAGAAAGCAGTTTCTCAGAACGCTGCTGTGTGCTTTTTATATGTATTCCCGCTTCCAGCGAAATCCCCAAAGCTAGCCAGATATCCACTTGCAGATTCCAGAAAAAGAGTGTTTCAAAACTGCTCCTTCAAAACGGTGGTTCAATTCTGCTTAGTTGAGTACGCACATCTCAAATAAGTTTCTGAGAATGCTTTCTGTCTAGTTGTTATGGGAAGATATTTCCTTTTTCAACATAGGCCTGAAAGCGCTCCAAATGTCCACTTCCAGATACTACAAAAGGAGTGATTCCAACCTGCTCTATGATAGGGAATGTTCAACTCTGTGTCCTGAATACAAACATCACAAAGATGTTTCTCAGAACGCTGCAGTCTGCAATTTGTATGAATTCCCGCTTCCAACGAAATCCTCCAAACTAGCCAAATATCCACTTGCAGATTCCACAAAAAGAGCGTTTCAAAACTTCTCTATGAAAAGAAAGTTTCTACTCCTTTAGTTGAGGACACACATCACGAGTAAGTTTCTGAGAATGCTTCTGTCTAGTTTTTAAGGGAAGATATTTCCTTTTTCACCTTAGGCCGGAAAGTGCTCCAAATGTCCACTTACACACACTACAAAAAGAGTGTTTCAAACCTGCTCTGTGAAAGGGAATGTTCAATTCTGTGACTTGAATGCAATCATCACAAAGAACTTTCTGAGAATGCTGCTGTCTGCTTTTTATATGTAATCCCGTTTCCAACGAAATCCTCAAATCTAGCCAAATAGCCACTTGCAGATACCACAAAAAGAGTGTTTCAAAACTGTTCTGTCTAAAGAAATGTTCAACTGTGTTAGTTGAGGACACACATCAGAAACTAGTTTCTGAGAATGCTTCTGTCTAGTTGTTATGGGAAGATATTTCCTTTTACAACGTAGGCCTGAAAGCGCTCCAAATGTCCACTTCCATATACTAAAAAAAGAGTGTTTCAAACCTGCTCTACCAAAGGGAATGTTCTACTCAGTGACTTGAATGCAAACATCCCAAAGAAGTTTCTGAGAATGCTTCTGTCTAGATTTTATCTGAAGACAATCCCGTTTCCAACGAAATCCTCAAGGCTAGGCAAATATACTCTTGCAGATTCCAGAAAAAGAGGGTTTCAAAACTGCTCCTTCAAAACGGTGGTTCAATTCTCTTAGTTGAGTACACACATCTCAAATAAGTTTCTGAGAATGCTTCTGCCTAGTTGTTACGGGAAGATATTTCCCTTTCCAACATGGGCCTGAAAGCGCTCCAAATGTCCACTTCCAGATACTACAAAAAGAGTGTTTCAAACCTGCTCTACCAAAGGGAATGTTCTACTCTGTGACTTGAATGCAAACATCCCAAAGAAGTTTCTGAGAATGCTTCTGTCTAGATTTTACCTGAAGACAATCCCGTTTCCCACGAAATCCTCAAAGCTATGCAAATATCCTCTTGCAGATTCTACAAAAAGAGTGTTTCAAAACTGCTCTATGAAAAGAAAGGTTCAACTCTGTCAGTAGAGGGCACACATCACAAACAAGTTTCTGAGAATGCTTCTGTCTAGTTGTTTTGGGAAGATATTTCCTTTTTCAACATAGGCCTGAAAGCGCTCCAAATGTCCACTTCCAGATACTACAAAAGGAGTGATTCCAACCTGCTCTACGATAGGGAATGTTCAACTCTGTGTCCTGAATACAAACATCACAAAGATGTTTCTCAGAACGCTTGCAGTCTGCAATTCGTATGAATTCCCGCTTCCAACGAAATCCTCAAAACTAGCCAAATATCCACTTGCAGATTCCAGAAAAAGAGCATTTCAAAACTGCTCTATCAAAGGAAAGGTTCAACTTTGTTAGTTGAGTAGATACAGCATGGACGAGTTTCTGAGAATGCTTCTGTCCAGTTTTTATGGGAAGATATTTCCTTTTTCACCTTAGCCCTGAAATCGCTCCAAAAGTCCAGTTCCAGATACTACAAAAGGGGTGTTTCAAGACTGCTCTATGAAAGGGAGTGTTCAACTTTTGACTTGAATGCAAACATCAGAAAGCAGTTTCTCAGAACGCTGCTGTGTGCTTTTTATATGTATTCCCGCTTCCAGCGAAATCCCCAAAGCTAGCCAAATATCCACTTGCAGATTCCAGAAAAAGAGAGTTTCAAAACTGCTCCTTCAAAACGGTGGTTCAATTCTCTTAGTTGAGTACACACATCTCAAATAAGTTTCTGAGAATGCTTCTGTCTAGTTGTTATGGGAAGATATTTCCTTTTCCAACATAGGCCTGAAAGCGCTCCAAATGTCCACTTCCAGATACTACAAAAGGAGTGATTCCAACCTGCTCTATGATAGGGAATGTTCAACTCTGTGTCCTGAATACAAACATCACAAAGATGTTTCTCAGAACGCTGCAGTCTGCAATTTGTATGAATTCCCGCTTCCAACGAAATCCTCAAAACTAGCCAAATATCCACTTGCAGATTCCACAAAAAGAGCGTTTCAAAACTTCTCTATGAAAAGAAAGGTTCTACTCCTTTAGTTGAGGACACACATCACGAGTAAGTTTCTGAGAATGCTTCTGTCTAGTTTTTATGGGAAGATATTTCCTTTTTCACCTTAGGCCGGAAAGTGCTCCAAATGTCCACTTACACACACTACAAAAAGAGTGTTTCAAACCTGCTCTGTGAAAGGGAATGTTCAATTCTGTGACTTGAATGCAATCATCACAAAGAACTTTCTGAGAATGCTGCTGACTGCTTTTTATATGTAATCCCGTTTCCAACGAAATCCTCAAATCTAGCCAAATAGCCACTTGCAGATTCCACAAAAAGAGTGTTTCAAAACTGTTCTGTCTAAAGAAATGTTCAACTGTGTTAGTTGAGGACACACATCAGAAACTAGTTTCTGAGAATGCTTCTGTCTAGTTGTTATGGGAAGATATTTCCTTTTCCAACGTAGGCCTGAAAGCGCTCCAAATGTCCACTTCCATATACTAAAAAAAGAGTGTTTCAAACCTGCTCTACCAAAGGGAATGTTCTACTCTGTGACTTGAATGCAAACATCCCAAAGAAGTTTCTGAGAATGCTTCTGTCTAGATTTGATCTGAAGACAATCCCGTTTCCAACGAAATCCTCAAGGCTAGGCAAATATCCTCTTGCAGATTCCAGAAAAAGAGTGTTTCAAAACTGCTCCTTCAAAACGGTGGTTCAATTCTCTTAGTTGAGTACACACATCTCAAATAAGTTTCTGAGAATGCTTCTGCCTAGTTGTTACCGGAAGATATTTCCCTTTCCAACATAGGCCTGAAAGCGCTCCAAATGTCCACTTCCAGATACTACAAAAAGAGTGTTTCAAACCTGCTCTACCAAAGGGAATGTTCTACTCTGTGACTTGAATGCAAACATCCCAAAGAAGTTTCTGAGAATGCTTCTGTCTAGATTTTACCTGAAGACAATCCCGTTTCCCACGAAATCCTCAAAGCTATGCAAATATCCTCTTGCAGATTCTACAAAAAGAGTGTTTCAAAACTGCTCTATGAAAAGAAAGGTTCAACTCTGTCAGTAGAGGGCACACATCACAAACAAGTTTCTGAGAATGCTTGTGTCTAGTTGTTATGGGAAGATATTTCCTTTTTCAACATAGGCCAGAAAGCGCTCCAAATGTCCACTTCCAGATACTACAAAAGGAGTGATTCCAACCTGCTCTATGATAGGGAATGTTCAACTCTGTGTCCTGAATACAAACATCACAAAGATGTTTCTCAGAACGCTGCAGTCTGCAATTTGTATGTATTCCAGCTTCCAACGAAATCCTCAAATCTAGCCAAATATCCACTTGCAGATTCCACAAAAAGAGCATTTCAAAACTGCTCTATCAAAAGAAAGGTTCAACTTTTTTAGTAGAGTAGATACAGCATAAACAAGTTTCTGAGAATGCTTCTGTCCAGTTTTTATGGGAAGATATTTCCTTTTTCACCTTAGCCCTGAAAGCGCTCCAAAAGTCCAGTTCCAGATACTACAAAAGGAGTGTTTCAGGACTGCTCTATGAAAGGGAGTGTTCAACTTTTGACTTGAATGCAAACATCAGAAAGCAGTTTCTCAGAACGCTGCTGTGTGCTTTTTATATGTATTCCCGCCTCCAGCGAAGTCCCCAAAGCTAGCCAAATATCCACTTGCAGATTCCAGAAAAAGAGTGTTTCAAAACTGCTCCTTCAAAACGGTGGTTCAATTCTCTTAGTTGAGTACACACATCTCAAATAAGTTTCTGAGAATGCTTCTGTCTAGTTGTTATGGGAAGATATTTCCTTTTCCAACATAGGCCTGAAAGCGCTCCAAATGTCCACTTCCAGATACTACAAAAGGAGTGATTCAAACCTGCTCTATGATAGGGAATGTTCAACTCTGTGTCCTGAATACAAACATCACAAAGATGTTTCTCAGAACGCTGCAGTCTGCATCTTGTATGAATTCCCGCTTCCAACGAAATCCTCCAAACTAGCCAAATATCCACTTGCAGATTCCACAAAAAGAGCGTTTCAAAACTTCTCTATGAAAAGAAAGGTTCTACTCCTTTAGTTGAGGACACACATCACGAGTAAGTTTCTGAGAATGCTTCTGTCTAGTTTTTATGGGAAGATATTTCCTTTTTCACCTTAGGCCGGAAAGTGCTCCAAATGTCCACTTACACACACTACAAAAAGAGTGTTTCAAACCTGCTCTGTGAAAGGGAATGTTCAATTTTGTGACTTGAATGCAATCATCACAAAGAACTTTCTGAGAATGCTGCTGTCTGCTTTTTATATGTAATCCCGTTTCCAACGAAATCCTCAAATCTAGCCAAATAGCCACTTGCAGATTCCACAAAAAGAGTGTTTCAAAACTGTTCTGTCTAAAGAAATGTTCAACTGTGTTAGTTGAGGACACACATCAGAAACTAGTTTCTGAGAATGCTTCTGTCTAGTTGTTATGGGAAGATATTTCCTTTTCCAACGTAGGCCTGAAAGCGCTCCAAATGTCCATTTCCATATACTAAAAAAAGAGTGTTTCAAACCTGCTCTACCAAAGGGAATGTTCTACTCTGTGACTTGAATACAAACATCCCAAAGAAGTTTCTGAGAATGCTTCTGTCTAGATTTTATCTGAAGACAATCCCGTTTCCAACGAAATCCTCAAGGCTAGGCAAATATCGTCTAGCAGATTCCAGAAAAAGAGTGTTTCAAAACTGCTCCTTCAAAACGGTGGTTCAATTCTCTTAGTTGCGTACACACATCTCAAAAAAGTTTCAGACAATGCTTCTGCCTAGTTGTTACGGGAAGATATTTCCCTTTCCAACATGGGCCTGAAAGTGCTCCAAATGTCCACTTCCAGATACTACAAAAAGAGTGTTTCAAACCTGCTCTACCAAAGGGAATGTTCTACTCTGTGACTTGAATGCAAACATCCCAAAGAAGTTTCTGAGAATGCTTCTGTCTAGATTTTACCTGAAGACAATCCCGTTTCCCACGGAATCCTCAAAGCTATGCAAATATCCTCTTGCAGATTCTACAAAAAGAGTGTTTCAAAACTGCTCTATGAAAAGAAAGGTTCAACTCTGTCAGTAGAGGGCACACATCACAAACAAGTTTCTGAGAATGCTTGTGTCTAGTTCTTATGGGAAGATATTTCTTTTTTCAACATAGGACTGAAAGCGCTCCAAATGTCCACTTCCAGATACTACAAAAGGAGTGATTCCAACCTACTCTATGATAGGGAATGTTCATCTCTGTGTCCTGAATACAAACATCACAAAGATGATTCTCAGAACGCTGCAGTCTGCAATTTGTATGAATTCCCGCTTCCAACGAAATCCTCAAAACTAGCCAAATATCCACTTGCAGATTCCACAAAAAGACCATTTCAAAACTGCTCTATCAAAAGAAAGGTTCAACTTTGTTAGTTGAGTAGATACAGCATAAACAAGTTTCTGAGAATGCTTCTGTCCAGTTTTTATGGGAAGATATTTCCTTTTTCACCTTAGCCCTGAAATCGCTCCAAAAGTCCAGTTCCAGATACTACAAAAGGGGTGTTTCAAGACTGCTCTATGAAAGGGAGTGTTCAACTTTTGACTTGAATGCAAACATCAGAAAGCAGTTTCTCAGAACGCTGCTGTGTGCTTTTTATATGTATTCCCGCTTCCAGCGAAATCCCCAAAGCTAGCCAAATATCCACTTGCAGATTCCAGAAAAAGAGTGCTTCAAAACTGCTCCTTCAAAACGGTGGTTCAATTCTCTTAGTTGAGTACACACATCTCAAATAAGTTTCTGAGAATGCTTGTGTCTAGTTGTTATGGGAAGATATTTCCTTTTTCAACATAGGCCTGAAAGCGCTCCAAATGTCCACTTCCAGATACTACAAAAGGAGTGATTCCAACCTGCTCTATGATAGGGAATGTTCATCTCTGTGTCCTGAATACAAACATCACAAAGATGTTTCTCATAACGCTGCAGTCTGCAATTTGTATGAATTCCCGCTTCCAACGAAATCCTCCAAACTAGCCAAATATCCACTTGCAGATTCCACAAAAAGAGCGTTTCAAAACTTCTCTATGAAAAGAAAGGTTCTACTCCTTTAGTTGAGGACACACATCACGAGTAAGTTTCTGAGAATGCTTCTGTCTAGTTTTTATGGGAAGATATGTCCTTTTTCACCTTAGGCCGGAAAGTCGCTCCAAATGTCCACTTACACACACAACAAAAAGAGTGTTTCAAACCTGCTCTGTGAAAGGGAATGTTCAATTCTGTGACTTGAATGCAATCATCACAAAGAACTTTCTGAGAATGCTGCTGACTGCTTTTTATATGTAATCCCGTTTCCAACGAAATCCTCAAATCTAGCCAAATAGCCACTTGCAGATTCCACAAAAAGAGTGTTTCAAAACTGTTCTGTCTAAAGAAATGTTCAACTGTGTTAGTTGAGGACACACATCAGAAACTAGTTTCTGAGAATGCTTCTGTCTAGTTGTTATGGGAAGATATTTCCTTTTCCAACGTAGGCCTGAAAGCGCTCCAAATGTCCACTTCCAGATACTACAAAAAGAGTGTTTCAAACCTGCTCTACCAAAGGGAATGTTCTACTCTGTGACTTGAATGCAAGCATCCCAAAGAAGTTTCTGAGAATGCTTCTGTCTAGATTTTCTCTGAAGACAATCCCGTTTCCAACGAAATCCTCAAGGCTAGGCAAATATACTCTTGCAGATTGCAGAAAAAGAGTGTTTCAAAACTGCTCCTTCAAAACGGTGGTTCAATTCTCTTAGTTGAGTACACACATCTCAAATAAGTTTCTGAGAATGCTTCTGCCTAGTTGTTACGGGAAGATATTTCCCTTTCCAACATGGGCCTGAAAGCGCTCCAAATGTCCACTTCCAGATACTACAAAAAGAGTGTTTCAAACCTGCTCTACCAAAGGGAATGTTCTACTCTGTGACTTGAATGCAAACATCCCAAAGAAGTTTCTGAGAATGCTTCTGTCTAGATTTTACCTGAAGACAATCCCGTTTCCCACGAAATCCTCAAAGCTATGCAAATATCCTCTTGCAGATTCTACAAAAAGAGTGTTTCAAAACTGCTCTATGAAAAGAAAGGTTCAACTCTGTCAGTAGAGGGCACACATCACAAACAAGTTTCTGAGAATGCTTGTGTCTAGTTGTTATGGGAAGATATTTCCTTTTTCAACATAGGCCTGAAAGCGCTCCAAATGTCCACTTCCAGATACTACAAAAGGAGTGATTCCAACCTGCTCTATGATAGGGAATGTTCAACTCTCTGTCCTGAATACAAACATCACAAAGATGTTTCTCAGAACGCTGCAGTCTGCAATTTGTATGAATTCCCGCTTCCAACGAAATCCTCAAAACTAGCCAAATATCCACTTGCAGATTCCACAAAAAGAGCATTTCAAAACTGCTCTATCAAAAGAAAGGTTCAACTTTGTTAGTTGAGTAGATACAGCATAAACAAGTTTCTGAGAATGCTGCAGTCTGCAATTTGTATGAATTCCCGCTTCCAACGAAATCCTCAAAACTAGCCAAATATCCACTTGGAGATTCCACAAAATGAGCGTTTCAAAACTTCTCTATGAATAGAAAGGTTCTACTCCTTTAGTTGAGGACACACATCACGAGTAAGTTTCTGAGAATGCTTCTGTCTAGTTTTTATGGGAAGATATTTCCTTTTTCACCTTAGGCCGGAAAGTGCTCCAAATGTCCACTTACACACACTACAAAAAGAGTGTTTCAAACCTGCTCTGTGAAAGGGAATGTTCAATTCTGTGACTTGAATGCAATCATCACAAAGAACTTTCTGAGAATGCTGCTGTCTGCTTTTTATATGTAATCCCGTTTCCAACGAAATCCTCAAATCTAGCCAAATAGCCACTTGCAGATTCCACAAAAAGAGTGTTTCAAAACTGTTCTGTCTAAAGAAATGTTCAACTGTGTTAGTTGAGGACACACATCAGAAACTAGTTTCTGAGAATGCTTCTGTCTAGTTGTTATGGGAAGATATTTCCTTTTCCAACGTAGGCCTGAAAGCGCTCCAAATGTCCACTTCCATATACTAAAAAAAGAGTGTTTCAAACCTGCTCTACCAAAGGGGAATGTTCTACTCTGTGACTTGAATGCAAACATCCCAAAGAAGTTTCTGAGAATGCTTCTGTCTAGATTTTATCTGAAGACAATCCCGTTTCCAACGAAATCCTCAAGGCTAGGCAAATATATTCTTGCAGAATCCAGAAAAAGAGTGTTTCAAAACTGCTCCTTCAAAACGGTGGTTCAATTCTCTTAGTTGAGTACACACATCTCAAATAAGTTTCTGAGAATGCTTCTGCCTAGTTGTTACGGGAAGATATTTCCCTTTCCAACATGGGCCTGATAGTGCTCCAAATGTCCACTTCCAGATACTACAAAAAGAGTGTTTCAAACCTGCTCTACCAAAGGGAATGTTCTACTCTGTGACTTGAATGCAAACATCCCAAAAAAGTTTCTGAGAATGCTTCTGTCTAGATTTTACCTGAAGACAATCCCGTTTCCCACGAAATCCTCAAAGCTATGCAAATATCCTCTTGCAGATTCTACAAAAAGAGTGTTTCAAAACTGCTCTATGAAAAGAAAGGTTCAACTCTGTCAGTAGAGGGCACACATCACAAACAAGTTTCTGAGAATGCTTGTGTCTAGTTGTTATGGGAAGATATTTCCTTTTTCAACATAGGCCAGAAAGCGCTCCAAATGTCCACTTCCAGATACTACAAAAGGAGTGATTCCAACCTGCTCTATGATAGGGAATGTTCAACTCTCTGTCCTGAATACAAACATCACAAAGATGTTTCTCAGAACGCTGCAGTCTGCAATTTGTATGAATTCCCGCTTCCAACGAAATCCTCAAAACTAGCCAAATATCCACTTGCAGATTCCACAAAAAGAGCATTTCAAAACTGCTCTATCAAAAGAAAGGTTCAACTTTGTTAGTTGAGTAGATACAGCATAAACAAGTTTCTGAGAATGCTTCTGTCCAGTTTTTATGGGAAGATATTTCCTTTTTCACCTTAGCCCTGAAAGCGCTCCAAATGTCCAGTTCCAGATACTACAAAAGGGGTGTTTCAAGACTGCTCTATGAAAGGGAGTGTTCAACTTTTGACTTGAATGCAAACATCAGAAAGCAGTTTCTCAGAACGCTGCTGTGTGCTTTTTATATGTATTCCCGCTTCCAGCGAAATCCCCAAAGCTAGCCAAATATCCACTTGCAGATTCCAGAAAAAGAGTGTTTCCAAACTGCTCCTTCAAAACGGTGGTTCAATTCTCTTAGTTGAGTACACACATCTCAAATAAGTTTCTGGGAATGCTTCTGTCTAGTTGTTATGGGAAGATATTTCCTTTTCCAACATAGGCCTGAAAGCGCTCCAAATGTCCACTTCCAGATACTACAAAAGGAGTGATTCAAACCTGCTCTATGATAGGGAATGTTCAACTCTGTGTCCTGAATACAAACATCACAAAGATGTTTCTCAGAACGCTGCAGTCTGCAATTTGTATGAATTCCCGCTTCCAACGAAATCCTCCAAACTAGCCAAATATCCACTTGCAGATTCCACAAAAAGAGCGTTTCAAAACTTCTCTATGAAAAGAAAGGTTCTACTCCTTTAGTTGAGGACACACATCACGAGTAAGTTTCTGAGAGTGCTTCTGTCTAGTTTTTATGGGAAGATATTTCCTTTTTCACCTTAGGCCGGAAAGCGCTCCAAATGTCCACTTACACACACTACAAAAAGAGTGTTTCAAACCTGCTCTGTGAAAGGGAATGTTCAATTCTGTGACTTGAATGCAATCATCACAAAGAACTTTCTGAGAATGCTGCTGACTGCTTTTTATATGTAATCCCGTTTCCAACGAAATCCTCAAATCTAGCCAAATAGCCACTTGCAGATTCCACAAAAAGAGTGTTTCAAAACTGTTCTGTCTATAGAAATGTTCAACTGTGTTAGTTGAGGACACACATCAGAAACTAGTTTCTGAGAATGCTTCTGTCTAGTTGTTATGGGAAGATATTTCCTTTTCCAACGTAGGCCTGAAAGCGCTCCAAATGTCCACTTCCATATACTAAAAAAAGAGTGTTTCAAACCTGCTCTACCAAAGGGAATGTTCTACTCTGTGACTTGAATGCAAACATCCCAAAGAAGTTTCTGAGAATGCTTCTGTCTAGATTTGATCTGAAGACAATCCCGTTTCCAACGAAATCCTCAAGGCTAGGCAAATATCCTCTTGCAGATTCCAGAAAAAGAGTGTTTCAAAATTGCTCCTTCAAAACGGTGATTCAATTCTCTTAGTTGAGTACACACATCTCAAATAAGTTTCTGAGAATGCTTCTGCCTAGTTGTTACGGGAAGATATTTCCCTTTCCAACATGGGCCTGAAAGCGCTCCAAATGTCCACTTCCAGATACTACAAAAAGAGTGTTTCAAACCTGCTCTACCAAAGGGAATGTTCTACTCTGTGACTTGAATGCAAACATCCCAAAGAAGTTTCTGAGAATGCTTCTGTCTAGATTTTACCTGAAGACAATCCCGTTTCCCACGAAATCCTCAAAGCTATGCTAATATCCTCTTGCGGATTCTACAAAAAGAGTGTTTCAAAACTGCTCTATGAAAAGAAAGGTTCAACTCTGTCAGTAGAGGGCACACATCACAAACAAGTTTCTGAGAATGCTTGTGTCTAGTTGTTATGGGAAGATATTTCCTTTTTCAACATAGGCCTGAAAGCGCTCCAAATGTCCACTTCCAGATACTACAAAAGGAGTGATTCCAACCTGCTCTATGATAGGGAATGTTCAACTCTCTGTCCTGAATACAAACATCACAAAGATGTTTCTCAGAACGCTGCAGTCTGCAATTTGTATGAATTCCCGCTTCCAACGAAATCCTCAAAACTAGCCAAATATCCACTTGCAGATTCCACAAAAAGACCATTTCAAAACTGCTCTATCAAAAGAAAGGTTAAACTTTGTTAGTTGAGTAGATACAGCATAACCAAGTTTCTGAGAATGCTTCTGTCCAGTTTTTATGGGAAGATATTTCCTTTTTCACCTTAGCCCTGAAAGCGCTCCAAAAGTCCAGTTCCAGATACTACAAAAGGAGTGTTTCAGGACTGCTCTATGAAAGGGAGTGTTCAACTTTTGACTTGAATGCAAACATCAGAAAGCAGTTTCTCAGAACGCTGCTGTGTGCTTTTTATATGTATTCCCGCTTCCAGCGAAATCCCCAAAGCTAGCCAAATATCCACTTGCAGATTCCAGAAAAAGAGAGTTTCAAAACTGCTCCTTCAAAACGGTGGTTCAATTCTCTTAGTTGAGTACACACATCTCAAATAAGTTTCTGAGAATGCTTCTGTCTAGTTGTTATGGGAAGATATTTCCTTTTCCAACATAGGCCTGAAAGCGCTCCAAATGTCCACTTCCAGATACTACAAAAGGAGTGATTCAAACCTGCTCTATGATAGGGAATGTTCAACTCTGTGTCCTGAATACAAACATCACAAAGATGTTTCTCAGAACGCTGCAGTCTGCAATTTGTATGCATTCCCGCTTCCAACGAAATCCTCAAAACTAGCCAAATATCCACTTGCAGATTCCACAAAAAGAGCGTTTCAAAACTTCTCTATGAAAAGAAAGTTTCTACTCCTTTAGTTGAGTACACACATCACGAGTAAGTTTCTGAGAATGCTTCTGTCTAGTTTTTATGGGAAGATATTTCCTTTTTCACCTTAGGCCGGAAAGCGCTCCAAATGTCCGCTTACACACACTACAAAAAGAGTGTTTCAAACCTGCTCTGTGAAAGGGAATGTTCAATTCTGTGACTTGAATGCAATCATCACAAAGAACTTTCTGAGAATGCCGCTGTCTGCTTTTTATATGTAATCCCGTTTCCAACGAAATGCTCAAATCTAGCCAAATATCCACTTGCAGATTCCACAAAAAGAGTGTTTCAAAACTGTTCTGTCTAAAGAAATGTTCAACTGTGTTAGTTGAGGACACACATCAGAAACTAGTTTCTGAGAATGCTTCTGTCTAGTTGTTATGGGAAGATATTTCCTTTTCCAACGTAGGCCTGAAAGCGCTCCAAATGTCCACTTCCATATACTAAAAAAAGAGTGTTTCAAACCTGCTCTACCAAAGGGAATGTTCTACTCTGTGACTTGAATGCAAACATCCCAAAGAAGTTTCTGAGAATGCTTCTGTCTAGATTTTATCTGAAGACAATCCCGTTTCCAACGAAATCCTGAAGGCTAGGCAAATATACTCTTGCAGATTCCAGAAAAAGAGGGTTTCAAAACTGCTCCTTCAAAACGGTGGTTCAATTCTCTTAGTTGAGTACACACATCTCAAATAAGTTTCTGAGAATGCTTCTGCCTAGTTGTTACGGGAAGATATTTCCCTTTCCAACATGGGCCTGAAAGCGCTCCAAATGTCCACTTCCAGATACTACAAAAAGAGTGTTTCAAACCTGCTCTACCAAAGGGAATGTTCTACTCTGTGACTTGAATGCAAACATCCCAAAGAAGTTTCTGAGAATGCTTCTGTCTAGATTTTACCTGAAGACAATCCCGTTTCCCACGAAATCCTCAAAGCTATGCAAATATCCTCTTGCAGATTCTACAAAAAGAGTGTTTCAAAACTGCTCTATGAAAAGAAAGGTTCAACTCTGTCAGTAGAGGGCACACATCACAAACAAGTTTCTGAGAATGCTTGTGTCTAGTTGTTATGGGAAGATATTTCCTTTATCAACATAGGCCTGAAAGCGCTCCAAATGTCCACTTCCAGATACTACAAAAGGAGTGATTCCAACCTGCTCTATGATAGGGAATGTTCAACTCTGTGTCCTGAATACAAACATCACAAAGATGTTTCTCAGAACGCTGCAGTCTGCAATTTGTATGAATTCCCGCTTCCAGCGAAATCCTCAAAACTAGCCAAATATCCACTTGCAGATTCCACAAAAAGAGCATTTCAAAACTGCTCTATCAAAAGAAAGGTTCAACTTTGTTAGTTGAGTAGATACAGCATAAACAAGTTTCTGAGAATGCTTCTGTCCAGTTTTTATGGGAAGATATTTCCTTTTTCACCTTAGCCCTGAAATCGCTCCAAAAGTCCAGTTCCAGATACTACAAAAGGGGTGTTTCAAGACTGCTCTATGAAAGGGAGTGTTCAACTTTTGACTTGAATGCAAACATCAGAAAGCAGTTTCTCAGAACGCTGCTGTGTGCTTTTTATATGTATTCCCGCTTCCAGCGAAATCCCCAAAGCTAGCCAAATATCCACTTGCAGATTCCAGAAAAAGAGAGTTTCAAAACTGCTCCTTCAAAACGGTGGTTCAATTCTCTTAGTTGAGTACACACATCTCAAATAAGTTTCTGAGAATGCTTGTGACTAGTTGTTATGGGAAGATATTTCCTTTTTCAACATAGGCCTGAAAGCGCTCCAAATGTCCACTTCCAGATACTACAAAAGGAGTGATTCCAACATGCTCTGTGATAGGGAATGTTCATCTCTGTGTCTTGAATACAAACATCACAAAGATGTTTCTCAGAACGCTGCAGTCTGCAATTTGTATGAATTCCCGCTTCCAACGAAATCCTCAAAACTAGCCAAATATCGACTTGGAGATTCCACAAAAAGAGCGTTTCAAAACTTCTCTATGAATAGAAAGGTTCTACTCCTTTAGTTGAGGACACACATCACGAGTAAGTTTCTGAGAATGCTTCTGTCTAGTTTTTATGGGAAGATATTTCCTTTTTCACCTTAGGCCGGAAAGCGCTCCAAATGTCCACTTACACACACTACAAAAAGACTGTTTCAAACCTGCTCTGTGAAAGGGAATGTTCAATTCTGTGACTTGAATGCAATCATCACAAAGAACTTTCTGAGAATTCTGCTGTCTGCTTTTTATATGTAATCCCGTTTCCAACGAAATCCTCAAATCTAGCCCAATATCCACTTGCAGATTCCACAAAAAGAGTGTTTCAAAACTGTTCTGTATAAAGAAATGTACAACTGTGTTAGTTGAGGACACACATCAGAAACTAGTTTCTGAGAATGCTTCTTTCTAGTTGTTATGGGAAGATATTTCCTTTTCCAACGTAGGCCTGAAAGCGCTCCAAATGTCCACTTCCATATACTAAAAAAAGAGTGTTTCAAACCTGCTCTACCAAAGGGAATGTTCTACTCTGTGACTTGAATGCTAACATCCCAAAGAAGTTTCTGAGAATGCTTCTGTCTAGATTTTATCTGAAGACAATCCCGTTTCCAACGAAATCCTCAAGGCTAGGCAAATATACTCTTGCAGATTCCAGAAAAAGAGTGTTTCAAAACTGCTCTTTCAAAACGGTGGTTCAATTCTCTTAGTTGAGTACACACATCTCAAATAAGTTTCTGAGAATGCTTCTGCCTAGTTGTTACGGGAAGATATTTCCCTTTCCAACATGGGCCTGAAAGCGCTCCAAATGTCCACTTCCAGATACTACAAAAAGAGTGTTTCAAACCTGCTCTACCAAAGGGAATGTTCTACTCTGTGACTTGAATGCAAACATCCCAAAGAAGTTTCTGAGAATGCTTCTGTCTAGATTTTACCTGAAGACAATCCCGTTTCCCACGAAATCCTCAGAGCTATGCAAATATCCTCTTGCAGATTCTACAAAAAGAGTGTTTCGAAACTGCTCTATGAAAAGAAAGGTTCAACTCTGTCAGTAGAGGAAACACATCACCAACAAGTTTCTGAGAATGCTTCTGTCTAGTTGTTATGGGAAGATTTTTCCTTTTTCAACATAGGCCTGAAAGCGCTCCAAATGTCCACTTCCAGATACTACAAAAGGAGTGATCCCAACCTGCTGTATGATAGGGAATGTTCAACTACTGTGTCCTGAATACAAACATCACAAAGATGTTTACGCAGAACGCTGCAGTCTGCAATTTGTATGAATTCCCGCTTCCAACGAAATCCTCAAAACTAGCCAAATATCCACTTGCAGATTCCACAAAAAGACCATTTCAAAACTGCTCTATCAAAAGAAAGGTTCAACTTTGTTAGTTGAGTAGATACAGCATAAACAAGTTTCTGAGAATGCTTCTGTCCAGTTTTTATGGGAAGATATTTCCTTTTTCACCTTAGCCCTGAAAGCGCTCCAAAAGTCCAGTTCCAGATACTACAAAAGGAGTGTTTCAGGACTGCTCTATGAAAGGGAGTGTTCAACTTTTGACTTGAATGCAAACATCAGAAAGCAGTTTCTCAGAACCGCTGCTGTGTGCTTTTTATATGTATTCCCGCTTCCAGCGAAATCCCCAAAGCTAGCCAAATATCCACTTGCAGATTCCAGAAAAAGAGAGTTTCAAAACTGCTCCTTCAAAACGGTGGTTCAATTCTCTTAGTTGAGTACACACATCTCAAATAAGTTTCTGAGAATGCTTTTGTCTAGTTGTTATGGGAAGATATTTCCTTTTCCAACATAGGCCTGAAAGCACTCCAAATGTCCACTTCCAGATACTACAAAAGGAGTGATTCCAACCTGCTCTATGATAGGGAATGTTCAACTCTGTGTCCTGAATACAAACATCACAAAGATGTTTCTCAGAACGCTGCAGTCTGCAATTTGTATGAATTCCCGCTTAAAACGAAATCCTCCAAACTAGCCAAATATCCACTTGCAGATTCCACAAAAAGAGCGTTTCAAAACTTCTCTATGAAAGAAAGGTTCTACTCCTTTAGTTGAGGACACACATCACGAGTAAGTTTCTGAGAATGCTTCTGTCTAGTTTTTATGGGAAGATATTTCCTTTTTCACCTTAGGCCGGAAAGCGCTCCAAATGTCCACTTACACACACTACAAAAAGAGTGTTTCAAACCTGCTCTGTGAAAGGGAATGTTCAATTCTGTGACTTGAATGCAATCATCACAAAGAACTTTCTGAGAATGCTGCTGTCTGCTTTTTATATGTAATCCCGTTTCCAACGAAATCCTCAAATCTAGCCCAATATCCACTTGCAGATTCCACAAAAAGAGTGTTTCAAAACTGTTCTGTCTAAAGAAAAGTTCAACTGTGTTAGTTGAGGACACACATCAGAAACTAGTTTCTGAGAATGCTTCTGTCTAGTTGTTATGGGAAGATATTTCCTTTTCCAACGTAGGCCTGAAAGCGCTCCAAATGTCCACTTCCATATACTAAAAAAAGAGTGTTTCAAACCTGCTCTACCAAAGGGAATGTTCTACTCTGTGACTTGAATGCAAACATCCCAAAGAAGTTTCTGAGAATGCTTCTGTCTAGATTTTATCTGAAGACAATCCCGTTTCCAACGAAATCCTCAAGGCTAGGCAAATATACTCTTGCAGATTCCAGAAAAAGAGTGTTTCAAAACTGCTCCTTGAAAACGGTGGTTCAATTCTCTTAGTTGAGTACACACATCTCAAATAAGTTTCTGAGAATGCTTCTGCCTAGTTGTTACGGGAAGATATTTCCCTTTCCAACATAGGCCTGAAAGCGCTCCAAATGTCCACTTCCAGATACTACAAAAAGAGTGTTTCAAACCTGCTCTACCAAAGGGAATGTTCTACTCTGTGACTTGAATGCAAACATCCCAAAGAAGTTTCTGAGAATGCTTCTGTCTAGATTTTACCTGAAGACAATCCCGTTTCCCACGAAATCCTCAAAGCTATGCAAATATCCTCTTGCAGATTCTACAAAAAGAGTGTTTCAAAACTGCTCTATGAAAAGAAAGGTTCAACTCTGTCAGTAGAGGGCACACATCACAAACAAGTTTCTGAGAATGCTTCTGCATAGTTGTTACGGGAAGATATTTCCCTTTCCAAAATAGGCCTGAAAGCGCTCCAAATGTCCACTTCCAGATACTACAAAAGGAGTGATTCCAACCTGCTCTATGATAGGGAATGTTCAACTCTGTGTCCTGAATACAAACATCACAAAGATGTTTCTCAGAACGCTGCAGTCTGCAATTTGTATGAATTCCCGCTTCCAACGAAATCCTCAAAACTAGCCAAATATCCACTTGCAGATTCCACAAAAAGACCATTTCAAAACTGCTCTATCAAAAGAAAGGTTCAACTTTGTTAGTTGAGTAGATACAGCATAACCAAGTTTCTGAGAATGCTTCTGTCCAGTTTTTATGGGAAGATATTTCCTTTTTCACCTTAGCCCTGAAATCGCTCCAAAAGTCCAGTTCCAGATACTACAAAAGGGGTGTTTCAAGACTGCTCTATGAAAGGGAGTGTTCAACTTTTGACTTGAATGCAAACATCAGAAAGCAGTTTCTCAGAACGCTGCTGTGTGCTTTTTATATGTATTCCCGCTTCCAGCGAAATCCCCAAAGCTAGCCAAATATCCACTTGCAGATTCCACAAAAAGAGTGTTTCAAAACTGCTCCTTCAAAACGGTGGTTCAATTCTCTTAGTTGAGTACACACATCTCAAATAAGTTTCTGAAAATGCTTGTATCTAGTTGTTATGGGAAGATATTTCCTTTTACAACATAGGCCTGAAAGCGCTCCAAATGTCCACTTCCAGATACTACAAAAGGAGTGATTCCAACCTGCTCTATGATAGGGAATGTTCATCTCTGTGTCCTGAATACAAACATCACAAAGATGTTTCTCAGAACGCTGCAGTCTGCAATTTGTATGAATTCCTGCTTCCAACGAAATCCTCAAAACTAGCCAAATATCCACTTGGAGATTCCACAAAAAGAGCATTTCAAAACTTCTCTATGAATAGAAAGGTTCTACTCCTTTAGTTGAGGACACACATCACGAGTAAGTTTCTGAGGATGCTTCTGTCTAGTTTTTATGGGAAGATATTTCCTTGTTCACCTTAGGCCAGAAAGCGCTCCAAATGTCCACTTACACACACTACAAAAAGAGTGTTTCAAACCTGCTCTGTGAAAGGGAATGTTCAATTCTGTGACTTGAATGCAATCATCACAAAGAACTTTCTGAGAATGCTTCTGTCTAGATTTGATCTGAAGACAATCCCGTTTCCAACGAAATTCTCAAGGCTAGCCAAATATCCACTTGCAGATTCCACAAAAAGAGTGTTTCAAAACTGTTCTGTCTAAAGAAAAGTTCAACTGTGTTAGTTGAGGACACACATCAGAAACTAGTTTCTGAGAATGCTTCTGTCTAGTTGTTATGGGAAGATATTTCCTTTTCCAACGTAGGCCTGAAAGCGCTCCAAATGTCCACTTCCATATACTAAAAAAAGAGTGTTTCAAACCTGCTCTACCAAAGGGAATGTTCTACTCTGTGACTTGAATGCAAACATCCCAAAGAAGTTTCTGAGAATGCTTCTGTCTAGATTTGATCTGAAGACAATCCCGTTTCCAACGAAATCCTCAAGGCTAGGCAAATATACTCTTGCAGATTCCAGAAAAAGAGTGTTTCAAAACTGCTCCTTCAAAACGGTGGTTCAATTCTCTTAGTTGAGTACACACATCTCAAATAAGTTTCTGAGAATGCTCTGCCTAGTTGTTACGGGAAAGAATATTTCCCTTTCCAACATGGGCCTGAAAGCGCTCCAAATTGTCCACTTCCAGATACTACAAAAAGAGTGTTTCAAACCTGCTCTACCAAAGGGAATGTTCTACTGTGTGACTTGAATGCAAACATCCCAGAGAAGTTTCTGAGAATGCTTCTGTCTAGATTTTACCTGAAGACAATCCCGTTTCCCACGAAATCCTCAAAGCTATGCAAATATCCTCTTGCAGATTCTACAAAAAGAGTGTTTCAAAACTGCTCTATGAAAAGAAAGGTTCAACTCTGTCAGTAGAGGGCACACATCACAAACAAGTTTCTGAGAATGCTTGTGTCTAGTTGTTATGGGAAGATATTTCCTTTTTCAACATAGGCCTGAAAGCGCTCCAAATGTCCACTTCCAGATACTACAAAAGGAGTGATTCCAACCTGCTCTATGATAGGGAATGTTCATCTCTGTGTCCTGAATACAAACATCACAAAGATGTTTCTCAGAACGCTGCAGTCTGCAATTTGTATGAATTCCCGCTTCCAACGAAATCCTCAAAACTAGCCAAATATCCACTTGGAGATTCCACAAAAAGAGCATTTCAAAACTGCTCTATCAAAAGAAATGTTCAACTTTGTTAGTAGCGTAGATACAGCATAAACAAGTTTCTGAGAATGCTTCTGTCCAGTTTTTATGGGAAGATATTTCCTTTTTCACCTTAGCCCTGAAAGCGCTCCAAAAGTCCAGTTCCAGATACTACAAAAGGAGTGTTTCAGGACTGCTCTATGAAAGGGAGTGTTCAACTTTTGACTTGAATGCAAACATCAGAAAGCAGTTTCTCAGAACGCTGCTGTGTGCTTTTTATATGTATTCCCGCTTCCAGCGAAATCCCCAAAGCTAGCCAAATATCCACTTGCAGATTCCAGAAAAAGAGAGTTTCAAAACTGCTCCTTCAAAACGGTGGTTCAATTCTCTTAGTTGAGTACACACATCTCAAATAAGTTTCTGAGAATGCTTCTGTCCAGTTTTTATGGGAAGATATTTCCTTTTTCACCTTAGCCCTGAAAGCACTCCAAATGTCCACTTCCAGATACCACAAAAGGGGAGTTTCAAGACTGCTCTACGAAAGGGAGTGTTCAACTTTTGACTTGAATGCGAACATCAGAAAGAAGTTTCTCAGAACGCTGCAGTCTGCAATTTGCATGAATTCCCGCTTCCAACGAAATCCTCAAAACTAGCCAAATATCCACTTGGAGATTCCACAAAAAGAGCGTTTCAAAACTTCTCTATGAATAGAAAGGTTCTACTCCTTTAGTTGAGGACACACATCACGAGTAAGTTTCTGAGAATGCTTCTGTCTAGTTTTTATGGGAAGATATTTCCTTTTTCACCTTAGGCCGGAAAGCGCTCCAAATGTCCACTTACACACACTACAAAAAGAGTGTTTCAAACCTCCTCTGTGAAAGGGAATGTTCAATTCTGTGATTTGAATGCAATCATCACAAAGAACTTTCTGAGAATGCTGCTGTCTGCTTTTTATATGTAATCCCGTTTCCAACGAAATCCTCAAATCTAGCCAAATATCCACTTGTAGATTCCACAAAAAGAGTGTTTCAAAACTCTTCTGTATAAAGAAATGTTCAACTGTGTTAGTTGAGGACACACATCAGGAACTAGTTTCTGAGAATGCTTCTGTCTAATTGTTATGGGAAGATATTTCCTTTTCCAACGTAGGCCTGAAAGCGCTCCAAATGTCCACTTCCATATACTAAAAAAAGAGTGTTTCAAACCTGCTCTACCAAAGGGAATGTTCTACTCTGTGACTTGAATGCAAACATCCCAAAGAAGTTTCTGAGAATGCTTCTGTCTAGATTTGATCTGAAGACAATCCCGTTTCCAACGAAATCCTCAAAGCTAGGCAAATATCCTCTTGCAGATTCCAGAAAAAGAGTGTTTCAAAACTGCTCCTTCAAAACGGTGGTTCAATTCTCTTAGTTGAGTACACACATCTCCAATAAGTTTCTGAGAATGCTTCTGCCTAGTTGTTACGGGAAGATATTTCCCTTTCCAACATAGGCCTGAAAGCGCTCCAAATGTCCACTTCCAGATACTATAAAAAGAGTGTTTCAAACCTGCTCTACCAAAGGGAATGTTCTACTCTGTGACTTGAATGCAAACATCCCAAAGAAGTTTCTGAGAATGCTTCTGTCTAGATTTTACCTGAAGACAATCCCGTTTCCCACGAAATCCTCAAAACTATGCAAATATCCTCTTGCAGATTCTACAAAAAGAGTGTTTCAAAACTGCTCTATGAAAAGAAAGGTTCAACTCTGTCAGTAGAGGGCACACATCACAAACAAGTTTCTGAGAATGCTTCTGCATAGTTGTTACGGGAAGATATTTCCCTTTCCAAAATAGGCCTGAAAGCGCTCCAAATGTCCACTTCCAGATACTACAAAAGGAGTGATTCCAACCTGCTCTATGATAGGGAATGTTCAACTCTGTGTCCTGAATACAAACATCACAAAGATGTTTCTCAGAACGCTGCAGTCTGCAATTTGCATGAATTCCAGCTTCCAACGAAATCCTCAAAACTAGCCAAATATCCACTTGCAGATTCCACAAAAAGAGCATTTCAAAACTGCTCTATCAAAAGAAAGGTTCAACTTTGTTAGTAGAGTAGATACAGCATAAACAAGTTTCTGAGAATGCTTTCTGTCCAGTTTTTATGGGAAGATATTTCCTTTTTCACCTTAGCCCGGAAAGCGCTCCAAAAGTCCAGTTCCAGATACTACAAAAGGAGTGTTTCAGGACTGCTCTATGAAAGGGAGTGTTCAACTTTTGACTTGAATGCAAACATCAGAAAGCAGTTTCTCAGAACGCTGCTGTGTGCTTTTTATATGTATTCCCGCTTCCAGCGAAATCCCCAAAGCTAGCCAAATATCCACTTGCAGATTCCAGAAAAAGAGTGTTTCAAAACTGCTCCTTCAAAACGGTGGTTCAATTCTCTTAGTTGAGTACACACATCTCAAATAAGTTTCTGAGAATGCTTCTGTCTAGTTGTTATGGGAAGATATTTCCTTTTCCAACATAGGCCTGAAAGCGCTCCAAATGTCCACTTCCAGATACTACAAAAGGAGTGATTCAAACCTGCTCTATGATAGGGAATGTTCAACTCTGTGTCCTGAATACAAACATCACAAAGATGTTTCTCAGAACGCTGCAGTCTGCAATTTGTATGAATTCCTGCTTCCAACGAAATCCTCAAAACTAGCCAAATATCCACTTGGAGATTCCACAAAAAGAGCATTTCAAAACTTCTCTATGAATAGAAAGGTTCTACTCCTTTAGTTGAGGACACACATCACGAGTAAGTTTCTGAGAATGCTTCTGTCTAGTTTTTATGGGAAGATATTTCCTTTTTCACCTTAGGCCGGAAAGTGCTCCAAATGTCCACTTACACACACTACAAAAAGAGTGTTTCAAACCTGCTCTGTGAAAGGGAATGTTCAATTCTGTGACTTGAATGCAATCATCACAAAGAACTTTCTGAGAATGCTGCTGACTGCTTTTTATATGTAATCCCGTTTCCAACGAAATCCTCAAATCTAGCCAAATAGCCACTTGCAGATTCCACAAAAAGAGTGTTTCAAAACTGTTCTGTCTAAAGAAATGTGCAACTGTGTTAGTTGAGGACACACATCAGAAACTAGTTTCTGAGAATGCTTCTGTCTAGTTGTTATGGGAAGATATTTCCTTTTCCAACGTAGGCCTGAAAGCGCTCCAAATGTCCACTTCCAGATACTACAAAAAGAGTGTTTCAAACCTGCTCTACCAAAGGGAATGTTCTACTCTGTGACTTGAATGCAAACATCCCAAAGAAGTTTCTGAGAATGCTTCTGTCTAGATTTTATCTGAAGACAATCCCGTTTCCAACGAAATCCTCAAGGCTAGGCAAATATACTCTTTCAGATTCCAGAAAAAGAGTGTTTCAAAACTGCTCCTTCAAAACTGTGGTTCAATTCTCTTCGTTGAGTACACACATCTCAAATAAGTTTCTGAGAATGCTTCTGCCTAGTTGTTACCGGAAGATATTTCCCTTTCCAACATAGGCCTGAAAGCGCTCCAAATGTCCACTTCCAGATACTACAAAAAGAGTGTTTCAAACCTGCTCTACCAAAGGGAATGTTCTACTCTGTGACTTGAATGCAAACATCCCAAAGAAGTTTCTGAGAATGCTTCTGTCTAGATTTTACCTGAAGACAATCCCGTTTCCCACGAAATCCTCAAAGCTATGCAAATATCCTCTTGCAGATTCTACAAAAAGAGTGTTTCAAAACTGCTCTATGAAAAGAAAGGTTCAACTCTGTCAGTAGAGGGCACACATCACAAACAAGTTTCTGAGAATGCTTGTGTCTAGTTGTTATGGGAAGATATTTCCTTTTTCAACATAGGCCTGAAAGCGCTCCAAATGTCCACTTCCAGATACTACAAAAGGAGTGATTCCAACCTGCTCTATGATAGGGAATGTTCAACTCTCTGTCCTGAATACAAACATCACAAAGATGTTTCTCAGAACGCTGCAGTCTGCAATTTGTATGAATTCCCGCTTCCAACGAAATCCTCAAAACTAGCCAAATATCCACTTGCAGATTCCACAAAAAGAGCATTTCAAAACTGCTCTATCAAAAGAAAGGTTCAACTTTGTTAGTTGAGTAGATACAGCATAAACAAGTTTCTGAGAATGCTTCTGTCCAGTTTTTATGGGAAGATATTTCCTTTTTCACCTTAGCCCTGAAAGCGCTCCAAAAGTCCAGTTCCAGATACTACAAAAGGAGTGTTTCAGGACTGCTCTATGAAAGGGAGTGTTCAACTTTTGACTTGAATGCAAACATCAGAAAGCAGTTTCTCAGAACGCTGCTGTGTGCTTTTTATATGTATTCCCGCTTCCAGCGAAATCCCCAAAGCTAGCCAAATATCCACTTGCAGATTCCAGAAAAAGAGTGTTTCAAAACTGCTCCTTCAAAACGGTGGTTCAATTCTCTTAGTTGAGTAGACACATCTCAAATAAGTTTCTGAGAATGCTTCTGTCTAGTTGTTATGGGAAGATATTTCCTTTTCCAACATAGGCCTGAAGGCGCTCCAAATGTCCACTTCCAGATACTACAAAAGGAGTGATTCAAACCTGCTCTATGATAGGGAATGTTCAACTCTGTGTCCTGAATACAAACATCACAAAGATGTTTCTCAGAACGCTGCAGTCTGCAATTTGTATGAATTCCGGCTTCCAACGAAATCCTCAAAACTAGCCAAATATCCACTTGCAGATTCCACAAAAAGAGCATTTCAAAACTGCTCTATCAAAAGAAAGGTTCAACTTTGTTAGTTGAGTAGATACAGCATAAACAAGTTTCTGAGAATGCTTCTGTCCAGTTTTTATGGGAAGATATTTCCTTTTTCACCTTAGCCCTGAAAGCGCTCCAAAAGTCCAGTTCCAGATACTACAAAAGGAGTGTTTCAGGACTGCTCTATGAAAGGGAGTGTTCAACTTTTGACTTGAATGCAAACATCAGAAAGCAGTTTCTCAGAACGCTGCAGTCTGCAATTTGTATGAATTCCCGCTTCCAACGAAATCCTCAAAACTAGCCAAATATCCACTTGCAGATTCCACAAAAAGAGCGTTTCAAAACTTCTCTATGAAAAGAAAGGTTCTACTCCTTTAGTTGAGGACACACATCACGAGTAAGTTTCTGAGAATGCTTCTGTCTAGTTTTTATGGGAAGATATTTCCTTTTTCACCTTAGGCCTTAAAGTGCTCCAAATGTCCACTTACACACACTACAAAAAGAGTGTTTCAAACCTGCTCTGTGAAAGGGAATGTTCAATTCTGTGACTTGAATGCAATCATCACAAAGAACGTTCTGAGAATGCTGCTGTCTGCTTTTTATATGTAATCCCGTTTCCAACGAAATCCTCAAATCTAGCCAAATATCAACTTGCAGATTCCACAAAAAGAGTGTTTCAAAACTGTTCTGTCTAAAGAAATGTTCAACTGTGTTAGTTGAGGACACACATCAGAAACTAGTTTCTGAGAATGCTTCTGTCTAGTTGTTATGGGAAGATATTTCCTTTTCCAACGTAGGCCTGAAAGCGCTCCAAATGTCCACTTACACACACTACAAAAAGAGTGTTTCAAACCTGCTCTACCAAAGGGAATGTTCTACTCTGTGACTTGAATGCAAACATCCCAAAGAAGTTTCTGAGAATGCTTCTGTCTAGATTTTACCTGAAGACAATCCCGTTTCCCACGAAATCCTCAAAGCTATGCAAATATCCTGTTGCAGATTCTACAAAAAGAGTGTTTCGAAACTGCTCTATGAAAAGAAAGGTTCAACTGTGTCAGTAGAGGGCACACATCACAAACAAGTTTCTGAGAATGCTTCTGTCTAGTTGTTATGGGAAGATATTTCCTTTTTCAACATAGGCCTGAAAGCGCTCCAAATGTCCACTTCCAGATAGTACAAAAGGAGTGATTCCAGCCTTCTCTATGATAGGGAATGTTCAACTCTGTGTCCTGAATACAAACATCACAAAGACGTTTCTCAGAACGCTGCAGTCTGCAATTTGTATGAATTCCCGCTTCCAACGAAATCCTCAAAACTAGCCAAATATCCACTTGCAGATTCCACAAAAAGTCCATTTCAAAACTGCTCTATCAAAAGAAAGGTTCAACTTTGTTAGTTGAGTAGATACAGCATAAACAAGATTCTGAGAATGCTTCTGTCCAGTTTTTATGGGAAGATATTTCCTTTTTCACCTTAGCCCTGAAATCGCTCCAAAAGTCCAGTTCCAGATACTACAAAAGGGGTGTTTCAAGACTGCTCTATGAAAGGGAGTGTTCAACTTTTGACTTGAATGCAAACATCAGAAAGCAGTTTCTCAGAACGCTGCTGTGTGCTTTTTATATGTATTCCCGCTTCCAGCGAAATCCCCAAAGCTAGCCAAATATCCACTTGCAGATTCCAGAAAAAGAGTGTTTCAAAACTGCTCCTTCAAAACGGTGGTTCAATTCTCTTAGTTGAGTACACACATCTCAAATAAGTTTCTGAGAATGCTTGTGTCTAGTTGTTATGGGAAGATATTTCCTTTTTCAACATAGGCCTGAAAGCGCTCCAAATGTCCACTTCCAGATACTACAAAAGGAGTGATTCCAACCTGCTCTATGATAGGGAATGTTCATGCTCTGTGTCCTGAATACAAACATCACAACGATGTTTCTGAGAACGCTGCAGTCTGCAATTTGTATGAATTCCCGCTTCCAACGAAATCCTCAAAACTAGCCAAATATCCACTTGGAGATTCCACAAAAAGAGCGTTTCAAAACTTCTCTATGAATAGAAAGGTTCTACTCCTTTAGTTGAGGACACACATCACGAGTAAGTTTCTGAGAATGCTTCTGTCTAGTTTTTATGGGAAGATATTTCCTTTTTCACCTTAGGCCGGTAAGTGCTCCAAATGTCCACTTACACACACTACAAAAAGAGTCTTTCAAACCTGCTCTGTGAAAGGGAATGTTCAATTCTGTGACTTGAATGCAATCATCACAAAGAACTTTCTGAGAATGCTGCTGACTGCTTTTTATATGTAATCCCGTTTCCAACGAAATCCTCAAATCTAGCCCAATATCCACTTGCAGATTCCACAAAAAGAGTGTTTCAAAACTGTTCTGTCTAAAGAAATATACAACTGTGTTAGTTGAGGACACACATCAGAAACTAGTTTCTGAGAATGCTTCTGTCTAGTTGTTATGGGAAGATATTTCCTTTTCCAACGTAGGCCTGAAAGCGATCCAAATGTCCACTTCCATATACTAAAAAAAGAGTGTTTCAAACCTGCTCTACCAAAGGGAATGTTCTACTCTGTGACTTGAATGCAAACATCCCAAAGAAGTTTCTGAGAATGCTTCTGTCTAGATTTTATCTGAAGACAATCCCGTTTCCAACGAAATCCTCAAGGCTAGGCAAATATACTCTTGCAGATTCCAGAAAAAGAGTGTTTCAAAACTGCTCCTTCAAAACGGTGGTTCAATTCTCTTAGTTGAGTACACACATCTCAAATAAGTTTCTGAGAATGCTTCTGCCTAGTTGTTACGGGAAGATATTTCCCTTTCCAACATAGGCCTGAAAGCGCTCCAAATGTCCACTTCCAGATACTACAAAAAGAGTGTTTCAAACCTGCTCTACCAAAGGGAATGTTCTACTCTGTGACTTGAATGCAAACATCCCAAAGAAGTTTCTGAGAATGCTTCTGTCTAGATTTTACCTGAAGACAATCCCGTTTCCCACGAAATCCTCAAAGCTATGCAAATATCCTCTTGCAGATTCTACAAAAAGAGTGTTTCAAAACTGCTCTATGAAAAGAAAGGTTCAACTCTGTCAGTAGAGGGCACACATCACAAACAAGTTTCTGAGAATGCTTGTGTCTAGTTGTTATGGGAAGATATTTCCTTTTTCAACATAGGCCTGAAAGCGCTCCAAATGTCCACTTCCAGATACTACAAAAGGAGTGATTCCAACCTGCTCTATGATAGGGAATGTTCATCTCTGTGTCCTGAATACAAACATCACAAAGATGTTTCTCAGAACGCTGCAGTCTGCAATTTGTATGAATTCCCGCTTCCAACGAAATCCTCAAAACTAGCCAAATATCCACTTGCAGATTCCACAAAAAGACCATTTCAAAACTGCTCTATCAAAAGAAAGGTTCAACTTTGTTAGTTGAGTAGATACAGCATAACCAAGTTTCTGAGAATGCTTCTGTCCAGTTTTTATGGGAAGATATTTCCTTTTTCACCTTAGCCCTGAAAGCGCTCCAAAAGTCCAGTTCCAGATACTACAAAAGGAGTGTTTCAGGACTGCTCTATGAAAGGGAGTGTTCAACTTTTGACTTGAATGCAAACATCAGAAAGCAGTTTCTCAGAACGCTGCTGTGTGCTTTTTATATGTATTCCCGCTTCCAGCGAAATCCCCAAAGCTAGCCAAATATCCACTTGCAGATTCCAGAAAAAGAGTGTTTCAAAACTGCTCCTTCAAACCGGTGGTTCAATTCTCTTAGTTGAGTACACACATCTCAAATAAGTTTCTGAGAATGCTTGTGTCTAGTTGTTATGGGAAGATATTTCCTTTTTCAACATAGGCCTGAAAGCGCTCCAAATGTCCACTTCCAGATACTACAAAAGGAGTGATTCCAACCTGCTCTATGATAGGGAATGTTCAACTCTCTGTCCTGAATACAAACATCACAAAGATGTTTCTCAGAACGCTGCAGTCTGCAATTTGTATGAATTCCCGCTTCCAACGAAATCCTCCAAACTAGCCAAATATCCACTTGCAGATTCCACAAAAAGAGCGTTTCAAAACTTCTCTATGAAAAGAAAGGTTCTACTCCTTTAGTTGAGGACACACATCACGAGTAAGTTTCTGAGAATGCTTCTGTCTAGTTTTTATGGGAAGATATTTCCTTTTTCACCTTAGGCCGGAAAGTGCTCCAAATGTCCACTTACACACACTACAAAAAGAGTGTTTCAAACCTGCTCTGTGAAAGGGAATGTTCAATTCTGTGACTTGAATGCAATCATCACAAAGAAAGTTCTGAGAATGCTGCTGTCTGCTTTTTATATATAATCCCGTTTCCAACGAAATCCTCAAATCTAGCCCAATATCCACTTGCAGATTCCACAAAAAGAGTGTTTCAAAACTGTTCTGTCTAAAGAAATGTACAACTGTGTTAGTTGAGGACACACATCAGAAACTAGTTTCTGAGAATGCTTCTGTCTAGTTGTTATGGGAAGATATTTCCTTTTCCAACGTAGGCCTGAAAGCGCTCCAAATGTCCACTTCCATATACTAAAAAAAGAGTGTTTCAAACCTGCTCTACCAAAGGGAATATTCTACTCTGTGACTTGAATGCAAACATCCCAAAGAAGTTTCTGAGAATGCTTCTGTCTAGATTTTCTCTGAAGACAATCCCGTTTCCAACGAAATCCTCAAGGCTAGGCAAATATACTCTTGCAGATTCCAGAAAAAGAGTGTTTCAAAACTGCTCCTTCAAAACGGTGGTTCAATTCTCTTAGTTGAGTACACACATCTCAAATAAGTTTCTGAGAATGCTTCTGCCTAGTTGTTACGGGAAGATATTTCCCTTTCCAACATGGTCCTGAAAGCGCTCCAAATGTCCACTTCCAGATACTACAAAAAGAGTGTTTCAAACCTGCTCTACCAAAGGGAATGTTCTACTCTGTGACTTGAATGCAAACATCCCAAAGAAGTTTCTGAGAATGCTTCTGTCTAGATTTTACCTGAAGACAATCCCGTTTCCCACGAAATCCTCAAAGCTATGCAAATATCCTCTTGCAGATTCTACAAAAAGAGTGTTTCAAAACTGCTCTATGAAAAGAAAGGTTCAACTCTGTCAGTAGAGGGCACACATCACAAACAAGTTTCTGAGAATGCTTCTGCATAGTTGTTACGGGAAGATATTTCCCTTTCCAAAATAGGCCTGAAAGCGCTCCAAATGTCCACTTCCAGATACTACAAAAGGAGTGATTCCAACCTGCTCTATGATAGGGAATGTTCAACTCTGTGTCCTGAATACAAACATCACAAAGATGTTTCTCAGAACGCTGCAGTCTGCAATTTGTATGAATTCCCGCTTCCAACGAAATCCTCAAAACTAGCCAAATATCCACTTGCAGATTCCACAAAAAGACCATTTCAAAACTGCTCTATCAAAAGAAAGGTTCAACTTTGTTAGTTGAGTAGATACAGCATAAACAAGTTTCTGAGAATGCTTCTGTCCAGTTTTTATGGGAAGATATTTCCTTTTTCACCTTAGCCCTGAAATCGCTCCAAAAGTCCAGTTCCAGATACTACAAAAGGGGTGTTTCAAGACTGCTCTATGAAAGGGAGTGTTCAACTTTTGACTTGAATGCAAACATCAGAAAGCAGTTTCTCAGAACGCTGCTGTGTGCTTTTTATATGTATTCCCGCTTCCAGCGAAATCCCCAAAGCTAGCCAAATATCCACTTGCAGATTCCAGAAAAAGAGAGTTTCAAAACTGCTCCTTCAAAACGGTGGTTCAATTCTCTTAGTTGAGTACACACATCTCAAATAAGTTTCTGAGAATGCTGCAGTCTGCAATTTGTATGAATTCCCGCTTCCAACGAAATCCTCAAAACTAGCCAAATATCCACTTGGAGATTCCACAAAAAGAGCGTTTCAAAACTTCTCTATGAATAGAAATGTTCTACTCCTTTAGTTGAGGACACACATCACGAGTAAGTTTCTGAGAATGCTTCTGTCTAGTTTTTATGGGAAGATATTTCCTTTTTCACCTTAGGCCGGTAAGTGCTCCAAATGTCCACTTACACACACTACAAAAAGAGTGTTTCAAACCTGCTCTGTGAAAGGGAATGTTCAATTCTGTGACTTGAATGCAATCATCACAAAGAACTTTCTGAGAATGCTGCTGACTGCTTTTTATATGTAATCCCGTTTCCAACGAAATCCTCAAATCTAGCCAAATAGCCACTTGCAGATTCCACAAAAAGAGTGTTTCAAAACTGTTCTGTCTAAAGAAATGTTCAACTGTGTTAGTTGAGGACACACATCAGAAACTAGTTTCTGAGAATGCTTCTGTCTAGTTGTTATGGGAAGATATTTCCTTTTCCAACGTAGGCCTGAAAGCGCTCCAAATGTCCACTTCCATATACTAAAAAAAGAGTGTTTCAAACCTGCTCTACCAAAGGGAATGTTCTACTCTGTGACTTGAATGCAAACATCCCAAAGAAGTTTCTGAGAATGCTTCTGTCTAGATTTTCTCTGAAGACAATCCCGTTTCCAACGAAATCCTCATGGCTAGGCAAATATACTCTTGCAGATTCCAGAAAAAGAGTGTTTCAAAACTGCTCCTTCAAAACGGTGGTTCAATTCTCTTAGTTGAGTACACACATCTCAAATAAGTTTCTGAGAATGCTTCTGCCTAGTTGTTACGGGAAGATATTTCCCTTTCCAACATGGGCCTGAAAGCGCTCCAAATGTCCACTTCCAGATACTACAAAAAGAGTGTTTCAAACCTGCTCTACCAAAGGGAATGTTCTACTCTGTGACTTGAATGCAAACATCCCAAAGAAGTTTCTGAGAATGCTTCTGTCTAGATTTTACCTGAAGACAATCCCGTTTCCCACGAAATCCTCAAAGCTATGCAAATATCCTCTTGCAGATTCTACAAAAAGAGTGTTTCAAAACTGCTCTATGAAAAGAAAGGTTCAACTCTGTCAGTAGAGGGCACACATCACAAACAAGTTTCTGAGAATGCTTCTGCATAGTTGTTACGGGAAGATATTTCCCTTTCCAAAATAGGCCTGAAAGCGCTCCAAATGTCCACTTCCAGATACTACAAAAGGAGTGATTCCAACCTGCTCTATGATAGGGAATGTTCAACTCTGTGTCCTGAATACAAACATCACAAAGATGTTTCTCAGAACGCTGCAGTCTGCAATTTGTATGAATTCCCGCTTCCAACGAAATCCTCAAAACTAGCCAAATATCCACTTGCAGATTCCACAAAAAGAGCATTTCAAAACTGCTCTATCAAAAGAAAGGTTCAACTTTGTTAGTTGAGTAGATACAGCATAAACAAGTTTGCTGAGAATGCTTCTGTCCAGTTTTTATGGGAAGATATTTCCTTTTTCACCTTAGCCCTGAAAGCGCTCCAAAAGTCCAGTTCCAGATACTACAAAAGGAGTGTTTCAGGACTGCTCTATGAAAGGGAGTGTTCAACTTTTGACTTGAATGCAAACATCAGAAAGCAGTTTCTCAGAACGCTGCTGTGTGCTTTTTATATGTATTCCCGCTTCCAGCGAAATCCCCAAAGCTAGCCAAATATCCACTTGCAGATTCCAGAAAAAGAGTGTTTCAAAACTGCTCCTTCAAAACGGTGGTTCAATTCTCTTAGTTGAGTACACACATCTCAAATAAGTTTCTGAGAATGCTTCTGTCCAGTTTTTATGGGAAGATATTTCCTTTTTCACCTTAGCCCTGAAAGCGCTCCAAATGTCCAGTTCCAGATACTACAAAAGGGGTGTTTCAAGACTGCTCTATCAAAGGGAGTGTTCAACTTTTGACTTGAATGCAAACATCAGAAAGCTGTTTCTCAGAACGCTGCTGTGTGCTTTTTATATGTATTCCCGCTTCCAGCGAAATCCCCAAAGCTAGCCAAATATCCACTTGCAGATTCCAGAAAAAGAGTGTTTCAAAACTGCTCCTTCAAAACGGTGGTTCAATTCTCTTAGTTGAGTACACACATCTCAAATAAGTTTCTCAGAATGCTTCTGTCTAGTTTTTATGGGAAGATATTTCCTTTTTCACCTTAGGCCGGAAAGTGCTCCAAATGTCCACTTACACACACTACAAAAAGAGTGTTTCAAACCTGCTCTGTGAAAGGGAATGTTCAATTCTGTGACTTGAATGCAATCATCACAAAGAACTTTCTGAGAATGCTGCTGTCTGCTTTTTATATGTAATCCCGTTTCCAACGAAATCCTCAAATCTAGCCAAATAGCCACTTGCAGATTCCACAAAAAGAGTGTTTCAAAACTGTTCTGTCTAAAGAAATGTTCAACTGTGTTAGTTGAGGACAGACATCAGAAACTAGTTTCTGAGAATGCTTCTGTCTAGTTGTTATGGGAAGATATTTCCTTTTCCAACGTAGGCCTGAAAGCGCTCCAAATGTCCACTTCCATATACTAAAAAAAGAGTGTTTCAAACCTGCTCTACCAAAGGGAATGTTCTACTCTGTGACATGAATGCAAACATCCCAAAGAAGTTTCTGAGAATGCTTCTGTCTAGATTTGATCTGAAGACAATCCCGTTTCCAACGAAATCCTCAAGGCTAGGCAAATATCCTCTTGCAGAGTCCAGAAAAAGAGTGTTTCAAAACTGCTCCTTCAAAACGGTGGTTCAATTCTCTTAGTTGAGTACACACATCTCAAATAAGTTTCTGAGAATGCTTCTGCCTAGTTGTTACGGGAAGATATTTCCCTTTCCAACATAGGCCTGAAAACGCTCCAAATGTCCACTTCCAGATACTACAAAAAGAGTGTTTCAAACCTGCTCTACCAAAGGGAATGTTCTGCTCTGTGACTTGAATGCAAACATCCCAAAGAAGTTTCTGAGAATCCTTCTGTCTAGATTTTACCTGAAGACAATCCCGTTTCCCACGAAATCCTCAAAGCTATGCAAATATCCTCTTGCAGATTCTACAAAAAGAGTGTTTCAAAACTGCTCTATGAAAAGAAAGGTTCAACTCTGTCAGTAGAGGGCACACATCACAAACAAGTTTCTGAGAATGCTTGTGTCTACTTGTTATGGGAAGATATTTCCTTTTTCAACATAGGCCTGAAAGCGCTCCAAATGTCCACTTCCAGATACTACAAAAGGAGTGATTCCAACCTGCTCTATGATAGGGAATGTTCAACTCTGTGTCCTGAATACAAACATCACAAAGATGTTTCTCAGAACGCTGCAGTCTGCAATTTGTATGAATTCCCGCTTCCAACGAAATCCTCAAAACTAGCCAAATATCCACTTGCAGATTCCACAAAAAGACCATTTCAAAACTGCTCTATCAAAAGAAAGGTTCAACTTTGTTAGTTGAGTAGATACAGCATAACCAAGTTTCTGAGAATGCTTCTGTCCAGTTTTTATGGGAAGATATTTCCTTTTTCACCTTAGCCCTGAAAGCGCTCCAAAAGTCCAGTTCCAGATACTACAAAAGGAGTGTTTCAGGACTGCTCTATGAAAGGGAGTGTTCAACTTTTGACTTGAATGCAAACATCAGAAAGCAGTTTCTCAGAACGCTGCTGTGTGCTTTTTATATGTATTCCCGCTTCCAGCGAAATCCCCAAAGCTAGCCAAATATCCACTTGCAGATTCCAGAAAAAGAGTGTTTCAAAACTGCTCCTTCAAAACGGTGGTTCAATTCTCTTAGTTGAGTACACACATCTCAAATAAGTTTCTGAGAATGCTTCTGTCTAGTTGTTATGGGAAGATATTTCCTTTTCCAACATAGGCCTGAAAGCGCTCCAAATGTCCACTTCCAGATACTACAAAAGGAGTGATTCCAACCTGCTCTATGATAGGGAATGTTCAACTCTGTGTCCTGAATACAAACATCACAAAGATGTTTCTCAGAACGCTGCAGTCTGCAATTTGTATGAATTCCCGCTTCCAACGAAATCCTCCAAACTAGCCAAATATCCACTTGCAGATTCCACAAAAAGAGCGTTTCAAAACTTCTCTATGAAAAGAAAGGTTCTACTCCTTTAGTTGAGGACACACATCACGAGTAAGTTTCTGAGAGTGCTTCTGTCTAGTTTTTATGGGAAGATATTTCCTTTTTCACCTTAGGCCGGAAAGTGCTCCAAATGTCCACTTACACACACTACAAAAAGAGTGTTTCAAACCTGCTCTGTGAAAGGGAATGTTCAATTCTGTGACTTGAATGCAATCATCACAAAGAAGTTTCTGAGAATGCTGCTGACTGCTTTTTATATGTAATCCCGTTTCCAACGAAATCCTCAAATCTAGCCAAATAGCCACTTGCAGATTCCACAAAAAGAGTGTTTCAAAACTGTTCTGTCTAAAGAAATGTTCAACTGTGTTAGTTGAGGACACACATCAGAAACTAGTTTCTGAGAATGCTTCTGTCTAGTTGTTATGGGAAGATATTTCCTTTTCCAACGTAGGCCCTGAAAGCGATCAAAATGTCCACTTCCATATACTAAAAAAAGAGTGTTTCAAACCTGCTCTACCAAAGGGAATGTTCTACTCTGTGACTTGAATGCAAACATCCCAAAGAAGTTTCTGAGAATGCTTCTGTCTAGATTGGATCTGAAGACAATCCCGTTTCCAACGAAATCCTCAAATCTATGCAAATATCCTCTTGCAGATTCCAGAAAAAGAGTGTTTCAAAACTGCTCCTTCAAAACGGTGGTTCAATTCTCTTAGTTGAGTACACACATCTCAAATAAGTTTCTGAGAATGCTTCTGCCTAGTTGTTACGGGAAGATATTTCCCTTTCCAACATAGGCCTGAAAGCGCTCCAAATGTCCACTTCCAGATACTACAAAAAGAGTGTTTCAAACCTGCTCTACCAAAGGGAATGTTCTACTCTGTGACTTGAATGCAAACATCCCGAAGAATTTTCTGAGAATGCTTTCTGTCTAGATTTTACCTGAAGACAATCCCGTTTCCCACGAAATCCTCAAAGCTATGCAAATATCCTCTTGCAGATTCTACAAAAAGAGTGTTTCAAAACTGCTCTATGAAAAGAAAGGTTCAACTCTGTCAGTAGAGGGCACACATCACAAACAAGTTTCTGAGAATGCTTGTGTCTAGTTGTTATGGGAAGATATTTCCTTTTTCAACATAGGCCTGAAAGCGCTCCAAATGTCCACTTCCAGATACTACAAAAGGAGTGATTCCAACCTGCTCTATGATAGGGAATGTTCAACTCTGTGTCCTGAATACAAACATCACAAAGATGTTTCTCAGAACGCTGCAGTCTGCAATTTGTATGAATTCCCGCTTCCAACGAAATCCTCAAAACTAGCCAAATATCCACTTGCAGATTCCACAAAAAGAGCATTTCAAAACTTCTCTATCAAAAGAAAGGTTCAACTTTGTTAGTTGAGTAGATACAGCATGAACAAGTTTCTGAGAATGCTTCTGTCCAGTTTTTATGGGAAGATATTTCCTTTTTCACCTTAGCCCTGCAAGCGCTCCAAATGTCCAGTTCCAGATATTAGAAAAGGGGTGTTTCAAGCCCGCTCTATGAAAGGGAGTGTTCAACTTTTGACTTGAATGCAAACATCAGAAAGCAGTTTCTCAGAACGCTGCTGTGTGCTTTTTATATGTATTCCCGCTTCCAGCGAAATCCCCAAAGCTAGCCAAATATCCACTTGCAGATTACAGAAAAAGAGTGTTTCAAAACTGCTCCTTCAAAACGGTGCTTCAATTCTCCTAGTTGAGTACACACGTCTCAAATAGGTTTCTGGGAATGCTTCTGTCTAGCTGTTATGGGAAGATATTTCCTTTTCCAACATAGGCCTGAAAGCGCTCCAAATGTCCACTTCCAGATACGACAAAAGGAGTGATTCCAACCTGCTCTATGGTAGGGAATGTTCAACTCTGTGTCCTGAATACAAACATCACAAAGATGTTTCTCAGAACGCTGCAGTCTGCAATTTGTATGAATTCCCGCTTCCAACGAAATCCTCAAAACTAGCCAAATATCCACTTGCAGATTCCACAAAAAGAGCGTTTCAAAACTTCTCTATGAAAAGAAAGGTTCTACTCCTTTAGTTGAGGACACACATCACGAGTAAGTTTCTGAGAATGCTTCTGTCTAGTTTTTATGGGAAGATATTTCCTTTTTCACCTTAGGCCGGAAAGCGCTCCAAATGTCCACTTACACACACTACAAAAAGAGTGTTTCAAACCTGCTCTGTGAAAGGGAATGTTCAATTCTGTGACTTGAATGCAATCATCACAAAGAACTTTCTGAGAATGCTGCTGACTGCTTTTTATATGTAATCCCGTTTCCAACGAAATCCTCAAATCTAGCCCAATATCCACTTGCAGATTCCACAAAAAGAGTGTTTCAAAACTGTTCTGTCTAAAGAAATGTACAACTGTGTTAGTTGAGGACACACATCAGAAACTAGTTTCTGAGAATGCTTCTGTCTAGTTGTTATGGGAAGATATTTCCTTTTCCAACGTAGGCCTGAAAGCGCTCCAAATGTCCACTTCCATATACTAAAAAAAGAGTGTTTCAAACCTGCTCTACCAAAGGGAATGTTCTACTCTGTGACTTGAATGCAAACATCCCAAAGAAGTTTCTGAGAATGCTTCTGTCTAGATTTGATCTGAAGACAATCCCGTTTCCAACGAAATCCTCAAGGCTAGGCAAATATCCTCTTGCAGATTCCAGAAAAAGAGTGTTTCAAAACTGCTCCTTCAAAACGGTGGTTCAATTCTCTTAGTTGAGTACACACATCTCAAATAAGTTTCTGAGAATGCTTCTGCCTAGTTGTTACGGGAAGATATTTCCCTTTCCAACATAGGCCTGAAAGCGCTCCAAATGTCCACTTCCAGATACTACAAAAAGAGTGTTTCAAACCTGCTCTACCAAAGGGAATGTTCTACTCTGTGACTTGAATGCAAACATCCCAAAGAAGTTTCTGAGAATGCTTCTGTCTAGATTTTACCTGAAGACAATCCCGTTTCCCACGAAATCCTCAAAGCTATGCAAATATCCTCTTGCAGATTCTACAAAAAGAGTGTTTCAAAACTGCTCTATGAAAAGAAAGGTTCAACTCTGTCAGCAGAGGGCACACATCACAAACAAGTTTCTGAGAATGCTTGTGTCTAGTTGTTATGGGACGATATTTCCTTTTTCAACATAGGCCTGAAAGCGCTCCAAATGTCCACTTCCAGATACTACAAAAGGAGTGATTCCAACCTGCTCTATGATAGGTAATGTTCATCTCTGTGTCCTGAATACAAACATCACAAACATGTTTCTCAGAACGCTGCAGTCTGCAATTTGTATGAATTCCCACATCCAACGAAATCCTCAAAACTAGCCAAATATCCACTTGGAGATTCCACAAAAAGAGCGTTTCAAACCTTCTCTATGAATAGAAAGGTTCTACTCCTTTAGTTGAGGACACACATCACGAGTAAGTTTCTGAGAATGCTTCTGTCTAGTTTTTATGGGAAGATATTTCCTTTTTCACCTTAGGCCGGTAAGTGCTCCAAATGTCCACTTACACACACTACAAAAAGAGTGTTTCAAACCTGCTCTGTGAAAGGGAATGTTCAATTCTGTGACTTGAATGCAATCATCACAAAGAACTTTCTGAGAATGCTGCTGTCTGCTTTTTATATGTAATCCCGTTTCCAACGAAATCCTCAAATCTAGCCAAATATCCACTTGCAGATTCCACAAAGAGAGTGTTTCAAAACTGTTCTGTCTAAAGAAATGTTCAACTGTGTTAGTTGAGGACACACATCAGAAACTAGTTTCTGAGAATGCTTCTGTCTAGTTGTTATGGGAAGATATTTCCTTTTCCAACGTAGGCCTGAAAGCGCTCCAAATGTCCACTTCCATATACTAAAAAAAGAGTGTTTCAAACCTGCTCTACCAAAGGGAATGTTCTACTCTGTGACTTGAATGCAAACATCCCAAAGAAGTTTCTGAGAATGCTTCTGTCTAGATTTTCTCTGAAGACAATCCCGTTTCCAACGAAATCCTCAAGGCTAGGCAAATATCCTCTTGCAGATTCCAGAAAAAGAGTGTTTCAAAACTGCTCCTTCAAAACGGTGGTTCAATTCTCTTAGTTGAGTACACACATCTCAAATAAGTTTCTGAGAATGCTTCTGCCTAGTTGTTACGGGAAGATATTTCCCTTTCCAACATGGGCCTGAAAGCGCTCCAAATGTCCACTTCCAGATACTACAAAAAGAGTGTTTCAAACCTGCTCTACCAAAGGGAATGTTCTACTCTGTGACTTGAATGCAAACATCCCAAAGAAGTTTCTGAGAATGCTTCTGTCTAGATTTTACCTGAAGACAATCCCGTTTCCCACGAAATCCTCAAAGCTATGCAAATATCCTCTTGCAGATTCTACAAAAAGAGTGTTTCAAAACTGCTCTATGAAAAGAAAGGTTCAACTCTGTCAGTAGAGGGCACAACATCACAAACAAGTTTCTGAGAATGCTTGTGTCTAGTTGTTATGGGAAGATATTTCCTTTTTCAACATAGGCCTGAAAGCGCTCCAAATGTCCACTTCCAGATACTACAAAAGGAGTGATTCCAACCTGCTCTATGATAGGGAATGTTCAACTCTCTGTCCTGAATACAAACATCACAAAGATGTTTCTCAGAACGCTGCAGTCTGCAATTTGTATGAATTCCCGCTCCCAACGAAATCCTCAAAACTAGCCAAATATCCACTTGCAGATTCCACAAAAAGAGCATTTCAAAACTGCTCTATCAAAAGAAAGGTTCAACTTTGTTAGTTGAGTAGATACAGCATAAACAAGTTTCTGAGAATGCTGCAGTCTGCAATTTGTATGAATTCCCGCTTCCAACGAAATCCTCAAAACTAGCCAAATATCCACTTGGAGATTCCACAAAAAGAGCGTTTCAAAACTTCTCTATGAATAGAAAGGTTCTACTCCTTTAGTTGAGGACACACATCACGAGTAAGTTTCTGAGAATGCTTCTGTCTAGTTTTTATGGGAAGATATGTCCTTTTTCACCTTAGGCCAGAAAGCGCTCCAAATGTCCACTTACACACACTACAAAAAGAGTGTTTCAAACCTCCTCTGTGAAAGGGAATGTTCAATTCTGTGACTTGAATGCAATCATCACAAAGAACTTTCTGAGAATGCTGCTGACTGCTTTTTATATGTAATCCCGTTTCCAACGAAATCCTCAAATCTAGCCCAATATCCACTTGCAGATTCCACAAAAAGAGTGTTTCAAAACTGTTCTGTGTAAAGAAATGTACAACTGTGTTAGTTGAGGACACACATCAGAAACTAGTTTCTGAGAATGCTTCTGTCTAGTTGTTATGGGAAGATATTTCCTTTTCCAACATAGGCCTGAAAGCGCTCCAAATGTCCACTTCCAGATACTACAAAAAGAGTGTTTCAAACCTGCTCTACCAAAGGGAATGTTCTACTCTGTGACTTGAATGCAAACATCCCAAAGAAGTTTCTGAGAATGCTTCTGTCTAGATTTTACCTGAAGACAATCCCGTTTCCTACGAAATCCTCAAAGCTATGCAAATATCCTCTTGCAGATTCTACAAAAAGAGTGTTTCAAAACTGCTCTATGAAAAGAAAGGTTCAACTCTGTCAGTAGAGGGCACACATCACAAACAAGTTTCTGAGAATGCTTGTGTCTAGTTGTTATGGGAAGATATTTCCTTTTTCAACATAGGCCTGAAAGCGCTCCAAATGTCCACTTCCAGATACTACAAAAGGAGTGATTCCAACCTGCTCTATGATAGGGAATGTTCAACTCTCTGTCCTGAATACAAACATCACAAAGATGTTTCTCAGAACGCTGCAGTCTGCAATTTGTATGAATTCCCGCTTCCAACGAAATCCTCAAAACTAGCCAAATATCCACTTGCAGATTCCACAAAAAGAGCGTTTCAAAACTTCTCTATGAAAAGAAAGGTTCTACTCCTTTAGTTGAGGACACACATCACGAGTAAGTTTCTGAGAATGCTTCTGTCTAGTTTTTATGGGAAGATATTTCCTTGTTCACCTTAGGCCGGAAAGCGCTCCAAATGTCCACTTACACACACTACAAAAAGAGTGTTTCAAACCTGCTCTGTGAAAGGGAATGTTCAATTCTGTGACTTGAATGCAATCATCACAAAGAAGTTTCTGAGAATGCTGCTGTCTGCTTTTTATACGTAATCCCGTTTCCAACGAAATCCTCAAATCTAGCCAAATATCCACTTGCAGATTCCACAAAGAGAGTGTTTCAAAACTGTTCTGTCTAAAGAAATGTTCACTTGTGTTCGTTGAGGACACACATCAGAAACTAGTTTCTGAGAATGCTTCTGTCTAGTTGTTATGGGAAGATATTTCCTTTTCCAACGTAGGCCTGAAAGCGCTCCAAATGTCCACTTCCATATACTAAAAAAAGAGTGTTTAAAACCTGCTCTACCAAAGGGAATGTTCTACTCTGTGACTTGAATGCAAACATCCCAAAGAAGTTTCTGAGAATGCTTCTGTCTAGATTTGATCTGAAGACAATCCCGTTTCCAACGAAACCCTCAAATCTATGCAAATATCCTCTTGCAGATTCCAGAAAAAGAGTGTTTCAAAACTGCTCCTTCAAAACGGTGGTTCAATTCTCTTAGTTGAGTACACACATCTCAAATAAGTTTCTGAGAATGCTTCTGCCTAGTTGTTACGGGAAGATATTTCCTTTTCCAACATGGGCCTGAAAGCGCTCCAAATGTCCACTTCCAGATACTACAAAAAGAGTGTTTCAAACCTGCTCTACCAAAGGGAATGTTCTACTCTGTGACTTGAATGCAAACATCCCAAAGAAGTTTCTGAGAATGCTTCTGTCTAGATTTTACCTGAAGACAATCCCGTTTCCCACGAAATCCTCAAAGCTATGCAAATATCCTCTTGCAGATTCTACAAAAAGAGTGTTTCAAAACTGCTCTATGAAAAGAAAGGTTCAACTCTGTCAGTAGAGGGCACACATCACAAACAAGTTTCTGAGAATGCTTCTGCATAGTTGTTACGGGAAGATATTTCCCTTTCCAAAATAGGCCTGAAAGCGCTCCAAATGTCCACTTCCAGATACTACAAAAGGAGTGATTCCAACCTGCTCTATGATAGGGAATGTTCAACTCTGTGTCCTGAATACAAACATCACAAAGATGTTTCTCAGAACGCTGCAGTCTGCAATTTGTATGAATTCCCGCTTCCAACGAAATCCTCAAAACTAGCCAAATATCCACTTGCAGATTCCACAAAAAGACCATTTCAAAACTGCTCTATCAAAAGAAAGGTTCAACTTTGTTAGTTGAGTAGATACAGCATAAACAAGTTTCTGAGAATGCTTCTGTCCAGTTTTTATGGGAAGATATTTCCTTTTTCACCTTAGCCCTGAAATCGCTCCAAAAGTCCAGTTCCAGATACTACAAAAGGGGTGTTTCAAGACTGCTCTATGAAAGGGAGTGTTCAACTTTTGACTTGAATGCAAACATCAGAAAGCAGTTTCTCAGAACGCTGCTGTGTGCTTTTTATATGTATTCCCGCTTCCAGCGAAATCCCCAAAGCTAGCCAAATATCCACTTGCAGATTCCAGAAAAAGAGTGTTTCAAAACTGCTCCTTCAAAACGGTGGTTCAATTCTCTTAGTTGAGTACACACATCTCAAATAAGTTTCTGAGAATGCTGCTGTGTGCTTTTTATATGTATTCCCGCTTCCAGCGAAATCCCCAAAGCTAGCCAAATATCCACTTGCAGATTCCAGAAAAAGAGTGTTTCAAAACTGCTCCTTCAAAACGGTGGTTCAATTCTCTTAGTTGAGTACACACATCTCAAATAAGTTTCTGAGAATGCTGCAGTCTGCAATTTGTATGAATTCCCGCTTCCAACGAAATCCTCAAAACTAGCCAAATATCCACTTGCAGATTCCACAAAAAGAGCGTTTCAAAACTTCTCTATGAAAAGAAAGGTTCTACTCCTTTAGTTGAGGACACACATCACGAGTAAGTTTCTGAGAATGCTTCTGTCTAGTTTTTATGGGAAGATATTTCCTTTTTCACCTTAGGCCGGTAAGTGCTCCAAATGTCCACTTACACACACTACAAAAAGAGTGTTTCAAACCTGCTCTGTGAAAGGGAATGTTCAATTCTGTGACTTGAATGCAATCATCACAAAGAACTTTCTGAGAATGCTGCTGTCTGCTTTTTATATGTAATCCCGTTTCCAACGAAATCCTCAAATCTAGCCAAATAGCCACTTGCAGATTCCACAAAAAGAGTGTTTCAAAACTGTTCTGTCTAAAGAAATGTACAACTGTGTTAGTTGAGGACACATATCAGAAACTAGTTTCTGAGAATGCTTCTGTCTAGTTGTTATGGGAAGATATTTCCTTTTCCAACGTAGGCCTGAAAGCGCTCCAAATGTCCACTTCCATATACTAAAAAAAGAGTGTTTCAAACCTGCTCTACCAAAGGGAATGTTCTACTCTGTGACTTGAATGCAAACATCCCAAAGAAGTTTCTGAGAATGCTTCTGTCTAGATTTTCTCTGAAGACAATCCCGTTTCCAACGAAATCCTCAAGGCTAGGCAAATATACTCTTGCAGATTCCAGAAAAAGAGTGTTTCAAAACTGCTCCTTCAAAACGGTGGTTCAATTCTCTTAGTTGAGTACACACATCTCAAATAAGTTTCTGAGAATGCTTCTGCCTAGTTGTTACGGGAAGATATTTCCCTTTCCAACATGGGCCTGAAAGCGCTCCAAATGTCCACTTCCAGATACTACAAAAAGAGTGTTTCAAACCTGCTCTACCAAAGGGAATGTTCTACTCTGTGACTTGAATGCAAACATCCCAAAGAAGTTTCTGAGAATGCTTCTGTCTAGATTTTACCTGAAGACAATCCCGTTTCCCACGAAATCCTCAAAGCTATGCAAATATCCTCTTGCAGATTCTACAAAAAGAGTGTTTCGAAACTGCTCTATGAAAAGAAAGGTTCAACTCTGTCAGTAGAGGGCACACATCACAAACAAGTTTCTGAGAATGCTTGTGTCTAGTTGTTATGGGAAGATATTTCCTTTTTCAACATAGGCCTGAAAGCGCTCCAAATGTCCACTTCCAGATACTACAAAAGGAGTGATTCCAACCTGCTCTATGATAGGGAATGTTCAACTCTGTGTCCTGAATACAAACATCACAAAGATGTTTCTCAGAACGCTGCAGTCTGCAATTTGTATGAATTCCCGCTTCCAACGAAATCCTCAAAACTAGCCAAATATCCACTTGCAGATTCCACAAAAAGACCATTTCAAAACTGCTCTATCAAAAGAAAGGTTCAACTTTGTTAGTTGAGTAGATACAGCATAAACAAGTTTCTGAGAATGCTTCTGTCCAGTTTTTATGGGAAGATATTTCCTTTTTCACCTTAGCCCTGAAATCGCTCCAAAAGTCCAGTTCCAGATACTACAAAAGGGGTGTTTCAAGACTGCTCTATGAAAGGGAGTGTTCAACTTTTGACTTGAATGCAAACATCAGAAAGCAGTTTCTCAGAACGCTGCTGTGTGCTTTTTATATGTATTCCCGCTTCCAGCGAAATCCCCAAAGCTAGCCAAATATCCACTTGCAGATTCCAGAAAAAGAGTGTTTCAAAACTGCTCCTTCAAAACGGTGGTTCAATTCTCTTAGTTGAGTACACACATCTCAAATAAGTTTCTGAGAATGCTTGTGTCTAGTTGTTATGGGAAGATATTTCCTTTTTCAACATAGGCCTGAAAGCGCTCCAAATGTCCACTTCCAGATACTACAAAAGGAGTGATTCCAACCTGCTCTATGATAGGGAATGTTCATCTCTGTGTCCTGAATACAAACATCACAAAGATGTTTCTCAGAACGCTGCAGTCTGCAATTTGTATGAATTCCCGCTTCCAACGAAATCCTCAAAACTAGCCAAATATCCACTTGGAGATTCCACAAAAAGAGCGTTTCAAAACTTCTCTATGAATAGAAAGGTTCTACTCCTTTAGTTGAGGACACACATCACGAGTAAGTTTCTGAGAATGCTTCTGTCTAGTTTTTATGGGAAGATATTTCCTTTTTCACCTTAGGCCGGTAAGTGCTCCAAATGTCCACTTACACACACTACAAAAAGAGTCTTTCAAACCTGCTCTGTGAAAGGGAATGTTCAATTCTGTGACTTGAATGCAATCATCACAAAGAACTTTCTGAGAATGCTGCTGTCTGCTTTTTATATGTAATCCCGTTTCCAACGAAATCCTCAAATCTAGCCAAATAGCCACTTGCAGATTCCACAAAAAGAGTGTTTCAAAACTGTTCTGTCTAAAGAAAAGTTCAACTGTGTTAGTTGAGGACACACATCAGAAACTAGTTTCTGAGAATGCTTCTGTCTAGTTGTTATGGGAAGATATTTCCTTTTCCAACGTAGGCCTGAAAGCGCTCCAAATGTCCACTTCCATATACTAAAAAAAGAGTGTTTCAAACCTGCTCTACCAAAGGGAATGTTCTACTCTGTGACTTGAATGCAAACATCCCAAAGAAGTTTCTGAGAATGCTTCTGTCTAGATTTTATCTGAAGACAATCCCGTTTCCAACGAAATCTTCAAGGCTAGGCAAATATACTCTTGCAGTTTCCAGAAAAAGAGTGTTTCAAAACTGCTCCTTCAAAACGGTGGTTCAATTCTCTTAGTTGAGTACACACATCTCAAATAAGTTTCTGAGAATGCTTCTGCCTAGTTGTTACGGGAAGATATTTCCCTTTCCAACATGGGCCTGAAAGCGCTCCAAATGTCCACTTCCAGATACTACAAAAAGAGTGTTTCAAACCTGCTCTACCAAAGGGAATGTTCTACTCTGTGACTTGAATGCAAACATCCCAAAGAAGTTTCTGAGAATGCTTCTGTCTAGATTTTACCTGAAGACAATCCCGTTTCCCACGAAATCCTCAAAGCTATGCAAATATCCTCTTGCAGATTCTACAAAAAGAGTGTTTCAAAACTGCTCTATGAAAAGAAAGGTTCAACTCTGTCAGTAGAGGGCACACATCACAAACAAGTTTCTGAGAATGCTTCTGCCTAGTTGTTACGGGAAGATATTTCCCTTTCCAACGTGGGCCTGAAAGCGCTCCAAATGTCCACTTCCAGATACTACAAAAGGAGTGATTCCAACATGCTCTATGATAGGGAATGTTCATCTCTGTGTCTTGAATACAAACATCACAAAGATGTTTCTCAGAACGCTCAGTCTGCAATTTGTATGAATTCCCGCTTCCAACGAAATCCTCAAAACTAGCCAAATATCCACTTGCAGATTCCACAAAAAGACCATTTCAAAACTGCTCTATCAAAAGAAAGGTTCAACTTTGTTAGTTGAGTAGATACAGCATAAACAAGTTTCTGAGAATGCTTTCTGTCCAGTTTTTATGGGAAGATATTTCCTTTTTCACCTTAGCCCTGAAAGCGCTCCAAAAGTCCAGTTCCAGATACTACAAAAGGAGTGTTTCAGGACTGCTCTATGAAAGGGAGTGTTCAACTTTTGACTTGAATGCAAACATCAGAAAGCAGTTTCTCAGAACGCTGCTGTGTGCTTTTTATATGTATTCCCGCCTCCAGCGAAATCCCCAAAGCTAGCCAAATATCCACTTGCAGATTCCAGAAAAAGAGTGTTTCAAAACTGCTCCTTCAAAACGGTGGTTCAATTCTCTTAGTTGAGTACACACATCTCAAATAAGTTTCTGAGAATGCTGCTGTGTGCTTTTTATATGTATTCCCGCTTCCAGCGAAATCCCCAAAGCTAGCCAAATATCCACTTGCAGATTCCAGAAAAAGAGTGTTTCAAAACTGCTCCTTCAAAACGGTGGTTCAATTCTCTTAGTTGAGTACACACATCTCAAATAAGTTTCTGAGAATGCTGCAGTCTGCAATTTGTATGAATTCCCGCTTCCAACGAAATCCTCCAAACTAGCCAAATATCCACTTGCAGATTCCACAAAAAGAGCGTTTCAAAACTTCTCTATGAAAAGAAAGGTTCTACTCCTTTAGTTGAGGACACACATCACGAGTAAGTTTCTGAGAATGCTTCTGTCTAGTTTTTATGGGAAGATATTTCCTTTTTCACCTTAGGCCGGAAAGTGCTCCAAATGTCCACTTACACACACTATAAAAAGAGTGTTTCAAACCTGCTCTGTGAAAGGGAATGTTCAATTCTGTGACTTGAATGCAATCATCACAAAGAACTTTCTGAGAATGCTGCTGTCTGCTTTTTATATGTAATCCCGTTTCCAACGAAATCCTCAAATCTAGCCAAATAGCCACTTGCAGATTCCACAAAAAGAGAGTTTCAAAACTGTTCTGTCTAAAGAAATGTTCAACTGTGTTAGTTGAGGACACACATCAGAAACTAGTTTCTGAGAATGCTTCTGTCTAGTTGTTATGGGAAGATATTTCCTTTTCCAACGTAGGCCTGAAAGCGCTCCAAATGTCCACTTCCATATACTAAAAAAAGAGTGTTTCAAACCTGCTCTACCAAAGGGAATGTTCTACTCTGTGACTTGAATGCAAACATCCCAAAGAAGTTTCTGAGAATGCTTTTGTCTAGATTTTATCTGAAGACAATCCGGTTTCCAACGAAATCCTCAAGGCTAGGCAAATATACTCTTGCAGATTCCAGAAAAAGAGTGTTTCAAAACTGCTCCTTCAAAACGGTGGTTCAATTCTCTTAGTTGAGTACACACATCTCAAATAAGTTTCTGAGAATGCTTCTGCCTAGTTGTTAAGGGAAGATATTTCCCTTTCCAACATAGGCCTGAAAGCGTTCCAAATGTCCACTTCCAAATACTACAAAAAGAGTGTTTCAAACCTGCTCTACCAAAGGGAATGTTCTACTCTGTGACTTGAATGCAAACATCCCAAAGAAGTTTCTGAGAATGCTTCTGTCTAGATTTTACCTGAAGACAATCCCGTTTCCCACGAAATCCTCAAAGCTATGCAAATATCCTCTTGCAGATTCTACAAAAAGAGTGTTTCAAAACTGCTCTATGAAAAGAAAGGTTCAACTCTGTCAGTAGAGGGCACACATCACAAACAAGTTTCTGAGAATGCTTCTGCATAGTTGTTACGGGAAGATATTTCCCTTTCCAAAATAGGCCTGAAAGCGCTCCAAATGTCCACTTCCAGATACTACAAAAGGAGTGATTCCAACCTGCTCTATGATAGGGAATGTTCAACTCTCTGTCCTGAATACAAACATCACAAAGATGTTTCTCAGAACGCTGCAGTCTGCAATTTGTATGAATTCCCGCTTCCAACGAAATCCTCAAAACTAGCCAAATATCCACTTGCAGATTCCACAAAAAGACCATTTCAAAACTGCTCTATCAAAAGAAAGGTTCAACTTTGTTAGTTGAGTAGATACAGCATAAACAAGTTTCTGAGAATGCTTCTGTCCAGTTTTTATGGGAAGATATTTCCTTTTTTACCTTAGCCCTGAAAGCGCTCCAAAAGTCCAGTTCCAGATACTACAAAAGGAGTGTTTCAGGACTGCTCTATGAAAGGGAGTGTTCAACTTTTGACTTGAATGCAAACATCAGAAAGCAGTTTACTCAGAACGCTGCTGTGTGCTTTTTATATGTATTCCCGCTTCCAGCGAAATCCCCAAAGCTAGCCAAATATCCACTTGCAGATTCCAGAAAAAGAGTGTTTCAAAACTGCTCCTTCAAAACGGTGGTTCAATTCTCTTAGTTGAGTACACACATCTCAAATAAGTTTCTGAGAATGCTGCTGTGTGCTTTTTATATGTATTCCCGCTTCCAGCGAAATCCCCAAAGCTAGCCAAATATCCACTTGCAGATTCCAGAAAAAGAGTGTTTCAAAACTGCTCCTTCAAAACGGTGGTTCAATTCTCTTAGTTGAGTACACACATCTCAAATAAGTTTCTGAGAATGCTGCAGTCTGCAATTTGTATGAATTCCCGCTTCCAACGAAATCCTCAAAACTAGCCAAATATCCACTTGCAGATTCCACAAAAAGAGCGTTTCAAAACTTCTCTATGAAAAGAAAGGTTCTACTCCTTTAGTTGAGGACACACATCACGAGTAAGTTTCTGAGAATGCTTCTGTCTAGTTTTTATGGGAAGATATTTCCTTTTTCACCTTAGGCCGGAAAGCGCTCCAAATGTCCACTTACACACACTACAAAAAGAGGGTTTCAAACCTGCTCTGTGAAAGGGAATGTTCAATTCTGTGACTTGAATGCAGTCATCACAAAGAACTTTCTGAGAATGCTGCTGTCTGCTTTTTATATGTAATCCCGTTTCCAACGAAATCCTCAAATCTAGCCCAATATCCACTTGCAGATTCCACAAAAAGAGTGTTTCAAAACTGTTCTGTCTAAAGAAATGTACAACTGTGTTAGTTGAGGACACACATCAGAAACTAGTTTCTGAGAATGCTCTCTGTCTAGTTGTTATGGGAAGATATTTCCTTTTCCAACGTAGGCCTGAAAGTGCTCCAAATGTCCACTTCCATATACTAAAAAAAGAGTGTTTCAAACCTGCTCTACCAAAGGGAATGTTCTACTCTGTGACTTGAATGCAAACATCCCAAAGAAGTTTCTGAGAATGCTTCTGTCTAGATTTTATCTGAAGACAATCCCGTTTCCAACGAAATCCTCAAGGCTAGGCAAATATACTCTTGCAGATTCCAGAAAAAGAGGGTTTCAAAACTGCTCCTTCAAAACGGTGGTTCAATTCTCTTAGTTGAGTACACACATCTCAAATAAGTTTCTGAGAATGCTTCTGCCTAGTTGTTACGGGAAGATATTTCCCTTTCCAACATAGGCCTGAAAGCGCTCCAAATGTCCACTTCCAGATACTACAAAAAGAGTGTTTCAAACCTGCTCCTTCAAAACGGTGGTTCAATTCTCTTAGTTCAGTACACACATCTCAAATAAGTTTCTGAGAATGCTTCTGTCTAGATTTTACCTGAAGACAATCCCGTTTCCCACGAAATCCTCAAAGCTATGCAAATATCCTCTTGCAGATTCTACAAAAAGAGTGTTTCAAAACTGCTCTATGAAAAGAAAGGTTCAACTCTGTCAGTAGAGGGCACACATCACAAACAAGTTTCTGAGAATGCTTCTGCATAGTTGTTACGGGAAGATATTTCCCTTTCCAAAATAGGCCTGAAAGCGCTCCAAATGTCCACTTCCAGATACTACAAAAGGAGTGATTCCAACCTGCTCTATGATAGGGAATGTTCAACTCTGTGTCCTGAATACAAACATCACAAAGATGTTTCTCAGAACGCTGCAGTCTGCAATTTGTATGAATTCCCGCTTCCAACGAAATCCTCAAAACTAGCCAAATATCCACTTGCAGATTCCACAAAAAGACCATTTCAAAACTGCTCTATCAAAAGAAAGGTTCAACTTTGTTAGTTGAGTAGATACAGCATAAACAAGTTTCTGAGAATGCTTCTGTCCAGTTTTTATGGGAAGATATTTCCTTTTTCACCTTAGCCCTGAAAGCGCTCCAAAAGTCCAGTTCCAGATACTACAAAAGGAGTGTTTCAGGACTGCTCTATGAAAGGGAGTGTTCAACTTTTGACTTGAATGCAAACATCAGAAAGCAGTTTCTCAGAACGCTGCTGTGTGCTTTTTATATGTATTCCCGCTTCCAGCGAAATCCCCAAAGCTAGCCAAATATCCACTTGCAGATTCCAGAAAAAGAGTGTTTCCAAACTGCTCCTTCAAAACGGTGGTTCAATTCTCTTAGTTAAGTACACACATCTCAAATAAGTTTCTGGGAATGCTTCTGTCTAGTTGTTATGGGAAGATATTTCCTTTTCCAACATAGGCCTGAAAGCGCTCCAAATGTCCACTTCCAGATACTACAAAAGGAGTGATTCAAACCTGCTCTATGATAGGGAATGTTCAACTCTGTGTCCTGAATACAAACATCACAAAGATGTTTCTCAGAACGCTGCAGTCTGCAATTTGTATGAATTCCCGCTTCCAACGAAATCCTCCAAACTAGCCAAATATCCACTTGCAGATTCCACAAAAAGAGCGTTTCAAAACTTCTCTATGAAAAGAAAGTTTCTACTCCTTTAGTTGAGGACACACATCACGAGTAAGTTTCTGAGAATGCTTCTGTCTAGTTTTTATGGGAAGATATTTCCTTTTTCACCTTAGGCCGGTAAGTGCTCCAAATGTCCACTTACACACACTACAAAAAGAGTGTTTCAAACCTGCTCTGTGAAAGGGAATGTTCAATTCTGTGACTTGAATGCAATCATCACAAAGAACTTTCTGAGAATGCTGCTGACTGCTTTTTATATGTAATCCCGTTTCCAACGAAATCCTCAAATCTAGCCAAATAGCCACTTGCAGATTCCACAAAAAGAGTGTTTCAAAACTGTTCTGTCTAAAGAAATGTTCAACTGTGTTAGTTGAGGACACACATCAGAAACTAGTTTCTGAGAATGCTTCTGTCTAGTTGTTATGGGAAGATATTTCCTTTTCCAACGTAGGCCTGAAAGCGATCCAAATGTCCACTTCCATATACTAAAAAAAGAGTGTTTCAAACCTGCTCTACCAAAGGGAATGTTCTACTCTGTGACTTGAATGCAAACATCCCAAAGAAGTTTCTGAGAATGCTTCTGTCTAGATTTTCTCTGAAGACAATCCCGTTTCCAACGAAATCCTCAAGGCTAGGCAAATATACTCTTGCAGATTCCAGAAAAAGAGTGTTTCAAAACTGCTCCTTCAAAACGGTGGTTCAATTCTCTTAGTTGAGTACACACATCTCAAATAAGTTTCTGAGAATGCTTCTGCCTAGTTGTTACGGGAAGATATTTCCCTTTCCAACATAGGCCTGAAAGCGCTCCAAATGTCCACTTCCAGATACTACAAAAAGAGTGTTTCAAACCTGCTCTACCAAAGGGAATGTTCTACTCTGTGACTTGAATGCAAACATCCCAAAGAAGTTTCTGAGAATGCTTCTGTCTAGATTTTACCTGAAGACAATCCCGTTTCCCACGAAATCCTCAAAGCTATGCAAATATCCTCTTGCAGATTCTACAAAAAGAGTGTTTCAAAACTGCTCTATGAAAAGAAAGGTTCAACTCTGTCAGTAGAGGGCACACATCACAAACAAGTTTCTGAGAATGCTTGTGTCTAGTTGTTATGGGAAGATATTTCCTTTTTCAACATAGGCCTGAAAGCGCTCCAAATGTCCACTTCCAGATACTACAAAAGGAGTGATTCCAACCTGCTCTATGATAGGGAATGTTCAACTCTGTGTCCTGAATACAAACATCACAAAGATGTTTCTCAGAACGCTGCAGTCTGCAATTTGTATGTATTCCAGCTTCCAACGAAATCCTCAAATCTAGCCAAATATCCACTTGCAGATTCCACAAAAAGAGCATTTCAAAACTGCTCTATCAAAAGAAAGGTTCAACTTTTTTAGTAGAGTAGATACAGCATAAACAAGTTTCTGAGAATGCTTCTGTCCAGTTTTTATGGGAAGATATTTCCTTTTTCACCTTAGCCCTGAAATCGCTCCAAAAGTCCAGTTCCAGATACTACAAAAGGGGTGTTTCAGGACTGCTCTATGAAAGGGAGTGTTCAACTTTTGACTTGAATGCAAACATCAGAAAGCAGTTTCTCAGAACGCTGCAGTCTGCAATTTGTATGAATTCCCGCTTCCAACGAAATCCTCCAAACTAGCCAAATATCCACTTGCAGATTCCACAAAAAGAGCGTTTCAAAACTTCTCTATGAAAAGAAAGGTTCTACTCCTTTAGTTGAGGACACACATCACGAGTAAGTTTCTGAGAATGCTTCTGTCTAGTTTTTATGGGAAGATATTTCCTTTTTCACCTTAGGCCGGAAAGTGCTCCAAATGTCCACTTACACACACTACAAAAAGAGTGTTTCAAACCTGCTCTGTGAAAGGGAATGTTCAATTCTGTGACTTGAATGCAATCATCACAAAGAACGTTCTGAGAATGCTGCTGTCTGCTTTTTATATGTAATCCCGTTTCCAACGAAATCCTCAAATCTAGCCAAATAGCCACTTGCAGATTCCACAAAAAGAGAGTTTCAAAACTGTTCTGTCTAAAGAAATGTTCAACTGTGTTAGTTGAGGACACACATCAGAAACTAGTTTCTGAGAATGCTTCTGTCTAGTTGTTATGGGAAGATATTTCCTTTTCCAACGTAGGCCTGAAAGCGCTCCAAATGTCCACTTCCAGATACTACAAAAAGAGTGTTTCAAACCTGCTCTACCAAAGGGAATGTTCTACTCTGTGACTTGAATGCAAGCATCCCAAAGAAGTTTCTGAGAATGCTTCTGTCTAGATTTGATCTGAACACAATCCCGTTTCCAACGAAATCCTCAAAGCTAGGCAAATATCCTCTTGCAGATTCCAGAAAAAGAGTGTTTCAAAACTGCTCCTTCAAAACGGTGGTTCAATTCTCTTAGTTGAGTACACACATCTCAAATAAGTTTCTGAGAATGCTTCTGCCTAGTTGTTACGGGAAGATATTTCCCTTTCCAACATGGGCCTGAAAGCGCTCCAAATGTCCACTTCCAGATACTACAAAAAGAGTGTTTCAAACCTGCTCTACCAAAGGGAATGTTCTACTCTGTGACTTGAATGCAAACATCCCAAAGAAGTTTCTGAGAATGCTTCTGTCTAGATTTTACCTGAAGACAATCCCGTTTCCCACGAAATCCTCAAAGCTATGCAAATATCCTCTTGCAGATTCTACAAAAAGAGTGTTTCAAAACTGCTCTATGAAAAGAAAGGTTCAACTCTGTCAGTAGAGGGCACACATCACAAACAAGTTTCTGAGAATGCTTGTGTCTAGTTGTTATGGGAAGATATTTCCTTTTTCAACATAGGCCTGAAAGCGCTCCAAATGTCCACTTCCAGATACTACAAAAGGAGTGATTCCAACCTGCTCTATGATAGGGAATGTTCAACTCTCTGTCCTGAATACAAACATCACAAAGATGTTTCTCAGAACGCTGCAGTCTGCAATTTGTATGAATTCCCGCTTCCAACGAAATCCTCAAAACTAGCCAAATATCCACTTGCAGATTCCACAAAAAGAGCATTTCAAAACTGCTCTATCAAAAGAAAGGTTCAACTTTGTTAGTTGAGTAGATACAGCATAAACAAGTTTCTGAGAATGCTGCAGTCTGCAATTTGTATGAATTCCCGCTTCCAACGAAATCCTCAAAACTAGCCAAATATCCACTTGCAGATTCCACAAAAAGAGCGTTTCAAAACTTCTCTATGAAAAGAAAGGTTCTACTCCTTTAGTTGAGGACACACATCACGAGTAAGTTTCTGAGAATGCTTCTGTCTAGTTTTTATGGGAAGATATTTCCTTTTTCACCTTAGGCCGGTAAGTGCTCCAAATGTCCACTTACACACACTACAAAAAGAGTGTTTCAAACCTGCTCTGTGAAAGGGAATGTTCAATTCTGTGACTTGAATGCAATCATCACAAAGAACTTTCTGAGAATGCTGCTGACTGCTTTTTATATGTAATCCCGTTTCCAACGAAATCCTCAAATCTAGCCCAATATCAACTTGCAGATTCCACAAAAAGAGTGTTTCAAAACTGTTCTGTCTAAAGAAATGTACAACTGTGTTAGTTGAGGACACACATCAGAAACTAGTTTCTGAGAATGCTTCTGTCTAGTTGTTATGGGAAGATATTTCCTTTTCCAACGTAGGCCTGAAAGCGCTCCAAATGTCCACTTCCATATACTAAAAAAAGAGTGTTTCAAACCTGCTCTACCAAAGGGAATGTTCTACTCTGTGACTTGAATGCAAACATCCCAAAGAAGTTTCTGAGAATGCTTCTGTCTAGATTTTATCTGAAGACAATCCCGTTTCCAACGAAATCCTCAAGGCTAGGCAAATATACTCTTGCAGATTCCAGAAAAAGAGGGTTTCAAAACTGCTCCTTCAAAACGGTGGTTCAATTCTCTTAGTTGAGTACACACATCTCAAATAAGTTTCTGAGAATGCTTCTGCCTAGTTGTTACGGGAAGATATTTCCCTTTCCAACATGGGCCTGAAAGCGCTCCAAATGTCCACTTCCAGATACTACAAAAAGAGGGTTTCAAACCTGCTCTACCAAAGGGAATGTTCTACTCTGTGACTTGAATGCAAACATCCCAAAGAAGTTTCTGAGAATGCTTCTGTCTAGATTTTACCTGAAGACAATCCCGTTTCCCACGAAATCCTCAAAGCTATGCAAATATCCTCTTGCAGATTCTACAAAAAGAATGTTTCAAAACTGCTCTATGAAAAGAAAGGTTCAACTCTGTCAGTAGAGGGCACACATCACAAACAAGTTTCTGAGAATGCTTGTGTCTAGTTGTTATGGGAAGATATTTCCTTTTTCAACATAGGCCTGAAAGCGCTCCAAATGTCCACTTCCAGATACTACAAAAGGAGTGATTCCAACCTGCTCTATGATAGGGAATGTTCAACTCTCTGTCCTGAATACAAACATCACAAAGATGTTTCTCAGAACGCTGCAGTCTGCAATTTGTATGAATTCCCGCTTCCAACGAAATCCTCAAAACTAGCCAAATATCCACTTGCAGATTCCACAAAAAGACCATTTCAAAACTGCTCTATCAAAAGAAAGGTTCAACTTTGTTAGTTGAGTAGATACAGCATAAACAAGTTTCTGAGAATGCTTCTGTCCAGTTTTTATGGGAAGATATTTCCTTTTTCACCTTAGCCCTGAAATCGCTCCAAAAGTCCAGTTCCAGATACTACAAAAGGGGTGTTTCAGGACTGCTCTATGAAAGGGAGTGTTCAACTTTTGACTTGAATGCAAACATCAGAAAGCAGTTTCTCAGAACGCTGCTGTGTGCTTTTTATATGTATTCCCGCTTCCAGCGAAATCCCCAAAGCTAGCCAAATATCCACTTGCAGATTCCAGAAAAAGAGTGTTTCAAAACTGCTCCTTCAAAACGGTGGTTCAATTCTCTTAGTTGAGTACACACATCTCAAATAAGTTTCTGAGAATGCTTCTGTCTAGTTGTTATGGGAAGATATTTCCTTTTCCAACATAGGCCTGAAAGCGCTCCAAATGTCCACTTCCAGATACTACAAAAGGAGTGATTCCAACCTGCTCTATGATAGGGAATGTTCAACTCTGTGTCCTGAATACAAACATCACAAAGATGTTTCTCAGAACGCTGCAGTCTGCAATTTGTATGAATTCCCGCTTCCAACGAAATCCTCAAAACTAGCCAAATATCCACTTGGAGATTCCACAAAAAGAGCGTTTCAAAACTTCTCTATGAATAGAAATGTTCTACTCCTTTAGTTGAGGACACACATCACGAGTAAGTTTCTGAGAATGCTTCTGTCTAGTTTTTATGGGAAGATATTTCCTTTTTCACCTTAGGCCGGTAAGTGCTCCAAATGTCCACTTACACACACTACAAAAAGAGTGTTTCAAACCTGCTCTGTGAAAGGGAATGTTCAATTCTGTGACTTGAATGCAATCATCACAAAGAACTTTCTGAGAATGCTGCTGACTGCTTTTTATATGTAATCCCGTTTCCAACGAAATCCTCAAATCTAGCCAAATAGCCACTTGCAGATTCCACAAAAAGAGTGTTTCAAAACTGTTCTGTCTAAAGAAATGTTCATCTGTGTTAGTTGAGGACACACATCAGAAACTAGTTTCTGAGAATGCTCTGTCTAGTTGTTATGGGAAGATATTTCCTTTTCCAACGTAGGCCTGAAAGCGCTCCAAATGTCCACTTCCATATACTAAAAAAAGAGTGTTTCAAACCTGCTCTACCAAAGGGAATGTTCTACTCTGTGACTTGAATGCAAACATCCCAAAGAAGTTTCTGAGAATGCTTTCTGTCTAGATTTGATCTGAAGACAATCCCGTTTCCAACGAAATCCTCAAGGCTAGGCAAATATCCTCTTGCAGATTCCAGAAAAAGAGTGTTTCAAAACTGCTCCTTCAAAACGGTGATTCAATTCTCTTAGTTGAGTACACACATCTCAAATAAGTTTCTGAGAATGCTTCTGCCTAGTTGTTACGGGAAGATATTTCCCTTTCCAACATGGGCCTGAAAGCGCTCCAAATGTCCACTTCCAGATACTACAAAAAGAGTGTTTCAAACCTGCTCTACCAAAGGGAATGTTCTACTCTGTGACTTGAATGCAAACATCCCAAAGAAGTTTCTGAGAATGCTTCTGTCTAGATTTTACCTGAAGACAATCCCGTTTCCCACGAAATCCTCAAAGCTATGCAAATATCCTCTTGCAGATTCTACAAAAAGAGTGTTTCAAAACTGCTCTATGAAAAGAAAGGTTCAACTCTGTCAGTAGAGGGCACACATCACAAACAAGTTTCTGAGAATGCTTGTGTCTAGTTGTTATGGGAAGATATTTCCTTTTTCAACATAGGCCTGAAAGCGCTCCAAATGTCCACTTCCAGATACTACAAAAGGAGTGATTCCAACCTGCTCTATGATAGGGAATGTTCATGTCTGTGTCCTGAATACAAACATCACAAAGATGTTTCTCAGAACGCTGCAGTCTGCAATTTGTATGAATTCCCGCTTCCAACGAAATCCTCAAAACTAGCCAAATATCCACTTGCAGATTCCACAAAAAGACCATTTCAAAACTGCTCTATCAAAAGAAAGGTTCAACTTTGTTAGTTGAGTAGATACAGCATAAACAAGTTTCTGAGAATGCTTCTGTCCAGTTTTTATGGGAAGATATTTCCTTTTTCACCTTAGCCCTGAAATCGCTCCAAAAGTCCAGTTCCAGATACTACAAAAGGGGTGTTTCAAGACTGCTCTATGAAAGGGAGTGTTCAACTTTTGACTTGAATGCAAACATCAGAAAGCAGTTTCTCAGAACGCTGCTGTGTGCTTTTTATATGTATTCCCGCTTCCAGCGAAATCCCCAAAGCTAGCCAAATATCCACTTGCAGATTCCAGAAAAAGAGTGTTTCCAAACTGCTCCTTCAAAACGGTGGTTCAATTCTCTTAGTTGAGTACACACATCTCAAATAAGTTTCTGGGAATGCTTCTGTCTAGTTGTTATGGGAAGATATTTCCTTTTCCAACATAGGCCTGAAAGCGCTCCAAATGTCCACTTCCAGATACTACAAAAGGAGTGATTCAAACCTGCTCTATGATAGGGAATGTTCAACTCTGTGTCCTGAATACAAACATCACAAAGATGTTTCTCAGAACGCTGCAGTCTGCAATTTGTATGAATTCCCGCTTCCAACGAAATCCTCAAAACTAGCCAAATATCCACTTGGAGATTCCACAAAAAGAGCGTTTCAAAACTTCTCTATGAATAGAAAGGTTCTACTCCTTTAGTTGAGGACACACATCACGAGTAAGTTTCTGAGGATGCTTCTGTCTAGTTTTTATGGGAAGATATTTCCTTTTTCACCTTAGGCCGGAAAGTGCTCCAAATGTCCACTTACACACACTACAAAAAGAGTGTTTCAAACCTGCTCTGTGAAAGGGAATGTTCAATTCTGTGACTTGAATGCAATCATCACAAAGAACTTTCTGAGAATGCTGCTGTCTGCTTTTTATATGTAATCCCGTTTCCAACGAAATCCTCAAATCTAGCCCAATATCCACTTGCAGATTCCACAAAAAGAGTGTTTCAAAACTGTTCTGTCTAAGGAAAAGTTCAACTGTGTTAGTTGAGGACACATATCAGAAAGTAGTTTCTGAGAATGCTTCTGTCTAGTTGTTATGGGAAGATATTTCCTTTTCCAACGTAGGCCTGAAAGCGCTCCAAATGTCCACTTCCATATACTAAAAAAAGAGTGTTTCAAACCTGCTCTACCAAAGGGAATGTTCTACTCTGTGACTTGAATGCAAACATCCCAAAGAAGTTTCTGAGAATGCTTCTGTCTAGATTTTCTCTGAAGACAATCCCGTTTCCAACGAAATCCTCAAGGCTAGGCAAATATACTCTTGCAGATTCCAGAAAAAGAGTGTTTCAAAACTGCTCCTTCAAAACGGTGGTTCAATTCTCTTAGTTGAGTACACACATCTCAAATAAGTTTCTGAGAATGCTTCTGCCTAGTTGTTACGGGAAGATATTTCCCTTTCCAACATAGGCCTGAAAGCGCTCCAAATGTCCACTTGCAGATACTACAAAAAGAGTGTTTCAAACCTGCTCTACCAAAGGGAATGTTCTACTCTGTGACTTGAATGCAAACATCCCAAAGAAGTTTCTGAGAATGCTTCTGTCTAGATTTTACCTGAAGACAATCCCGTTTCCCACGAAATCCTCAAAGCTATGCAAATATCCTCTTGCAGATTCTACAAAAAGAGTGTTTCAAAACTGCTCTATGAAAAGAAAGGTTCAACTCTGTCAGTAGAGGGCACACATCACAAACAAGTTTCTGAGAATGCTTCTGTCTAGTTGTTATGGGAAGGTATTTCCTTTTTCAACATAGGCCTGAAAGCGCTCCAAATGTCCACTTCCAGATACTACAAAAGGAGTGATTCCAACCTGCTCTATGATAGGGAATGTTCTACTCTGTGTCCTGAATACAAACATCACAAAGATGTTTCTCAGAACGCTGCAGTCTGCAATTTGCATGAATTCCAGCTTCCAACGAAATCCTCAAAACTAGCCAAATATCCACTTGCAGATTCCACAAAAAGAGCATTTCAAAACTGCTCTATCAAAAGAAAGGTTCAACTTTGTTAGTAGAGTAGATACAGCATAAACAAGTTTCTGAGAATGCTTCTGTCCAGTTTTTATGGGAAGATATTTCCTTTTTCACCTTAGCCCTGAAAGCGCTCCAAAAGTCCAGTTCCAGATACTACAAAAGGAGTGTTTCAGGACTGCTCTATGAAAGGGAGTGTTCAACTTTTGACTTGAATGCAAACATCAGAAAGCAGTTTCTCAGAACGCTGCTGTGTGCTTTTTATATGTATTCCCGCTTCCAGCGAAATCCCCAAAGCTAGCCAAATATCCACTTGCAGATTCCAGAAAAAGAGTGTTTCAAAACTGCTCCTTCAAAACGGTGGTTCAATTCTCTTAGTTGAGTACACACATCTCAAATAAGTTTCTGAGAATGCTTCTGTCTAGTTGTTATGGGAAGATATTTCCTTTTCCAACATAGGCCTGAAAGCGCTCCAAATGTCCACTTCCAGATACTACAAAAGGAGTGATTCAAACCTGCTCTATGATAGGGAATGTTCAACTCTGTGTCCTGAATACAAACATCACAAAGATGTTTCTCAGAACGCTGCAGTCTGCAATTTGTATGAATTCCCGCTTCCAACGAAATCCTCCAAACTAGCCAAATATCCACTTGCAGATTCCACAAAAAGAGCGTTTCAAAACTTCTCTATGAAAAGAAAGGTTCTACTCCTTTAGTTGAGGACACACATCACGAGTAAGTTTCTGAGAATGCTTCTGTCTAGTTTTTATGGGAAGATATTTCCTTTTTCACCTTAGGCCGGAAAGTGCTCCAAATGTCCACTTACACACACTACAAAAAGAGTGTTTCAAACCTGCTCTGTGAAAGGGAATGTTCAATTCTGTGACTTGAATGCAATCATCACAAAGAACTTTCTGAGAATGCTGCTGTCTGCTTTTTATATGTAATCCCGTTTCCAACGAAATCCTCAAATCTAGGCAAATATCCACTTGCAGATTCCACAAAAAGAGTGTTTCAAAACTGTTCTGTGTAAAGAAAAGTTCAACTGTGTTAGTTGAGGACACACATCAGAAACTAGTTTCTGAGAATGCTTCTGTCTAGTTGTTATGGGAAGATATTTCCTTTTCCAACGTAGGCCTGAAAGCGCTCCAAATGTCCACTTCCATATACTAAAAAAAGTGTGTTTCAAACCTGCTCTACCAAAGGGAATGTTCTACTCTGTGACTTGAATGCAAACATCCCAAAGAAGTTTCTGAGAATGCTTCTGTCTAGATTTTCTCTGAAGACAATCCCGTTTCCAACGAAATCCTCAAGGCTAGGCAAATATACTCTTGCAGATTCCAGAAAAAGAGTGTTTCAAAACTGCTCCTTCAAAACGGTGGTTCAATTCTCTTAGTTGAGTACACACATCTCAAATAAGTTTCTGAGAATGCTTCTGCCTAGTTGTTACGGGAAGATATTTCCCTTTCCAACATGGGCCTGAAAGCGCTCCAAATGTCCACTTCCAGATACTACAAAAAGAGTGTTTCAAACCTGCTCTACCAAAGGGAATGTTCTACTCTGTGACTTGAATGCAAACATCCCAAAGAAGTTTCTGAGAATGCTTCTGTCTAGATTTTACCTGAAGACAATCCCGTTTCCCACGAAATCCTCAAAGCTATGCAAATATCCTCTTGCAGATTCTACAAAAAGAGTGTTTCAAAACTGCTCTATGAAAAGAAAGGTTCAACTCTGTCAGTAGAGGGCACACATCACAAACAAGTTTCTGAGAATGCTTGTGTCTAGTTGTTATGGGAAGATATTTCCTTTTTCAACATAGGCCAGAAAGCGCTCCAAATGTCCACTTCCAGATACTACAAAAGGAGTGATTCCAACCTGCTCTATGATAGGGAATGTTCAACTCTCTGTCCTGAATACAAACATCACAAAGATGTTTCTCAGAACGCTGCAGTCTGCAATTTGTATGAATTCCCGCTTCCAACGAAATCCTCAAAACTAGCCAAATATCCACTTGCAGATTCCACAAAAAGACCATTTCAAAACTGCTCTATCAAAAGAAAGGTTCAACTTTGTTAGTTGAGTAGATACAGCATAAACAAGTTTCTGAGAATGCTTCTGTCCAGTTTTTATGGGAAGATATTTCCTTTTTCACCTTAGCCCTGAAATCGCTCCAAAAGTCCAGTTCCAGATACTACAAAAGGGGTGTTTCAAGACTGCTCTATGAAAGGGAGTGTTCAACTTTTGACTTGAATGCAAACATCAGAAAGCAGTTTCTCAGAACGCTGCTGTGTGCTTTTTATATGTATTCCCGCTTCCAGCGAAATCCCCAAAGCTAGCCAAATATCCACTTGCAGATTCCAGAAAAAGAGAGTTTCAAAACTGCTCCTTCAAAACGGTGGTTCAATTCTCTTAGTTGAGTACACACATCTCAAATAAGTTTCTGAGAATGCTGCTGTGTGCTTTTTATATATATTCCCGCTTCCAGCGAAATCCCCAAAGCTAGCCAAATATCCACTTGCAGATTCCAGAAAAAGAGTGTTTCCAAACTGCTCCTTCAAAACGGTGGTTCAATTCTCTTAGTTGAGTACACACATCTCAAATAAGTTTCTGGGAATGCTTCTGTCTAGTTGTTATGGGAAGATATTTCCTTTTCCAACATAGGCCTGAAAGCGCTCCAAATGTCCACTTCCAGATACTACAAAAGGAGTGATTCAAACCTGCTCTATGATAGGGAATGTTCAACTCTGTGTCCTGAATACAAACATCACAAAGATGTTTCTCAGAACGCTGCAGTCTGCAATTTGTATGAATTCCCGCTTCCAACGAAATCCTCAAAACTAGCCAAATATCCACTTGCAGATTCCACAAAAAGACCATTTCAAAACTGCTCTATCAAAAGAAAGGTTCAACTTTGTTAGTTGAGTAGATACAGCATAAACAAGTTTCTGAGAATGCTTCTGTCCAGTTTTTATGGGAAGATATTTCCTTTTTCACCTTAGCCCTGAAATCGCTCCAAAAGTCCAGTTCCAGATACTACAAAAGGGGTGTTTCAAGACTGCTCTATGAAAGGGAGTGTTCAACTTTTGACTTGAATGCAAACATCAGAAAGCAGTTTCTCAGAACGCTGCTGTGTGCTTTTTATATGTATTCCCGCTTCCAGCGAAATCCCCAAAGCTAGCCAAATATCCACTTGCAGATTCCAGAAAAAGAGTGTTTCAAAACTGCTCCTTCAAAACGGTGGTTCAATTCTCTTAGTTGAGTACACACATCTCAAATAAGTTTCTGAGAATGCTTCTGTCTAGTTTTTATGGGAAGATATTTCCTTTTTCACCTGAGGCCGGAAAGCGCTCCAAATGTCCACTTCCAGATACTACAAAAGGAGTGATTCAAACCTGCTCTATGATAGGGAATGTTCAACTCTGTGTCCTGAATACAAACATCACAAAGATGTTTCTCAGAACGCTGCAGTCTGCAATTTGTATGAATTCCCGCTTCCAACGAAATCCTCAAAACTAGCCAAATATCCACTTGCAGATTCCACAAAAAGAGCGTTTCAAAACTTGTCTATGAAAAGAAAGGTTCTACTCCTTTAGTTGAGGACACACATCACGAGTAAGTTTCTGAGAATGCTTCTGTCTAGTTTTTATGGGAAGATATTTCCTTGTTCACCTTAGGCCGGAAAGCGCTCCAAATGTCCACTTACACACACTACAAAAAGAGTGTTTCAAACCTGCTCTGTGAAAGGGAATGTTCAATTCTGTGACTTGAATGCAATCATCACAAAGAAGTTTCTGAGAATGCTGCTGTCTGCTTTTTATATGTAATCCCGTTTCCAACGAAATCCTCAAATCTAGCCAAATAGCCACTTGCAGATTCCACAAAAAGAGTGTTTCAAAACTGTTCTGTCTAAAGAAATGTTCAACTGTGTTAGTTGAGGACACACATCAGAAACTAGTTTCTGAGAATGCTTCTGTCTAGTTGTTATGGGAAGATATTTCCTTTTCCAACGTAGGCCTGAAAGCGCTCCAAATGTCCACTTCCATATACTAAAAAAAGAGTGTTTCAAACCTGCTCTACCAAAGGGAATGTTCTACTCTGTGACTTGAATGCAAACATCCCAAAGAAGTTTCTGAGAATGCTTCTGTCTAGATTTTATCTGAAGACAATCCCGTTTCCAACGAAATCCTCAAGGCTAGGCAAATATACTCTTGCAGATTCCAGAAAAAGAGGGTTTCAAAACTGCTCCTTCAAAACGGTGGTTCAATTCTCTTAGTTGAGTACACACATCTCAAATAAGTTTCTGAGAATGCTTCTGCCTAGTTGTTACGGGAAGATATTTCCCTTTCCAACATGGGCCTGAAAGCGCTCCAAATGTCCACTTCCAGATACTACAAAAAGAGTGTTTCAAACCTGCTCTACCAAAGGGAATGTTCTACTCTGTGACTTGAAGGCAAACATCCCAAAGAAGTTTCTGAGAATGCTTCTGTCTAGATTTTACCTGAAGACAATCCCGTTTCCCACGAAATCCTCAAAGCTATGCAAATATCCTCTTGCGGATTCTACAAAAAGAGTGTTTCAAAACTGCTCTATGAAAAGAAAGGTTCAACTCTGTCAGTAGAGGGCACACATCACAAACAAGTTTCTGAGAATGCTTGTGTCTAGTTGTTATGGGAAGATATTTCCTTTTTCAACATAGGCCTGAAAGCGCTCCAAATGTCCACTTCCAGATACTACAAAAGGAGTGATTCCAACCTGCTCTATGATAGGGAATGTTCATGTCTGTGTCCTGAATACAAACATCACAAAGATGTTTCTCAGAACGCTGCAGTCTGCAATTTGTATGAATTCCCGCTTCCTACGAAATCCTCAACACTAGCCAAATATCCACTTGGAGATTCCACAAAAAGAGCGTTTCAAAACTCCTCTATGAATAGAAAGGTTCTACTCCTTTAGTTGAGGACACACATCACGAGTAAGTTTCTCAGAATGCTTCTGTCTAGTTTTTATGGGAAGATATGTCCTTTTTCACCTTAGGCCGGAAAGCGCTCCAAATGTCCACTTACACACACTACAAAAAGAGTGTTTCAAACCTGCTCTGTGAAAGGGAATGTTCAATTCTGTGACTTGAATGCAATCATCACAAAGAACTTTCTGAGAATGCTGCTGTCAGCTTTTTATATGTAATCCCGTTTCCAAAGAAATCCTCAAATCTAGCCAAATAGCCACTTGCAGATTCCACAAAAAGAGTGTTTCAAAACTGTTCTGTCTAAAGAAATGTTCAACTGTGTTAGTTGAGGACACACATCAGAAACCAGTTTCTGAGAATGCTTCTGTCTAGTTGTTATGGGAAGATATTTCCTTTTCCAACGTAGGCCTGAAAGCGCTCCAAATTTCCACTTCCATATACTAAAAAAAGAGTGTTTCAAACCTGCTCTACCAAAGGGAATGTTCTACTCTGTGACTTGAATGCAAACATCCCAAAGAAGTTTCTGAGAATGCTTCTGTCTAGATTTGATCTGAAGACAATCCCGTTTCCAACGAAATCCTCAAGGCTAGGCAAATATCCTCTTGCAGATTCCAGAAAAAGAGTGTTTCAAAACTGCTCCTTCAAAACGGTGGTTCAATTCTCTTAGTTGAGTACACACATCTCAAATAAGTTTCTGAGAATGCTCTGCCTAGTTGTTACGGGAAGATATTTCCCTTTCCAACATAGGCCTGAAAGCGCTCCAAATGTCCACTTCCAGATACTACAAAAAGAGTGTTTCAAACCTGCTCTACCAAAGGGAATGTTCTGCTCTGTGACTTGAATGCAAACATCCCAAAGAAGTTTCTGAGAATGCTTCTGTCTAGATTTTACCTGAAGACAATCCCGTTTCCCACGAAATCCTCAAAGCTATGCAAATATCCTCTTGCAGATTCTACAAAAAGAGTGTTTCAAAACTGCTCTATGAAAAGAAAGGTTCAACTCTGTCAGTAGAGGGCACACATCACAAACAAGTTTCTGAGAATGCTTGTGTCTAGTTGTTATGGGAAGATATTTCCTTTTTCAACATAGGCCTGAAAGCGCTCCAAATGTCCACTTCCAGATACTACAAAAGGAGTGATTCCAACCTGCTCTATGATAGGGAATGTTCAACTCTCTGTCCTGAATACAAACATCACAAAGATGTTTCTCAGAACGCTGCAGTCTGCAATTTGTATGAATTCCCGCTTCCAACGAAATCCTCAAAACTAGCCAAATATCCACTTGCAGATTCCACAAAAAGACCATTTCAAAACTGCTCTATCAAAAGAAAGGTTCAACTTTGTTAGTTGAGTAGATACAGCATAACCAAGTTTCTGAGAATGCTTCTGTCCAGTTTTTATGGGAAGATATTTCCTTTTTCACCTTAGCCCTGAAATCGCTCCAAAAGTCCAGTTCCAGATACTACAAAAGGGGTGTTTCAAGACTGCTCTATGAAAGGGAGTGTTCAACTTTTGACTTGAATGCAAACATCAGAAAGCAGTTTCTCAGAACGCTGCTGTGTGCTTTTTATATGTATTCCCGCTTCCAGCGAAATCCCCAAAGCTAGCCAAATATCCACTTGCAGATTCCAGAAAAAGAGAGTTTCAAAACTGCTCCTTCAAAACGGTGGTTCAATTCTCTTAGTTGAGTACACACATCTCAAATAAGTTTCTGAGAATGCTGCAGTCTGCAATTTGTATGAATTCCCGCTTCCAACGAAATCCTCAAACCTAGCCAAATATCCACTTGCAGATTCCACAAAAAGAGCATTTCAAAACTGCTCTATCAAAAGAAAGGTTCAACATTGTTAGTTGAGTAGATACAGCATAAACAAGTTTCTGAGAATGCTTCTGTCCAGTTTTTATGGGAAGATATTTCCTTTTTCACCTTAGCCCTGAAAGCGCTCCAAATGTCCAGTTCCAGATACTACAAAAGGGGTGTTTCAAGACTGTTCTATGAAAGGGAGTGTTCAACTTTTGACTTGAATGCAAATATCAGAAAGCAGTTTCTCAGAACGCTTCTGTCTAGTTTTTATGGGAAGATATTTCCTTTCTCACCTTAGGCCGGAAAGTGCTCCAAATGTCCACTTACACACACTACAAAAAGAGTGTTTCAAACCTGCTCTGTGAAAGGGAATGTTCAATTCTGTGACTTGAATGCAATCATCACAAAGAACTTTACTGAGAATGCTGCTGTCTGCTTTTTATATGTAATCCCGTTTCCAACGAAATCCTCAAATCTAGCCAAATAGCCACTTGCAGATTCCACAAAAAGAGAGTTTCAAAACTGTTCTGTCTAAAGAAATGTTCAACTGTGTTAGTTGAGGACACACATCAGAAACTAGTTTCTGAGAATGCTTCTGTCTAGTTGTTATGGGAAGATATTTCCTTTTCCAACGTAGGCCTGAAAGCGCTCCAAATGTCCACTTCCATATACTAAAAAAAGAGTGTTTCAAACCTGCTCTACCAAAGGGAATGTTCTACTCTGTGACTTGAATGCAAACATCTCAAAGAAGTTTCTGAGAATGCTTCTGTCTAGATTTTATCTGAAGACAATCCAGTTTCCAACGAAATCCTCAAGGCTAGGCAAATATATTCTTGCAGAATCCAGAAAAAGAGTGTTTCAAAACTGCTCCTTCAAAACTGTGGTTCAATTCTCTTAGTTGAGTACACACATCTCAAATAAGTTTCTGAGAATGCTTCTGCCTAGTTGTTACGGGAAGATATTTCCCTTTCCAACATAGGCCTGAAAGCGCTCCAAATGTCCACTTCCAGATACTACAAAAAGAGTGTTTCAAACCTGCTCTACCAAAGGGAATGTTCTACTCTGTGACTTGAATGCAAACATCCCAAAGAAGTTTCTGAGAATGCTTCTGTCTAGATTTTACCTGAAGACAATCCCGTTTCCCACGAAATCCTCAAAGCTATGCAAATATCCTCTTGCAGATTCTACAAAAAGAGTGTTTCAAAACTGCTCTATGAAAAGAAAGGTTCAACTCTGTCAGTAGAGGGCACACATCACAAACAAGTTTCTGAGAATGCTTGTGTCTAGTTGTTATGGGAAGATATTTCCTTTTTCAACATAGGCCTGAAAGCGCTCCAAATGTCCACTTCCAGATACTACAAAAGGAGTGATTCCAACCTGCTCTATGATAGGGAATGTTCAACTCTCTGTCCTGAATACAAACATCACAAAGATGTTTCTCAGAACGCTCAGTCTGCAATTTGTATGAATTCCCGCTTCCAACGAAATCCTCAAAACTAGCCAAATATCCACTTGCAGATTCCACAAAAAGAGCATTTCAAAACTGCTCTATCAAAAGAAAGGTTCAACTTTGTTAGTTGAGTAGATACAGCATAAACAAGTTTCTGAGAATGCTTGCAGTCTGCAATTTGTATGAATTCCCGCTTCCAACGAAATCCTCAAAACTAGCCAAATATCCACTTGCAGATTCCACAAAAAGAGCGTTTCAAAACTTCTCTATGAAAAGAAAGGTTCTACTCCTTTAGTTGAGGACACACATCACGAGTAAGTTTCTGAGAATGCTTCTGTCTAGTTTTTATGGGAAGATATTTCCTTTTTCACCTTAGGCCGGAAAGTGCTCCAAATGTCCACTTACACACACTATAAAAAGAGTGTTTCAAACCTGCTCTGTGAAAGGGAATGTTCAATTCTGTGACTTGAATGCAATCATCACAAAGAACTTTCTGAGAATGCTGCTGTCTGCTTTTTATATGTAATCCCGTTTCCAACGAAATCCTCAAATCTAGCCAAATAGCCACTTGCAGATTCCACAAAAAGAGAGTTTCAAAACTGTTCTGTCTAAAGAAATGTTCAACTGTGTTAGTTGAGGACACACATCAGAAACTAGTTTCTGAGAATGCTTCTGTCTAGTTGTTATGGGAAGATATTTCCTTTTCCAACGTAGGCCTGAAAGCGCTCCAAATGTCCACTTCCATATACTAAAAAAAGAGTGTTTCAAACCTGCTCTACCAAAGGGAATGTTCTACTCTGTGACTTGAATGCAAACATCCCAAAGAAGTTTCTGAGAATGCTTCTGTCTAGATTTGATCTGAAGACAATCCCGTTTCCAACGAAATCCTCAAGGCTAGGCAAATATCCTCTTGCAGATTCCAGAAAAAGAGTGTTTCAAAACTGCTCCTTCAAAACGGTGGTTCAATTCTCTTAGTTGAGTACACACATCTCAAATAAGTTTCTGAGAATGCTTCTGCCTAGTTGTTACCGGAAGATATTTCCCTTTCCAACATAGGCCTGAAAGCGCTCCAAATGTCCACTTCCAGATACTACAAAAAGAGTGTTTCAAACCTGCTCTACCAAAGGGAATGTTCTACTCTGTGACTTGAATGCAAACATCCTAAAGAAGTTTCTGAGAATGCTTCTGTCTAGATTTTACCTGAAGACAATCCCGTTTCCCACGAAATCCTCAAAGCTATGCAAATATCCTCTTGCAGATTCTACAAAAAGAGTGTTTCAAAACTGCTCTTTGAAAAGAAAGGTTCAACTCTGTCACTAGAGGGCACACATCACAAACAAGTTTCTGAGAATGCTTGTGTCTAGTTGTTATGGGAAGATATTTCCTTTTTCAACATAGGCCTGAAAGCGCTCCAAATGTCCACTTCCAGATACTACAAAAGGAGTGATTCCAACCTGCTCTATGATAGGGAATGTTCAACTCTCTGTCCTGAATACAAACATCACAAAGATGTTTCTCAGAACGCTGCAGTCTGCAATTTGTATGAATTCCCGCTTCCAACGAAATCCTCAAAACTAGCCAAATATCCACTTGCAGATTCCACAAAAAGAGCATTTCAAAACTGCTCTATCAAAAGAAAGGTTCAACTTTGTTAGTTGAGTAGATACAGCATAAACAAGTTTCTGAGAATGCTTCTGTCCAGTTTTTATGGGAAGATATTTCCTTTTTCACCTTAGCCCTGAAAGCGCTCCAAAAGTCCAGTTCCAGATACTACAAAAGGAGTGTTTCAGGACTGCACTATGAAAGGGAGTGTTCAACTTTTGACTTGAATGCAAACATCAGAAAGCAGTTTGCTCAGAACGCTGCAGTCTGCAATTTGTATGAATTCCCGCTTCCAACGAAATCCTCAAAACTAGCCAAATATCCACTTGCAGATTCCACAAAAAGAGCGTTTCAAAACTTCTCTATGAAAAGAAAGGTTCTACTCCTTTAGTTGAGGACACACATCACGAGTAAGTTTCTGAGAATGCTTCTGTCTAGTTTTTATGGGAAGATATTTCCTTTTTCACCTTAGGCCGGAAAGTGCTCCAAATGTCCACTTACACACACTACAAAAAGAGTGTTTCAAACCTGCTCTGTGAAAGGGAATGTTCAATTCTGTGACTTGAATGCAATCATCCCAAAGAACTTTCTGAGAATGCTGCTGTCTGCTTTTTATATGTAATCCCGTTTCCAACGAAATCCTCAAATCTAGCCAAATAGCCACTTGCAGATTCCACAAAAAGAGTGTTTCAAAACTGTTCTGTCTAAAGAAATGTTCAACTGTGTTAGTTGAGGACACACATCAGAAACTAGTTTCTGAGAATGCTTCTGTCTAGTTGTTATGGGAAGATATTTCCTTTTCCAACGTAGGCCTGAAAGCGCTCCAAATGTCCACTTCCATATACTAAAAAAAGAGTGTTTCAAACCTGCTCTACCAAAGGGAATGTTCTACTCTGTGACTTGAATGCAAACATCCCAAAGAAGTTTCTGAGAATGCTTCTGTCTAGATTTTCTCTGAAGACAATCCCGTTTCCAACGAAATCCTCAAGGCTAGGCAAATATACTCTTGCAGATTCCAGAAAAAGAGTGTTTCAAAACTGCTCCTTCAAAACGGTGGTTCAATTCTCTTAGTTGAGTACACACATCTCAAATAAGTTTCTGAGAATGCTTCTGCATAGTTGTTACGGGAAGATATTTCCCTTTCCAACATGGGCCTGAATGCGCTCCAAATGTCCACTTCCAGATACTACAAAAAGAGGGTTTCAAACCTGCTCTACCAAAGGGAATGTTCTACTGCTGTGACTTGAATGCAAACATAACAAAGAAGTTTCTGAGAATGCTTCTGTCTAGATTTTACCTGAAGACAATCCCGTTTCCCACGAAATCCTCAGAGCTATGCAAATATCCTCTTGCAGATTCTACAAAAAGAGTGTTTCGAAACTGCTCTATGAAAAGAAAGGTTCAACTCTGTCAGTAGAGGAAACACATCACCAACAAGTTTCTGAGAATGCTTGTGTCTACTTGTTATGGGAAGATATTTCCTTTTTCAACATAGGCCTGAAAGCGCTCGAAATGGCCACTTCCAGATACTACAAAAGGAGTGATTCCAACCTGCTCTATGATAGGGAATGTTCAACTCTGTGTCCTGAATACAAACATCACAAAGATGTTTCCTCAGAACGCTGCAGTCTGCAATTTGTATGAATTCCCGCTTCCAACGAAATCCTCAAAACTAGCCAAATATCCACTTGCAGATTCCACAAAAAGACCATTTCAAAACTGCTCTATCAAAAGAAAGGTTCAACTTTGTTAGTTGAGTAGATACAGCATAAACAAGTTTCTGAGAATGCTTCTGTCCAGTTTTTATGGGAAGATATTTCCTTTTTCACCTTAGCCCTGAAATCGCTCCAAAAGTCCAGTTCCAGATACTACAAAAGGGGTGTTTCAAGACTGCTCTATGAAAGGGAGTGTTCAACTTTTGACTTGAATGCAAACATCAGAAAGCAGTTTCTCAGAACGCTGCTGTGTGCTTTTTATATGTATTCCCGCTTCCAGCGAAATCCCCAAAGCTAGCCAAATATCCACTTGCAGATTCCAGAAAAAGAGAGTTTCAAAACTGCTCCTTCAAAACGGTGGTTCAATTCTCTTAGTTGAGTACACACATCTCAAATAAGTTTCTGAGAATGCTTCTGTCTAGTTGTTATGGGAAGATATTTCCTTTTCCAACATAGGCCTGAAAGCGCTCCAAATGTCCACTTCCAGATACTACAAAAGGAGTGATTCAAACCTGCTCTATGATAGGGAATGTTCAACTCTGTGTCCTGAATACAAACATCACAAAGATGTTTCTCAGAACGCTGCAGTCTGCAATTTGTATGAATTCCCGCTTCCAACGAAATCCTCAACACTAGCCAAATATCCACTTGGAGATTCCACAAAAAGAGCGTTTCAAAACTTCTCTATGAATAGAAAGGTTCTACTCCTTTAGTTGAGGACACACATCACGAGTAAGTTTCTGAGAATGCTTCTGTCTAGTTTTTATGGGAAGATATGTCCTTTTTCACCTTAGGCCGGAAAGCGCTCCAAATGTCCACTTACACACACTACAAAAAGAGTGTTTCAAACCTGCTCTGTGAAAGGGAATGTTCAATTCTGTGACTTGAATGCAATCATCACAAAGAACTTTCTGAGAATGCTGCTGACTGCTTTTTATATGTAATCCCGTTTCCAACGAAATCCTCAAATCTAGCCCAATATCCACTTGCAGATTCCACAAAAAGAGTGTTTCAAAACTGTTCTGTCTAAAGAAATGTACAACTGTGTTAGTTGAGGACACACATCAGAAACTAGTTTCTGGGAATGCTTCTGTCTAGTTGTTATGGGAAGATATTTCCTTTTCCAACGTAGGCCTGAAAGCGCTCCAAATGTCCACTTCCATATACTAAAAAAAGAGTGTTTCAAACCTGCTCTACCAAAGGGAATGTTCTACTCTGTGACTTGAATGCAAACATCCCAAAGAAGTTTCTGAGAATGCTTCTGTCTAGATTTTATCTGAAGACAATCCCGTTTCCAACGAAATCTTCAAGGCTAGGCAAATATACTCTTGCAGATTCCAGAAAAAGAGTGTTTCAAAACTGCTCCTTCAAAACGGTGGTTCAATTCTCTTAGTGGAGTACACACATCTCAAATAAGTTTCTGAGAATGCTTCTGCCTAGTTGTTACGGGAAGATATTTCCCTTTCCAACATGGGCCTGATAGTGCTCCAAATGTCCACTTCCAGATACTACAAAAAGAGGGTTTCAAACCTGCTCTACCAAAGGGAATGTTCTACTCTGTGACTTGAATGCAAACATCCCAAAGAAGTTTCTGAGAATGCTTCTGTCTAGATTTTACCTGAAGACAATCCCGTTTCCCACGAAATCCTCAAAGCTATGCAAATATCCTCTTGCAGATTCTACAAAAAGAGTGTTTCAAAACTGCTCTATGAAAAGAAAGGTTCAACTCTGTCAGTAGAGGGCACACATCACAAACAAGTTTCTGAGAATGCTTGTGTCTAGTTGTTATGGGAAGATATTTCCTTTTTCAACATAGGCCTGAAAGCGCTCCAAATGTCCACTTCCAGATACTACAAAAGGAGTGATTCCAACCTGCTCTATGATAGGGAATGTTCAACTCTCAGTCCTGAATACAAACATCACAAAGATGTTTCTCAGAACGCTGCAGTCTGCAATTTGTATGAATTCCCGCTTCCAACGAAATCCTCAAAACTAGCCAAATATCCACTTGCAGATTCCACAAAAAGAGCATTTCAAAACTGCTCTATCAAAAGAAAGGTTCAACTTTGTTAGTTGAGTAGATACAGCATAAACAAGTTTCTGAGAATGCTTCTGTCCAGTTTTTATGGGAAGATATTTCCTTTTTCACCTTAGCCCTGAAATCGCTCCAAAAGTCCAGTTCCAGATACTACAAAAGGGGTGTTTCAGGACTGCTCTATGAAAGGGAGTGTTCAACTTTTGACTTGAATGCAAACATCAGAAAGCAGTTTCTCAGAACGCTGCTGTGTGCTTTTTATATGTATTCCCGCTTCCAGCGAAATCCCCAAAGCTAGCCAAATATCCACTTGCAGATTCCAGAAAAAGAGTGTTTCAAAACTGCTCCTTCAAAACGGTGGTTCAATTCTCTTAGTTGAGTAGACACATCTCAAATAAGTTTCTGAGAATGCTGCAGTCTGCAATTTGTATGAATTCCCGCTTCCAACGAAATCCTCAAAACTAGCCAAATATCCACTTGGAGATTCCACAAAAAGAGCGTTTCAAAACTTCTCTATGAATAGAAAGGTTCTACTCCTTTAGTTGAGGACACACATCACGAGTAAGTTTCTGAGAATGCTTCTGTCTAGTTTTTATGGGAAGATATGTCCTTTTTCACCTTAGGCCGGAAAGCGCTCCAAATGTCCACTTACACACACTACAAAAAGAGTGTTTCAAACCTGCTCTATGAAAGGGAATGTTCAATTCTGTGACTTGAATGCAATCATCACAAAGAACTTTCTGAGAATGCTGCTGTCTGCTTTTTATATGTAATCCCGTTTCCAACGAAATCCTCAAATCTAGCCCAATATCCACTTGCAGATTCCACAAAAAGAGTGTTTCAAAACTGTTCTGTCTAAAGAAAAGTTCAACTGTGTTAGTTGAGGACACACATCAGAAACCAGTTTCTGAGAATGCTTCTGTCTAGTTGTTATGGGAAGATATTTCCTTTTCCAACGTAGGCCTGAAAGCGCTCCAAATGTCCACTTCCATATACTAAAAAAAGAGTGTTTCAAACCTGCTCTACCAAAGGGAATGTTCTACTCTGTGACTTGAATGCAAACATCCCAAAGAAGTTTCTGAGAATGCTTCTGTCTAGATTTTATCTGAAGACAATCCCGTTTCCAACGAAATCTTCAAGGCTAGGCAAATATACTCTTGCAGATTCCAGAAAAAGAGTGTTTCAAAACTGCTCCTTCAAAACGGTGGTTCAATTCTCTTAGTTGAGTACACACATCTCAAATAAGTTTCTGACAATGCTTCTGCCTAGTTGTTACGGGAAGATATTTCCCTTTCCAACATAGGCCTGAAAGCGCTCCAAATGTCCACTTCCAGATACTACAAAAAGAGTGTTTCAAACCTGCTCTACCAAAGGGAATGTTCTGCTCTGTGACTTGAATGCAAACATCCCAAAGAAGTTTCTGAGAATGCTTCTGTCTAGATTTTACGTGAAGACAATCCCGTTTCCTACGAAATCCTCAAAGCTATGCAAATATCCTCTTACAGATTCTACAAAAAGAGTGTTTCGAAACTGCTCTATGAAAAGAAAGGTTCAACTGTGTCAGTAGAAGGCACACATCACAAACAAGTTTCTGAGAATGCTTGTGTCTAGTTGTTATGGGAAGATATTTCCTTTTTCAACATAGGCCTGAAAGCGCTCCAAATGTCCACTTCCAGATACTACAAAAGGAGTGATTCCAACCTGCTCTATGATAGGGAATGTTCATCTCTGTGTCCTGAATACAAACATCACAAAGATGTTTCTCAGAACGCTGCAGTCTGCAATTTGTATGAATTCCCGCTTCCAACGAAATCCTCAAAACTAGCCAAATATCCACTTGCAGATTCCACAAAAAGACCATTTCAAAACTGCTCTATCAAAAGAAAGGTTCAACTTTGTTAGTTGAGTAGATACAGCATAAACAAGTTTCTGAGAATGCTTCTGTCCAGTTTTTATGGGAAGATATTTCCTTTTTCACCTTAGCCCTGAAATCGCTCCAAAAGTCCAGTTCCAGATACTACAAAAGGGGTGTTTCAAGACTGCTCTATGAAAGGGAGTGTTCAACTTTTGACTTGAATGCAAACATCAGAAAGCAGTTTCTCAGAACGCTGCTGTGTGCTTTTTATATGTATTCCCGCTTCCAGCGAAATCCCCAAAGCTAGCCAAATATCCACTTGCAGATTCCAGAAAAAGAGTGTTTCAAAACTGCTCCTTCAAAACGGTGGTTCAATTCTCTTAGTTGAGTACACACATCTCAAATAAGTTTCTGAGAATGCTTCTGTCTAGTTGTTATGGGAAGATATTTCCTTTTCCAACATAGGCTTGAAAGCGCTCCAAATGTCCACTTCCAGATACTACAAAAGGAGTGATTCAAACCTGCTCTATGATAGGGAATGTTCAACTCTGTGTCCTGAATACAAACATCACAAAGATGTTTCTCAGAAAGCTGCAGTCTGCAATTTGTATGAATTCCCGCTTCCAACGAAATCCTCCAAACTAGCCAAATATCCACTTGCAGATTCCACAAAAAGAGCGTTTCAAAACTTCTCTATGAAAAGAAAGGTTCTAATCCTTTAGTTGAGGACACACATCACCGAGTAAGTTTCTGAGAATGCTTCTGTCTAGTTTTTATGGGAAGATATTTCCTTTTTCACCTTAGGCCGGAAAGTGCTCCAAATGTCCACTTACACACACTACAAAAAGAGTGTTTCAAACCTGCTCTGTGAAAGGGAATGTTCAATTCTGTGACTTGAATGCAATCATCACAAAGAACGTTCTGAGAATGCTGCTGTCTGCTTTTTATATGTAATCCCGTTTCCAACGAAATCCTCAAATCTAGCCAAATAGCCACTTGCAGATTCCACAAAAAGAGTGTTTCAAAACTGTTCTGTCTAAAGAAATGTTCAACTGTGTTAGTTGAGGACACACATCAGAAACTAGTTTCTGAGAATGCTTCTGTCTAGTTGTTATGGGAAGATATTTCCTTTTCCAACGTAGGCCTGAAAGCGATCCAAATGTCCACTTCCATATACTAAAAAAAGAGTGTTTCAAACCTGCTCTACCAAAGGGAATGTTCTACTCTGTGACTTGAATGCAAACATCCCAAAGAAGTTTCTGAGAATGCTTCTGTCTAGATTTTCTCTGAAGACAATCCCGTTTCCAACGAAATCCTCAAGGCTAGGCAAATATACTCTTGCAGATTCCAGAAAAAGAGTGTTTCAAAACTGCTCCTTCAAAACGGTGGTTCAATTCTCTTAGTTGAGTACACACATCTCAAATAAGTTTCTGAGAATGCTTCTGCCTAGTTGTTACGGGAAGATATTTCCCTTTCCAACATGGGCCTGAAAGCGCTCCAAATGTCCACTTCCAGATACTACAAAAAGAGGGTTTCAAACCTGCTCTACCAAAGGGAATGTTCTACTCTGTATCTTGAATGCAAACATCCCAAAGAAGTTTCTGAGAATGCTTCTGTCTAGATTTTACCTGAAGACAATCCCGTTTCCCACGAAATCCTCAAAGCTATGCAAATATCCTCTTGCAGATTCTACAAAAAGAGTGTTTCAAAACTGCTCTAAGAAAAGAAAGGTTCAACTCTGTCAGTAGAGGGCACACATCACAAACAAGTTTCTGAGAATGCTTCTGCATAGTTGTTACGGGAAGATATTTCCCTTTCCAAAATAGGCCTGAAAGCGCTCCAAATGTCCACTTCCAGATACTACAAAAGGAGTGATTCCAACCTGCTCTATGATAGGGAATGTTCAACTCTGTGTCCTGAATACAAACATCACAAAGATGTTTCTCAGAACGCTGCAGTCTGCAATTTGTATGAATTCCCGCTTCCAACGAAATCCTCAAAACTAGCCAAATATCCACTTGCAGATTCCACAAAAAGACCATTTCAAAACTGCTCTATCAAAAGAAAGGTTCAACTTTGTTAGTTGAGTAGATACAGCATAACCAAGTTTCTGAGAATGCTTCTGTCCAGTTTTTATGGGAAGATATTTCCTTTTTCACCTTAGCCCTGAAATCGCTCCAAAAGTCCAGTTCCAGATACTACAAAAGGGGTGTTTCAAGACTGCTCTATGAAAGGGAGTGTTCAACTTTTGACTTGAATGCAAACATCAGAAAGCAGTTTCTCAGAACGCTGCTGTGTGCTTTTTATATGTATTCCCGCTTCCAGCGAAATCCCCAAAGCTAGCCAAATATCCACTTGCAGATTCCAGAAAAAGAGAGTTTCAAAACTGCTCCTTCAAAACGGTGGTTCAATTCTCTTAGTTGAGTACACACATCTCAAATAAGTTTCTGAGAATGCTTCTGTCTAGTTGTTATGGGAAGATATTTCCTTTTCCAACATAGGCCTGAAAGCGCTCCAAATGTCCACTTCCAGATACTACAAAAGGAGTGATTCAAACCTGCTCTATGATAGGGAATGTTCAACTCTGTGTCCTGAATACAAACATCACAAAGATGTTTCTCAGAACGCTGCAGTCTGCAATTTGTATGAATTCCCGCTTCCAACGAAATCCTCCAAACTAGCCAAATATCCACTTGCAGATTCCACAAAAAGAGCGTTTCAAAACTTCTCTATGAAAAGAAAGGTTCTACTCCTTTAGTTGAGGACACACATCACGAGTAAGTTTCTGAGAATGCTTCTGCCTAGTTTTTATGGGAAGATATTTCCTTTTTCACCTTAGGCCGGAAAGCGCTCCAAATGTCCACTTACACACACTACAAAAAGAGTGTTTCAAACCTGCTCTGTGAAAGGGAATGTTCAATTCTGTGACTTGAATGCAATCATCACAAAGAACTTTCTGAGAATGCTGCTGACTGCTTTTTATATGTAATCCCGTTTCCAACGAAATCCTCAAATCTAGCCCAATATCCACTTGCAGATTCCACAAAAAGAGTGTTTCAAAACTGTTCTGTCTAAAGAAATGTACAACTGTGTTAGTTGAGGACACACATCAGAAACTAGTTTCTGAGAATGCTTCTGTCTAGTTGTTATGGGAAGATATTTCCTTTTCCAACGTAGGCCTGAAAGCGCTCCAAATGTCCACTTCCATATACTAAAAAAAGAGTGTTTCAAACCTGCTCTACCAAAGGGAATGTTCTACTCTGTGACTTGAATGCAAACATCCCAAAGAAGTTTCTGAGAATGCTTCTGTCTAGATTTTCTCTGAAGACAATCCCGTTTCCAACGAAATCCTCAAGGCTAGGCAAATATACTCTTGCAGATTCCAGAAAAAGAGTGTTTCAAAACTGCTCCTTCAAAACGGTGGTTCAATTCTCTTAGTTGAGTACACACATCTCAAATAAGTTTCTGAGAATGCTTCTGCCTAGTTGTTACGGGAAGATATTTCCCTTTCCAACATGGGCCTGAAAGCGCTCCAAATGTCCACTTCCAGATACTACAAAAAGAGTGTTTCAAACCTGCTCTACCAAAGGGAATGTTCTACTCTGTGACTTGAATGCAAACATCCCAAAGAAGTTTCTGAGAATGCTTCTGTCTAGATTTTACCTGAAGACAATCCCGTTTCCCACGAAATCCTCAAAGCTATGCAAATATCCTCTTGCAGATTCTACAAAAAGAGTGTTTCAAAACTGCTCTATGAAAAGAAAGGTTCAACTCTGTCAGTAGAGGGCACACATCACAAACAAGTTTCTGAGAATGCTTCTGCATAGTTGTTACGGGAAGATATTTCCCTTTCCAAAATAGGCCTGAAAGCGCTCCAAATGTCCACTTCCAGATACTACAAAAGGAGTGATTCCAACCTGCTCTATGATAGGGAATGTTCAACTCTGTGTCCTGAATACAAACATCACAAAGATGTTTCTCAGAACGCTGCAGTCTGCAATTTGTATGAATTCCCGCTTCCAACGAAATCCTCAAAACTAGCCAAATATCCACTTGCAGATTCCACAAAAAGACCATTTCAAAACTGCTCTATCAAAAGAAAGGTTCAACTTTGTTAGTTGAGTAGATACAGCATAACCAAGTTTCTGAGAATGCTTCTGTCCAGTTTTTATGGGAAGATATTTCCTTTTTCACCTTAGCCCTGAAATCGCTCCAAAAGTCCAGTTCCAGATACTACAAAAGGGGTGTTTCAAGACTGCTCTATGAAAGGGAGTGTTCAACTTTTGACTTGAATGCAAACATCAGAAAGCAGTTTCTCAGAACGCTGCTGTGTGCTTTTTATATGTATTCCCGCTTCCAGCGAAATCCCCAAAGCTAGCCAAATATCCACTTGCAGATTCCAGAAAAAGAGTGTTTCAAAACTGCTCCTTCAAAACGGTGGTTCAATTCTCTTAGTTGAGTACACACATCTCAAATAAGTTTCTGAGAATGCTTCTGTCTAGTTGTTATGGGAAGATATTTCCTTTTCCAACATAGGCCTGAAAGCGCTCCAAATGTCCACTTCCAGATACTACAAAAGGAGTGATTCCAACCTGCTCTATGATAGGGAATGTTCAACTCTGTGTCCTGAATACAAACATCACAAAGATGTTTCTCAGAACGCTGCAGTCTGCAATTTGTATGAATTCCCGCTTCCAACGAAATCCTCAAAACTAGCCAAATATCCACTTGCAGATTCCACAAAAAGAGCGTTTCAAAACTTCTCTATGAAAAGAAAGGTTCTACTCCTTTAGTTGAGGACACACATCACGAGTAAGTTTCTGAGAATGCTTCTGTCTAGTTTTTATGGGAAGATATTTCCTTTTTCACCTTAGGCCGGTAAGTGCTCCAAATGTCCACTTACACACACTACAAAAAGAGTGTTTCAAACCTGCTCTGTGAAAGGGAATGTTCAATTCTGTGACTTGAATGCAATCATCACAAAGAACTTTCTGAGAATGCTGCTGTCTGCTTTTTATATGTAATCCCGTTTCCAACGAAATCCTCAAATCTAGCCAAATAGCCACTTGCAGATTCCACAAAAAGAGTGTTTCAAAACTGTTCTGTCTAAAGAAATGTTCAACTGTGTTAGTTGAGGACACACATCAGAAACTAGTTTCTGAGAATGCTTCTGTCTAGTTGTTATGGGAAGATATTTCCTTTTCCAACGTAGGCCTGAAAGCGCTCCAAATGTCCACTTCCAGATACTACAAAAAGAGTGTTTCAAACCTGCTCTACCAAAGGGAATGTTCTACTCTGTGACTTGAATGCAAACATCCCAAAGAAGTTTCTGAGAATGCTTCTGTCTAGATTTTATCTGAAGACAATCCCGTTTCCAACGAAATCCTCAAGGCTAGGCAAATATACTCTTGCAGATTCCAGAAAAAGAGTGTTTCAAAACTGCACCTTCAAAACGGTGGTTCAATTCTCTTAGTTGAGTACACACATCTCAAATAAGTTTCTGAGAATGCTTCTGCCTAGTTGTTACGGGAAGATATTTCCCTTTCCAACATGGGCCTGATAGTGCTCCAAATGTCCACTTCCAGATACTACAAAAAGAGTGTTTCAAACCTGCTCTACCAAAGGGAATGTTCTACTCTGTGACTTGAATGCAAACATCCCAAAAAAGTTTCTGAGAATGCTTCTGTCTAGATTTTACCTGAAGACAATCCCGTTTCCCACGAAATCCTCAAAGCTATGCAAATATCCTCTTGCAGATTCTACAAAAAGAGTGTTTCAAAACTGCTCTATGAAAAGAAAGGTTCAACTCTGTCAGTAGAGGGCACACATCACAAACAAGTTTCTGAGAATGCTTGTGTCTAGTTGTTATGGGAAGATATTTCCTTTTTCAACATAGGCCAGAAAGCGCTCCAAATGTCCACTTCCAGATACTACAAAAGGAGTGATTCCAACCTGCTCTATGATAGGGAATGTTCAACTCTCTGTCCTGAATACAAACATCACAAAGATGTTTCTCAGAACGCTGCAGTCTGCAATTTGTATGAATTCCCGCTTCCAACGAAATCCTCAAACCTAGCCAAATATCCACTTGTAGATTCCACAAAAAGAGCATTTCAAAACTGCTCTATCAAAAGAAAGGTTCAACTTTGTTAGTTGAGTAGATACAGCATAAACAAGTTTCTGAGAATGCTTCTGTCCAGTTTTTATGGGAAGATATTTCCTTTTTCACCTTAGCCCTGAAAGCACTCCAAATGTCCACTTCCAGATACCACAAAAGGGGAGTTTCAAGACTGCTCTATGAAAGGGAGTGTTCAACTTTTGACTTGAATGCGAACATCAGAAAGAAGTTTCTCAGAACGCTGCTGTGTGCTTTTTATATGTATTCCCGCTTCCAGCGAAATCCCCAAAGCTAGCCAAATATCCAATTGCAGATTCCAGAAAAAGAGTGTTTCAAAACTGCTCCTTCAAAACGGTGGTTCAATTCTCTTAGTTGAGTACACACATCTCAAATAAGTTTCTGAGAATGCTTCTGTCTATTTGTTATGGGAAGATATTTCCTTTTCCAACATAGGCCTGAAAGCGCTCCAAATGTCCACTTCCAGATACTACAAAAGGAGTGATTCAAACCTGCTCTATGATAGGGAATGTTCAACTCTGTGTCCTGAATACAAACATCACAAAGATGTTTCTCAGAACGCTGTAGTCTGCAATTTGTATGAATTCCCGCTTCCAACGAAATCCTCAAAACTAGCCAAATATCCACTTGCAGATTCCACAAAAAGAGCGTTTCAAAACTTCTCTATGAAAAGAAAGGTTCTACTCCTTTAGTTGAGTACACACATCACGAGTAAGTTTCTGAGAATGCTTCTGTCTAGTTTTTATGGGAAGATATTTCCTTTTTCACCTTAGGCCGGAAAGTGCTCCAAATGTCCACTTACACACACTATAAAAAGAGTGTTTCAAACCTGCTCTGTGAAAGGGAATGTTCAATTCTGTGACTTGAATGCAATCATCACAAAGAACTTTCTGAGAATGCTGCTGACTGCTTTTTATATGTAATCCCGTTTCCAACGAAATCCTCAAATCTAGCCAAATAGCCACTTGCAGATTCCACAAAAAGAGTGTTTCAAAACTGTTCTGTCTAAAGAAATGTTCAACTGTGTTAGTTGAGGACACACATCAGAAACTAGTTTCTGAGAATGCTTCTGTCTAGTTGTTATGGGAAGATATTTCCTTTTCCAACGTAGGCCTGAAAGCGCTCCAAATGTCCACTTCCAGATACTACAAAAAGAGTGTTTCAAACCTGCTCTACCAAAGGGAATGTTCTACTCTGTGACTTGAATGCAAGCATCCCAAAGAAGTTTCTGAGAATGCTTCTGTCTAGATTTTATCTGAAGACAATCCCGTTTCCAACGAAATCCTCAAGGCTAGGCAAATATACTCTTGCAGATTCCAGAAAAAGAGTGTTTCAAAACTGCTCCTTCAAAACGGTGGTTCAATTCTCTTAGTTGAGTACACACATCTCAAATAAGTTTCTGAGAATGCTTCTGCCTAGTTGTTACGGGAAGATATTTCCCTTTCCAACATAGGCCTGAAAGCGCTCCAAATGTCCACTTCCAGATACTACAAAAAGAGTGTTTCAAACCTGCTCTACCAAAGGGAATGTTCTACTCTGTGACTTGAATGCAAACATCCCAAAGAAGTTTCTGAGAATGCTTCTGTCTAGATTTTACCTGAAGACAATCCCGTTTCCCACGAAATCCTCAGAGCTATGCAAATATCCTCTTGCAGATTCTACAAAAAGAGTGTTTCGAAACTGCTCTATGAAAAGAAAGGTTCAACTCTGTCAGTAGAGGAAACACATCACCAACAAGTTTCTGAGAATGCTTCTGTCTAGTTGTTATGGGAAGATTTTTCCTTTTTCAACATAGGCCTGAAAGCGCTCCAAATGTCCACTTCCAGATACTACAAAAGGAGTGATCCCAACCTGCTCTATGATAGGGAATGTTCAACTCTGTGTCCTGAATACAAACATCACAAAGATGTTTCTCAGAACGCTGCAGTCTGCAATTTGTATGAATTCCCGCTTCCAACGAAATCCTCAAAACTAGCCAAATATCCACTTGCAGATTCCACAAAAAGAGCATTTCAAAACTGCTCTATCAAAAGAAAGGTTCAACTTAGTTAGTTGAGTAGATACAGCATAAACAAGTTTCTGAGAATGCTTCTGTCCAGTTTTTATGGGAAGATATTTCCTTTTTCACCTTAGCCCTGAAATCGCTCCAAAAGTCCAGTTCCAGATACTACAAAAGGGGTGTTTCAGGACTGCCCTATGAAAGGGAGTGTTCAACTTTTGACTTGAATGCAAACATCAGAAAGCAGTTTTCTCAGAACGCTGCTGTGTGCTTTTTATATGTATTCCCGCTTCCAGCGAAATCCCCAAATCTAGCCAAATATCCACTTACAGATTCCAGAAAAAGAGTGTTTCAAAACTGCTCCTTCAAAACGGTGGTTCAATTCTCTTAGTTGAGTACACACATCTCAAATAAGTTTCTGAGAATGTTTCTGTCTAGTTGTTATGGGAAGATATTTCCTTTTCCAACATAGGCCTGAAAGCGCTCCAAATGTCCACTTCCAGATACTACAAAAGGAGTGATTCCAACCTGCTCTATGATAGGGAATGTTCAACTCTGTGTCCTGAATACAAACATCACAAAGATGTTTCTCAGAACGCTGCAGTCTGCAATTTGTATGAATTCCCGCTTCCAACGAAATCATCAAAACTAGCCAAATATCCACTTGCAGATTCCACAAAAAGAGAGTTTCAAAACTTCTCTATGAAAAGAAAGGTTCTACACCTTTAGTTGAGGACACACATCACGAGTAAGTTTCTGAGAATGCTTCTGTCTAGTTTTTATGGGAAGATATTTCCTTTTTCACCTTAGGCCGGAAAGCGCTCCAAATGTCCACTTACACACACTACAAAAAGAGTGTTTCAAACCTGCTCTGTGAAAGGGAATGTTCAATTCTGTGACTTAAATGCAATCATCAAAAAGAACTTTCTGAGACTGCTGCTGACTGCTTTTTATATGTAATCCCGTTTCCAACGAAATCCTCAAATCTAGCCAAATAGCCACTTGCAGATTCCACAAAAAGAGTGTTTCAAAACTGTTCTGTCTAAAGAAATGTTCAACTGTGTTAGTTGAGGACACACATCAGAAACTAGTTTCTGAGAATGCTTCTGTCTAGTTGTTATGGGAAGATATTTCCTTTTCCAACGTAAGCCTGAAAGCGATCAAAATGTCCACTTCCATATACTAAAAAAAGAGTGTTTCAAACCTGCTCTACCAAAGGGAATGTTCTACTCTGTGACTTGAATGCAAACATCCCAAAGAAGTTTCTGAGAATGCTTCTGTCTAGATTTGATCTGAAGACAATCCCGTTTCCAACGAAATCCTCAAGGCTAGGCAAATATACTCTTGCAGATTCCAGAAAAAGAGTGTTTCAAAACTGCTCCTTCAAAACGGTGGTTCAATTCTCTTAGTTGAGTACACACATCTCAAATAAGTTTCTGAGAATGCTTCTGCCTAGTTGTTACGGGAAGATATTTCCCTTTCCAACATAGGCCTGAAAGCGCTCCAAATGTCCACTTCCAGATACTACAAAAAGAGTGTTTCAAACCTGCTCTACCAAAGGGAATGTTCTACTCTGTGACTTGAATGCAAACATCCCAAAGAAGTTTCTGAGAATGCTTCTGTCTAGATTTTACCTGAAGACAATCCCGTTTCCCACGAAATCCTCAAAGCTATGCAAATATCCTCTTGCGGATTCTACAAAAAGAGTGTTTCAAAACTGCTCTATGAAAAGAAAGGTTCAACTCTGTCAGTAGAGGGCACACATCACAAACAAGTTTCTGAGAATGCTTCTGCATAGTTGTTACGGGAAGATATTTCCCTTTCCAAAATAGGCCTGAAAGCGCTCCAAATGTCCACTTCCAGATACTACAAAAGGAGTGATTCCAACCTGCTCTATGATAGGGAATGTTCAACTCTGTGTCCTGAATACAAACATCACAAAGATGTTTCTCAGAACGCTGCAGTCTGCAATTTGTATGAATTCCCGCTTCCAACGAAATCCTCAAAACTAGCCAAATATCCACTTGCAGATTCCACAAAAAGACCATTTCAAAACTGCTCTATCAAAAGAAAGGTTCAACTTTGTTAGTTGAGTAGATACAGCATAACCAAGTTTCTGAGAATGCTTCTGTCCAGTTTTTATGGGAAGATATTTCCTTTTTCACCTTAGCCCTGAAAGCGCTCCAAAAGTCCAGTTCCAGATACTACAAAAGGAGTGTTTCAGGACTGCTCTATGAAAGGGAGTGTTCAACTTTTGACTTGAATGCAAACATCAGAAAGCAGTTTCTCAGAACGCTGCTGTGTGCTTTTTATATGTATTCCCGCTTCCAGCGAAATCCCCAAAGCTAGCCAAATAGCCACTTGCAGATTCCAGAAAAAGAGTGTTTCAAAACTGCTCCTTCAAAACGGTGGTTCAATTCTCTTAGTTGAGTACACACATCTCAAATAAGTTTCTGAGAATGCTTCTGTCTAGTTGTTATGGGAAGATATTTCCTTTTCCAACATAGGCCTGAAAGCGCTCCAAATGTCCACTTCCAGATACTACAAAAGGAGTGATTCAAACCTGCTCTATGATAGGGAATGTTCAACTCTGTGTCCTGAATACAAACATCACAAAGATGTTTCTCAGAACGCTGCAGTCTGCAATTTGTATGAATTCCCGCTTCCAACGAAATCCTCCAAACTAGCCAAATATCCACTTGCAGATTCCACAAAAAGAGCGTTTCAAAACTTCTCTATGAAAAGAAAGGTTCTACTCCTTTAGTTGAGGACACACATCACGAGTAAGTTTCTGAGAATGCTTCTGTCTAGTTTTTATGGGAAGATATTTCCTTGTTCACCTTAGGCCGGAAAGCGCTCCAAATGTCCACTTACACACACTACAAAAAGAGTGTTTCAAACCTGCTCTGTGAAAGGGAATGTTCAATTCTGTGACTTGAATGCAATCATCACAAAGAAGTTTCTGAGAATGCTGCTGTCTGCTTTTTATATGTAATCCCGTTTCCAACGAAATCCTCAAATCTAGCCAAATATCCACTTGCAGATTCCACAAAAAGAGTGTTTCAAAACTGTTCTGTCTAAAGAAAAGTTCAACTGTGTTAGTTGAGGACACACATCAGAAACTAGTTTCTGAGAATGCTTCTGTCTAGTTGTTATGGGAAGATATTTCCTTTTCCAACGTAGGCCAGAAAGCGCTCCAAATGTCCACTTACACACACTACAAAAAGAGTGTTTCAAACCTGCTCTACCAAAGGGAATGTTCTACTCTGTGACTTGAATGCAAACATCCCAAAGAAGTTTCTGAGAATGCTTCTGTCTAGATTTTCTCTGAAGACAATCCCGTTTCCAACGAAATCCTCAAGGCTAGGCAAATATCCTCTTGCAGATTCCAGAAAAAGAGTGTTTCAAAACTGCTCCTTCAAAACGGTGGTTCAATTCTCTTAGTTGAGTACACACATCTCAAATAAGTTTCTGAGAATGCTTCTGCCTAGTTGTTACGGGAAGATATTTCCCTTTCCAACATGGGCCTGAAAGCGCTCCAAATGTCCACTTCCAGATACTACAAAAAGAGTGTTTCAAACCTGCTCTACCAAAGGGAATGTTCTACTCTGTGACTTGAATGCAAACATCCCAAAGAAGTTTCTGAGAATGCTTCTGTCTAGATTTTACCTGAAGACAATCCCGTTTCCCACGAAATCCTCAAAGCTATGCAAATATCCTCTTGCAGATTCTACAAAAAGAGTGTTTCAAAACTGCTCTATGAAAAGAAAGGTTCAACTCTGTCAGTAGAGGGCACACATCACAAACAAGTTTCTGAGAATGCTTCTGTCTAGTTGTTATGGGAAGATATTTCCTTTTCCAACGTAGGCCTGAAAGCGCTCCAAATGTCCACTTCCAGATACTACAAAAGGAGTGATTCCAACCTGCTCTATGATAGGGAATGTTCAACTCTGTGTCCTGAATACAAACATCACAAAGATGTTTCTCAGAACGCTGCAGTCTGCAATTTGTATGAATTCCCGCTTCCAACGAAATCCTCAAAACTAGCCAAATATCCACTTGCAGATTCCACAAAAAGACCATTTCAAAACTGCTCTATCAAAAGAAAGGTTCAACTTTGTTAGTTGAGTAGATACAGCATAAACAAGTTTCTGAGAATGCTTCTGTCCAGTTTTTATGGGAAGATATTTCCTTTTTCACCTTAGCCCTGAAAGCGCTCCAAAAGTCCAGTTCCAGATACTACAAAAGGAGTGTTTCAGGACTGCTCTATGAAAGGGAGTGTTCAACTTTTGACTTGAATGCAAACATCAGAAAGCAGTTTCTCAGAACGCTGCTGTGTGCTTTTTATATGTATTCCCGCCTCCAGCGAAATCCCCAAAGCTAGCCAAATATCCACTTGCAGATTCCAGAAAAAGAGTGTTTCAAAACTGCTCCTTCAAAACGGTGGTTCAATTCTCTTAGTTGAGTACACACATCTCAAATAAGTTTCTGAGAATGCTTCTGTCTAGTTGTTATGGGAAGATATTTCCTTTTCCAACATAGGCCTGAAAGCGCTCCAAATGTCCACTTCCAGATACTACAAAAGGAGTGATTCAAACCTGCTCTATGATAGGGAATGTTCAACTCTGTGTCCTGAATACAAACATCACAAAGATGTTTCTCAGAACGCTGCAGTCTGCAATTTGTATGAATTCCCGCTTCCAACGAAATCCTCCAAACTAGCCAAATATCCACTTGCAGATTCCACAAAAAGAGCGTTTCAAAACTTCTCTATGAAAAGAAAGGTTCTACTCCTTTAGTTGAGGACACACATCACGAGTAAGTTTCTGAGAGTGCTTCTGTCTAGTTTTTATGGGAAGATATTTCCTTTTTCACCTTAGGCCGGAAAGCGCTCCAAATGTCCACTTACACACACTACAAAAAGAGTGTTTCAAACCTGCTCTGTGAAAGGGAATGTTCAATTCTGTGACTTGAATGCAATCATCAAAAAGAACTTTCTGAGAATTCTGCTGACTGCTTTTTATATGTAATCCCGTTTCCAACGAAATCCTCAAATCTAGCCAAATAGCCACTTGCAGATTCCACAAAAAGAGTGTTTCAAAACTGTTCTGTCTAAAGAAATGTTCAACTGTGTTAGTTGAGGACACACATCAGAAACTAGTTTCTGAGAATGCTTCTGTCTAGTTGTTATGGGAAGATATTTCCTTTTCCAACGTAGGCCTGAAAGCGCTCCAAATGTCCACTTCCATATACTAAAAAAAGAGTGTTTCAAACCTGCTCTACCAAAGGGAATGTTCTACTCTGTGACTTGAATGCAAACATCCCAAAGAAGTTTCTGAGAATGCTTCTGTATAGATTTGATCTGAAGACAATCCCGTTTCCAACGAAATCCTCAAGGCTAGGCAAATATCCTCTTTCAGATTCCAGAAAAAGAGTGTTTCAAAACTGCTCCTTCAAAACGGTGGTTCAATTCTGCTTAGTTGAATACACACATCTCAAATAAGTTTCTGAGAATGCTTCTGCCTAGTTGTTACGGGAAGATATTTCCCTTTCCAACATGGGCCTGAAAGCGCTCCAAATGTCCACTTCCAGATACTACAAAAAGAGTGTTTCAAACCTGCTCTACCAAAGGGAATGTTCTACTCTGTGACTTGAATGCAAACATCCCAAAGAAGTTTCTGAGAATGCTTCTGTCTAGATTTTACCTGAAGACAATCCCGTTTCCCACGAAATCCTCAAAGCTATGCAAATATCCTCTTGCGGATTCTACAAAAAGAGTGTTTCAAAACTGCTCTATGAAAAGAAAGGTTCAACTCTGTCAGTAGAGGGCACACATCACAAACAACTTTCTGAGAATGCTTGTGTCTAGTTGTTATGGGAAGATATTTCCTTTTTCAACATAGGCCTGAAAGCGCTCCAAATGTCCTCTTCCACATACTACAAAAGGAGTGATTCCAACCTGCTCTATGATAGGGAATGTTCATCTCTGTGTCCTGAATACAAACATCACAAAGATGTTTCTCAGAATGCTGCAGTCTGCAATTTGTATGAATTCCCGCTTCCAACGAAATCCTCAAAACTAGCCAAATATCCACTTGCAGATTCCACAAAAAGACCATTTCAAAACTGCTCTATCAAAAGAAAGGTTCAACTTTGTTAGTTGAGTAGATACAGCATAAACAAGTTTCTGAGAATGCTTCTGTCCAGTTTTTATGGGAAGATATTTCCTTTTTCACCTTAGCCCTGAAATCGCTCCAAAAGTCCAGTTCCAGATACTACAAAAGGGGTGTTTCAAGACTGCTCTATGAAAGGGAGTGTTCAACTTTTGACTTGAATGCAAACATCAGAAAGCAGTTTCTCAGAACGCTGCTGTGTGCTTTTTATATGTATTCCCGCTTCCAGCGAAATCCCCAAAGCTAGCCAAATATCCACTTGCAGATTCCAGAAAAAGAGAGTTTCAAAACTGCTCCTTCAAAACGGTGGTTCAATTCTCTTAGTTGAGTACACACATCTCAAATAAGTTTCTGAGAATGCTTCTGTCTAGTTGTTATGGGAAGATATTTCCTTTTCCAACATAGGCCTGAAAGCGCTCCAAATGTCCACTTCCAGATACTACAAAAGGAGTGATTCAAACCTGCTCTATGATAGGGAATGTTCAACTCTGTGTCCTGAATACAAACATCACAAAGATGTTTCTCAGAACGCTGCAGTCTGCAATTTGTATGAATTCCCGCTTCCAACGAAATCCTCCAAACTAGCCAAATATCCACTTGCAGATTCCACAAAAAGAGCGTTTCAAAACTTCTCTATGAAAGAAAGGTTCTACTCCTTTAGTTGAGGACACACATCACGAGTAAGTTTCTGAGAATGCTTCTGTCTAGTTTTTATGGGAAGATATTTCCTTTCTCACCTTAGGCCGGTAAGTGCTCCAAATGTCCACTTACACACACTACAAAAAGAGTGTTTCAAACCTGCTCTGTGAAAGGGAATGTTCAATTCTGTGACTTGAATGCAATCATCACAAAGAACTTTCTGAGAATGCTGCTGTCTGCTTTTTATATGTAATCCCGTTTCCAACGAAATCCTCAAATCTAGCCAAATAGCCACTTGCAGATTCCACAAAAAGAGAGTTTCAAAACTGTTCTGTCTAAAGAAATGTTCAACTGTGTTAGTTGAGGACACACATCAGAAACTAGTTTCTGAGAATGCTTCTGTCTAGTTGTTATGGGAAGATATTTCCTTTTCCAACGTAGGCCTGAAAGCGCTCCAAATGTCCACTTCCATATACTAAAAAAAGAGTGTTTCAAACCTGCTCTACCAAAGGGAATGTTCTACTCTGTGACTTGAATGCAAACATCCCAAAGAAGTTTCTGAGAATGCTTCTGTCTAGATTTTCTCTGAAGACAATCCCGTTTCCAACGAAATCCTCAAGGCTAGGCAAATATACTCTTGCAGATTCCAGAAAAAGAGTGTTTCAAAACTGCTCCTTCAAAACGGTGGTTCAATTCTCTTAGTTGAGTACACACATCTCAAATAAGTTTCTGAGAATGCTTCTGCCTAGTTGTTACGGGAAGATATTTCCTTTTCCAACATGGGCCTGAAAGCGCTCCAAATGTCCACTTCCAGATACTACAAAAAGAGTGTTTCAAACCTGCTCTACCAAAGGGAATGTTCTACTCTGTGACTTGAATGCAAACATCCCAAAGAAGTTTCTGAGAATGCTTCTGTCTAGATTTTACCTGAAGACAATCCCGTTTCCCACGAAATCCTCAAAGCGATGCAAATATCCTCTTGCGGATTCTACAAAAAGAGTGTTTCAAAACTGCTCTATGAAAAGAAAGGTTCAACTCTGTCAGTAGAGGGCACACATCACAAACAAGTTTCTGAGAATGCTTGTGTCTAGTTGTTATGGGAAGATATTTCCTTTTTCAACATAGGCCTGAAAGCGCTCCAAATGTCCACTTCCAGATACTACAAAAGGAGTGATTCCAACCTGCTCTATGATAGGGAATGTTCAACTCTCTGTCCTGAATACAAACATCACAAAGATGTTTCTCAGAACGCTGCAGTCTGCAATTTGTATGAATTCCCGCTTCCAACGAAATCCTCAAAACTAGCCAAATATCCACTTGCAGATTCCACAAAAAGACCATTTCAAAACTGCTCTATCAAAAGAAAGGTTCAACTTTGTTAGTTGAGTAGATACAGCATAACCAAGTTTCTGAGAATGCTTCTGTCCAGTTTTTATGGGAAGATATTTCCTTTTTCACCTTAGCCCTGAAATCGCTCCAAAAGTCCAGTTCCAGATACTACAAAAGGGGTGTTTCAAGACTGCTCTATGAAAGGGAGTGTTCAACTTTTGACTTGAATGCAAACATCAGAAAGCAGTTTCTCAGAACGCTGCTGTGTGCTTTTTATATGTATTCCCGCTTCCAGCGAAATCCCCAAAGCTAGCCAAATATCCACTTGCAGATTCCAGAAAAAGAGAGTTTCAAAACTGCTCCTTCAAAACGGTGGTTCAATTCTCTTAGTTGAGTACACACATCTCAAATAAGTTTCTGAGAATGCTTGTGTCTAGTTGTTATGGGAAGATATTTCCTTTTTCAACATAGGCCTGAAAGCGCTCCAAATGTCCACTTCCAGATACTACAAAAGGAGTGATTCCAACATGCTCTATGATAGGGAATGTTCATCTCTGTGTCTTGAATACAAACATCACAAAGATGTTTCTCAGAACGCTGCAGTCTGCAAATTGTATGAATTCCCGCTTCCAACGAAATCCTCAAAACTAGCCAAATATCCACTTGGAGATTCCACAAAAAGAGCGTTTCAAAACTTCTCTATGAATAGAAAGGTTCTACTCCTTTAGTTGAGGACACACATCACGAGTAAGTTTCTGAGAATGCTTCTGTCTAGTTTTTATGGGAAGATATGTCCTTTTTCACCTTAGGCCGGAAAGCGCTCCAAATGTCCACTTACACACACTACAAAAAGAGTGTTTCAAACCTGCTCTGTGAAAGGGAATGTTCAATTCTGTGACTTGAATGCAATCATCACAAAGAACTTTCTGAGAATGCTGCTGACTGCTTTTTATATGTAATCCCGTTTCCAACGAAATCCTCAAATCTAGCCAAATAGCCACTTGCAGATTCCACAAAAAGAGTGTTTCAAAACTGTTCTGTCTATAGAAATGTTCAACTGTGTTAGTTGAGGACACACATCAGAAACTAGTTTCTGAGAATGCTTCTGTCTAGTTGTTATGGGAAGATATTTCCTTTTCCAACGTAGGCCTGAAAGCGCTCCAAATGTCCACTTCCAGATACTACAAAAAGAGTGTTTCAAACCTGCTCTACCAAAGGGAATGTTCTACTCTGTGACTTGAATGCAAACATCCCAAAGAAGTTTCTGAGAATGCTTCTGTCTAGATTTTCTCTGAAGACAATCCCGTTTCCAACGAAATCCTCAAGGCTAGGCAAATATACTCTTGCAGATTCCAGAAAAAGAGTGTTTCAAAACTGCTCCTTCAAAACGGTGGTTCAATTCTCTTAGTTGAGTACACACATCTCAAATAAGTTTCTGAGAATGCTTCTGCCTAGTTGTTACGGGAAGATATTTCCCTTTCCAACATGGGCCTGAAAGCGCTCCAAATGTCCACTTCCAGATACTACAAAAAGAGTGTTTCAAACCTGCTCTACCAAAGGGAATGTTCTACTCTGTGACTTGAATGCAAACATCCCAAAGAAGTTTCTGAGAATGCTTCTGTCTAGATTTTACCTGAAGACAATCCCGTTTCCCACGAAATCCTCAAAGCTATGCAAATATCCTCTTGCGGATTCTACAAAAAGAGTGTTTCAAAACTGCTCTATGAAAAGAAAGGTTCAACTCTGTCAGTAGAGGGCACACATCACAAACAAGTTTCTGAGAATGCTTGTGTCTACTTGTTATGGGAAGATATTTCCTTTTTCAACATAGGCCTGAAAGCGCTCGAAATGGCCACTTCCAGATACTACAAAAGGAGTGATTCCAACCTGCTCTATGATAGGGAATGTTCAACTCTGTGTCCTGAATACAAACATCACAAAGATGTTTCTCAGAACGCTTCTGTCTAGCTGTTATGGGAGTATATTTCCTTTTCCAACATAGGCCTGAAAGCGCTCCAAGCGTCCACATCCAGATACGACAAAAGGAGTGATTCCAACCTGCTCTATGATAGGGAATGTTCAACTCTGTGTCCTGAATACAAACATCACAAAGATGTTTCTCAGAACGCTGCAGTCTGCAATTTGTATGAATTCTCGATTCCAACGAAATCCTCAAAACTAGCCAAATATCCACTTGCAGATTCCACAAAAAGAGCGTTTCAAAACTTCTCTATGAAAAGAAAGGTTCTACTCCTTTAGTTGAGGACACACATCACCAGTCAGTTTCTGAGAATGCTTCTGTCTAGTTTTTATGGGAAGATATTTCCTTTTTCACCTTAGGCCGGAAAGTGCTCCAAATGTCCACTTACACACACTATAAAAAGAGTGTTTCAAACCTGCTCTGTGAAAGGGAATGTTCAATTCTGTGACTTGAATGCAATCATCACAAAGAACTTTCTGAGAATGCTGCTGTCTGCTTTTTATATGTAATCCCGTTTCCAACGAAATCCTCAAATCTAGCCAAATAGCCACTTGCAGATTCCACAAAAAGAGTGTTTCAAAACTGTTCTGTCTAAAGAAATGTTCAACTGTGTTAGTTGAGGACACACATCAGAAACTAGTTTCTGAGAATGCTTCTGTCTAGTTGTTATGGGAAGATATTTCCTTTTCCAACGTAGGCCTGAAAGCGATCAAAATGTCCACTTCCATATACTAAAAAAAGAGTGTTTCAAACCTGCTCTACCAAAGGGAATGTTCTACTCTGTGACTTGAATGCAAACATCCCAAAGAAGTTTCTGAGAATGCTTCTGTCTAGATTTTCTCTGAAGACAATCCCGTTTCCAACGAAATCCTCAAGGCTAGGCAAATATACTCTTGCAGATTCCAGAAAAAGAGTGTTTCAAAACTGCTCCTTCAAAACGGTGGTTCAATTCTCTTAGTTGAGTACACACATCTCAAATAAGTTTCTGAGAATGCTTCTGCCTAGTTGTTACGGGAAGATATTTCCCTTTCCAACATAGGCCTGAAAGCGCTCCAAATGTCCACTTCCAGATACTACAAAAAGAGTGTTTCAAACCTGCTCTACCAAAGGGAATGTTCTGCTCTGTGACTTGAATGCAAACATCCCAAAGAAGTTTCTGAGAATGCTTCTGTCTAGATTTTACCTGAAGACAATCCCGTTTCCCACGAAAACCTCAAAGCTATGCAAATATCCTCTTGCAGATTCTACAAAAAGAGTGTTTCAAAACTGCTCTATGAAAAGAAAGGTTCAACTCTGTCAGTAGAGGGCACACATCACAAACAAGTTTCTGAGAATGCTTGTGTCTAGTTGTTATGGGAAGATATTTCCTTTTTCAACATAGGCCTGAAAGCGCTCCAAATGTCCACTTCCAGATACTACAAAAGGAGTGATTCCAACCTGCTCTATGATAGGGAATGTTCAACTCTCTGTCCTGAATACAAACATCACAAAGATGTTTCTCAGAACGCTGCAGTCTGCAATTTGTATGAATTCCCGCTTCCAACGAAATCCTCAAAACTAGCCAAATATCCACTTGCAGATTCCACAAAAAGACCATTTCAAAACTGCTCTATCAAAAGAAAGGTTCAACTTTGTTAGTTGAGTAGATACAGCATAAACAAGTTTCTGAGAATGCTTCTGTCCAGTTTTTATGGGAAGATATTTCCTTTTTCACCTTAGCCCTGAAAGCGCTCCAAAAGTCCAGTTCCAGATACTACAAAAGGAGTGTTTCAGGACTGCTCTATGAAAGGGAGTGTTCAACTTTTGACTTGAATGCAAACATCAGAAAGCAGTTTCTCAGAACGCTGCTGTGTGCTTTTTATATGTATTCCCGCTTCCAGCGAAATCCCCCAAAGCTAGCCAAATATCCACTTGCAGATTCCAGAAAAAGAGTGTTTCAAAACTGCTCCTTCAAAACGGTGGTTCAATTCTCTTAGTTGAGTACACACATCTCAAATAAGTTTCTGAGAATGCTTCTGTCTAGTTGTTATGGGAAGATATTTCCTTTTCCAACATAGGCCTGAAAGCGCTCCAAATGTCCACTTCCAGATACTACAAAAGGAGTGATTCAAACCTGCTCTATGATAGGGAATGTTCAACTCTGTGTCCTGAATACAAACATCAGAAAGATGTTTCTCAGAACGCTGCAGTCTGCAATTTGTATGAATTCCCGCTTCCAACGAAATCCTCAAAACTAGCCAAATATCCACTTGCAGATTCCACAAAAAGAGCGTTTCGAAACTTCTCTATGAAAAGAAAGGTTCTACTCCTTTAGTTGAGGACACACATCACGAGTAAGTTTCTGAGAATGCTTCTGTCTAGTTTTTATGGGAAGATATTTCCTTTTTCACCTTAGGCCGGAAAGCGCTCCAAATGTCCACTTACACACACTACAAAAAGAGTGTTTCAAACCTGCTCTGTGAAAGGGAATGTTCAATTCTGTGACTTGAATGCAATCATCACAAAGAACTTTCTGAGAATGCTGCTGTCTGCTTTTTATATGTAATCCCGTTTCCAACGAAATCCTCAAATCTAGCCAAATAGCCACTTGCAGATTCCACAAAAAGAGTGTTTCAAAACTGTTCTGTCTAAAGAAATGTTCAACTGTGTTAGTTGAGGACACACATCAGAAACTAGTTTCTGAGAATGCTTCTGTCTAGTTGTTATGGGAAGATATTTCCTTTTCCAACGTAGGCCTGAAAGCGCTCCAAATGTCCACTTCCATATACTAAAAAAAGAGTGTTTCAAACCTGCTCTACCAAAGGGAATGTTCTACTCTGTGACTTGAATGCAAACATCCCAAAGAAGTTTCTGAGAATGCTTCTGTCTAGATTTGATCTGAAGACAATCCCGTTTCCAACGAAATCCTCAAGGCTAGGCAAATATCCTCTTGCAGATTCCAGAAAAAGAGTGTTTCAAAACTGCTCCTTCAAAACGGTGGTTCAATTCTCTTAGTTGAGTACACACATCTCAAATAAGTTTCTGAGAATGCTTCTGCTTAGTTGTTACGGGAAGATATTTCCCTTTCCAACATAGGCCTGAAAGCGCTCCAAATGTCCACTTCCAGATACTACAAAAAGAGTGTTTGAAACCTGCTTTACCAAAGGGAATGTTCTACTCTGTGACTTGAATGCAAACATCCCAAAGAAGTTTCTGAGAATGCTTCTGTCTAGATTTTACCTGAAGACAATCCCGTTTCCCACGAAATCCTCAAAGCTATGCAAATATCCTCTTGCGGATTCTACAAAAAGAGTGTTTCAAAACTGCTCTATGAAAAGAAAGGTTCAACTCTGTCAGTAGAGGGCACACATCACAAACAAGTTTCTGAGAATGCTTGTGTCTAGTTGTTATGGGAAGATATTTCCTTTTTCAACATAGGCCTGAAAGCGCTCCAAATGTCCACTTCCAGATACTACAAAAGGAGTGATTCCAACCTGCTCTATGATAGGGAATGTTCATCTCTGTGTCCTGAATACAAACATCACAAAGATGTTTCTCAGAACGCTGCAGTCTGCAATTTGTATGAATTCCCGCTTCCAACGAAATCCTCAAAACTAGCCAAATATCCACTTGCAGATTCCACAAAAAGACCATTTCAAAACTGCTCTATCAAAAGAAAGGTTCAACTTTGTTAGTTGAGTAGATACAGCATAAACAAGTTTCTGAGAATGCTTCTGTCCAGTTTTTATGGGAAGATATTTCCTTTTTCACCTTAGCCCTGAAAGCGCTCCAAATGTCCAGTTCCAGATACTACAAAAGGGGTGTTTCAAGACTGCTCTATGAAAGGGAGTGTTCAACTTTTGACTTGAATGCAAACATCAGAAAGCAGTTTGCTCAGAACGCTGCTGTGTGCTTTTTATATGTATTCCCGCTTCCAGCGAAATCCCCAAAGCTAGCCAAATATCCACTTGCAGATTCCAGAAAAAGAGTGTTTCAAAACTGCTCCTTCAAAACGGTGGTTCAATTCTCTTAGTTGAGTACACACATCTCAAATAAGTTTCTGAGAATGCTTCCGTCCAGTTTTTATGGGAAGATATTTCCTTTTTCACCTTAGCCCTGAAATCGCTCCAAAAGTCCAGTTCCAGATACTACAAAAGGGGTGTTTCAAGACTGCTCTATGAAAGGGAGTGTTCAACTTTTGACTTGAATGCAAACATCAGAAAGCAGTTTCTCAGAACGCTGCAGTCTGCAATTTGTATGAATTCCCGCTTCCAACGAAATCCTCCAAACTAGCCAAATATCCACTTGCAGAGTCCACAAAAAGAGCGTTTCAAAACTTCTCTATGAAAAGAAAGGTTCTACTCCTTTAGTTGAGGACACACATCACGAGTAAGTTTCTGAGAATGCTTCTGTCTAGTTTTTATGGGAAGATATTTCCTTGTTCACCTTAGGCCGGAAAGCGCTCCAAATGTCCACTTACACACACTACAAAAAGAGTGTTTCAAACCTGCTCTGTGAAAGGGAATGTTCAATTCTGTGACTTGAATGCAATCATCACAAAGAAGTTTCTGAGAATGCTGCTGTCTGCTTTTTATATGTAATCCCGTTTCCAACGAAATCCTCAAATCTAGCCAAATAGCCACTTGCAGATTCCACAAAAAGAGTGTTTCAAAACTGTTCTGTCTAAAGAAATGTACAACTGTGTTAGTTGAGGACACACATCAGAAACTAGTTTCTGAGAATGCTTCTGTCTAGTTGTTATGGGAAGATATTTCCTTTTCCAACGTAGGCCTGAAAGCGCTCCAAATGTCCACTTCCATATACTAAAAAAAGAGTGTTTCAAACCTGCTCTACCAAAGGGAATGTTCTACTCTGTGACTTGAATGCAAACATCCCAAAGAAGTTTCTGAGAATGCTTCTGTCTAGATTTGATCTGAACACAATCCCGTTTCCAACGAAATCCTCAAAGCTAGGCAAATATCCTCTTGCAGATTCCAGAAAAAGAGTGTTTCAAAACTGCTCCTTCAAAACGGTGGTTCAATTCTCTTAGTTGAGTGCACACATCTCAAATAAGTTTCTGAGAATGCTTCTGCCTAGTTGTTACGGGAAGATATTTCCCTTTCCAACATGGGCCTGAAAGCGCTCCAAATGTCCACTTCCAGATACTACAAAAAGAGTGTTTCAAACCTGCTCTACCAAAGGGAATGTTCTACTCTGTGACTTGAATGCAAACATCCCAAAGAAGTTTCTGAGAATGCTTCTGTCTAGATTTTACCTGAAGACAATCCCGTTTCCCACGAAATCCTCAAAGCTATGCAAATATCCTCTTGCAGATTCTACAAAAAGAGTGTTTCAAAACTGCTCTATGAAAAGAAAGGTTCAACTCTGTCAGTAGAGGGCACACATCACAAACAAGTTTCTGAGAATGCTTGTGTCTAGTTGTTATGGGAAGATATTTCCTTTTTTAACATAGGCCTGAAAGCGCTCCAAATGTCCACTTCCAGATACTACAAAAGGAGTGATTCCAACCTGCTCTATGATAGGGAATGTTCAACTCTGTGTCCTGAATACAAACATCACAAAGATGTTTCTCAGAACGCTGCAGTCTGCAATTTGTATGAATTCCCGCTTCCAACGAAATCCTCAAAACTAGCCAAATATCCACTTGCAGATTCCACAAAAAGAGCATTTCAAAACTGCTCTATCAAAAGAAAGGTTCAACTTTGTTAGTTGAGTAGATACAGCATAAACAAGTTTCTGAGAATGCTGCAGTCTGCAATTTGTATGAATTCCCGCTTCCAACGAAATCCTCCAAACTAGCCAAATATCCACTTGCAGATTCCACAAAAAGAGCGTTTCAAAACTTCTCTATGAAAAGAAAGGTTCTACTCCTTTAGTTGAGGACACACATCACGAGTAAGTTTCTGAGAATGCTTCTGTCTAGTTTTTATGGGAAGATATTTCCTTTTTCACCTTAGGCCGGTAAGTGCTCCAAATGTCCACTTACACACACTACAAAAAGAGTGTTTCAAACCTGCTCTGTGAAAGGGAATGTTCAATTCTGTGACTTGAATGCAATCATCACAAAGAACTTTCTGAGAATGCTGCTGACTGCTTTTTATATGTAATCCCGTTTCCAACGAAATCCTCAAATCTAGCCAAATAGCCACTTGCAGATTCCACAAAAAGAGTGTTTCAAAACTGTTCTGTCTAAAGAAATGTTCAACTGTGTTAGTTGAGGACACACATCAGAAACTAGTTTCTGAGAATGCTTCTGTCTAGTTGTTATGGGAAGATATTTCCTTTTCCAACGTAGGCCTGAAAGCGCTCCAAATGTCCACTTCCAGATACTACAAAAAGAGTGTTTCAAACCTGCTCTACCAAAGGGAATGTTCTACTCTGTGACTTGAATGCAAACATCCCAAAGAAGTTTCTGAGAATGCTTCTGTCTAGATTTTCTCTGAAGACAATCCCGTTTCCAACGAAATCCTCAAGGCTAGGCAAATATACTCTTGCAGATTCCAGAAAAAGAGTGTTTCAAAACTGCTCCTTCAAAACGGTGGTTCAATTCTCTTAGTTGAGTACACACATCTCAAATAAGTTTCTGAGAATGCTTCTGCCTAGTTGTTACGGGAAGATATTTCCCTTTCCAACATGGGCCTGAAAGCGCTCCAAATGTCCACTTCCAGATACTACAAAAAGAGTGTTTCAAACCTGCTCTACCAAAGGGAATGTTCTACTCTGTGACTTGAATGCAAACATCCCAAAGAAGTTTCTGAGAATGCTTCTGTCTAGATTTTACCTGAAGACAATCCCGTTTCCCACGAAATCCTCAAAGCTATGCAAATATCCTCTTGCAGATTCTACAAAAAGAGTGTTTCAAAACTGCTCTATGAAAAGAAAGGTTCAACTCTGTCAGTAGAGGGCACACATCACAAACAAGTTTCTGAGAATGCTTGTGTCTAGTTGTTATGGGAAGATATTTCCTTTTTCAACATAGGCCAGAAAGCGCTCCAAATGTCCACTTCCAGATACTACAAAAGGAGTGATTCCAACCTGCTCTATGATAGGGAATGTTCAACTCTGTGTCCTGAATACAAACATCACAAAGATGTTTCTCAGAACGCTGCAGTCTGCAATTTGTATGAATTCCCGCTTCCAACGAAATCCTCAAAACTAGCCAAATATCCACTTGCAGATTCCACAAAAAGACCATTTCAAAACTGCTCTATCAAAAGAAAGGTTCAACTTTGTTAGTTGAGTAGATACAGCATAAACAAGTTTCTGAGAATGCTTCTGTCCAGTTTTTATGGGAAGATATTTCCTTTTTCACCTTAGCCCTGAAATCGCTCCAAAAGTCCAGTTCCAGATACTACAAAAGGGGTGTTTCAAGACTGCTCTATGAAAGGGAGTGTTCAACTTTTGACTTGAATGCAAACATCAGAAAGCAGTTTCTCAGAACGCTGCTGTGTGCTTTTTATATGTATTCCCGCTTCCAGCGAAATCCCCAAAGCTAGCCAAATATCCACTTGCAGATTCCAGAAAAAGAGTGTTTCAAAACTGCTCCTTCAAAACGGTGGTTCAATTCTCTTAGTTGAGTACACACATCTCAAATAAGTTTCTGAGAATGCTGCTGTGTGCTTTTTATATGTATTCCCGCTTCCAGCGAAATCCCCAAAGCTAGCCAAATATCCACTTGCAGATTCCAGAAAAAGAGTGTTTCAAAACTGCTCCTTCAAAACGGTGGTTCAATTCTCTTAGTTGAGTACACACATCTCAAATAAGTTTCTGAGAATGCTTCTGTCTAGTTGTTATGGGAAGATATTTCCTTTTCCAACATAGGCCTGAAAGCGCTCCAAATGTCCACTTCCAGATACTACAAAAGGAGTGATTCAAACCTGCTCTATGATAGGGAATGTTCAACTCTGTGTCCTGAATACAAACATCACAAAGATGTTTCTCAGAACGCTGCAGTCTGCAATTTGTATGAATTCCCGCTTCCAACGAAATCCTCCAAACTAGCCAAATATCCACTTGCAGATTCCACAAAAAGAGCGTTTCAAAACTTCTCTATGAAAAGAAAGGTTCTACTCCTTTAGTTGAGGATACACATCACGAGTAAGTTTCTGAGAATGCTTCTGTCTAGTTTTTATGGGAAGATATTTCCTTGTTCACCTTAGGCCGGAAAGCGCTCCAAATGTCCACTTACACACACTACAAAAAGAGTGTTTCAAACCTGCTCTGTGTAAGGGAATGTTCAATTCTGTGACTTGAATGCAATCATCACAAAGAAGTTTCTGAGAATGCTGCTGTCTGCTTTTTATATGTAATCCCGTTTCCAACGAAATCCTCAAATCTAGCCAAATAGCCACTTGCAGATTCCACAAAAAGAGTGTTTCAAAACTGTTCTGTCTAAAGAAATGTTCAACTGTGTTAGTTGAGGACACACATCAGAAACTAGTTTCTGAGAATGCTTCTGTCTAGTTGTTATGGGAAGATATTTCCTCTTCCAACGTAGGCCTGAAAGCGCTCCAAATGTCCACTTCCATATACTAAAAAAAGAGTGTTTCAAACCTGCTCTACCAAAGGGAATGTTCTACTCTGTGACTTGAATGCAAACATCCCAAAGAAGTTTCTGAGAATGCTTCTGTCTAGATTTGATCTAAAGACAATCCCGTTTCCAACGAAATCCTCAAGGCTAGGCAAATATCCTCTTGCAGATTCCAGAAAAAGAGTGTTTCAAAACTGCTCCTTCAAAACGGTGATTCAATTCTCTTAGTTGAGTACACACATCTCAAATAAGTTTCTGAGAATGCTACTGCCTAGTTGTTACGGGAAGATATTTCCCTTTCCAACATAGGCCTGAAAGCGCTCCAAATGTCCACTTCCAGATACTACAAAAAGAGTGTTTCAAACCTGCTCTACCAAAGGGAATGTTCTACTCTGTGACTTGAATGCAAACATCCCAAAGAAGTTTCTGAGAATGCTTCTGTCTAGATTTTACCTGAAGACAATCCCGTTTCCCACGAAATCCTCAAAGCTATGCAAATATCCTCTTGCAGATTCTACAAAAAGAGTGTTTCAAAACTGCTCTATGAAAAGAAAGGTTCAACTCTGTCAGTAGAGGGCACACATCACAAACAAGTTTCTGAGAATGCTTCTGTCTAGTTGTTATGGGAAGATTTTTCCTTTTTCAACATAGGCCTGAAAGCGCTCCAAATGTCCACTTCCAGATACTACAAAAGGAGTGATTCAAACCTGCTCTATGATAGGGAATGTTCAACTCTGTGTCCTGAATACAAACATCACAAAGATGTTTCTCAGAACGCTGCAGTCTGCAATTTGTATGAATTCCCGCTTCCAACGAAATCCTCAAAACCAGCCAAATATCCACTTGCAGATTCCACAAAAAGAGCATTTCAAAACTGCTCTATCAAAAGAAAGGTTCAACTTTGTTAGTTGAGTAGATACAGCATAAACAAGTTTCTGAGAATGCTTCTGTCCAGTTTTTATGGGAAGATATTTCCTTTTTCACCTTAGCCCTGAAGGCGCTCCAAATGTCCAGTTCCAGATACTACAAAAGGGGTGTTTCAAGACTGCTCTATGAAAGGGAGTGTTCAACTTTTGACTTGAATGCAAACATCAGAAAGCAGTTTCTCAGAACGCTGCTGTGTGCTTTTTATATGTATTCCCGCTTACAGCGAAATCCCCAAAGCTAGCCAAATATCCACTTGCAGATTCCAGAAAAAGAGTGTTTCCAAACTGCTCCTTCAAAACGGTGGTTCAATTCTCATAGTTGAGTACACACATCTCCAATAAGTTTCTGGGAATGCTTCTGTCTAGTTGTTATGGGAAGATATTTCCTTTTCCAACATAGGCCTGAAAGCGCTCCAAATGTCCACTTCCAGATACTACAAAAGGAGTGATTCAAACCTGTTCTATGATAGGGAATGTTCAACTCTGTGTCCTGAATACAAACATCACAAAGATGTTTCTCAGAACGCTGCAGTCTGCAATTTGTATGAATTCCCGCTTCCAACGAAATCCTCAAAACTAGCCAAATATCCACTTGCAGATTCCACAAAAAGACCATTTCAAAACTGCTCTATCAAAAGAAAGGTTCAACTTTGTTAGTTGAGTAGATACAGCATAAACAAGTTTCTGAGAATGCTTCTGTCCAGTTTTTATGGGAAGATATTTCCTTTTTCACCTTAGCCCTGAAATCGCTCCAAAAGTCCAGTTCCAGATACTACAAAAGGGGTGTTTCAAGACTGCTCTATGAAAGGGAGTGTTCAACTTTTGACTTGAATGCAAACATCAGAAAGCAGTTTCTCAGAACGCTGCTGTGTGCTTTTTATATGTATTCCCGCTTCCAGCGAAATCCCCAAAGCTAGCCAAATATCCACTTGCAGATTCCAGAAAAAGAGTGTTTCCAAACTGCTCCTTCAAAACGGTGGTTCAATTCTCTTAGTTGAGTACACACATCTCAAATAAGTTTCTGGGAATGCTTCTGTCTAGTTGTTATGGGAAGATATTTCCTTTTCCAACATAGGCCTGAAAGCGCTCCAAATGTCCACTTCCAGATACTACAAAAGGAGTGATTCCAACCTGCTCTATGATAGGGAATGTTCAACTCTGTGTCCTGAATACAAACATCACAAAGATGTTTCTCAGAACGCTGCAGTCTGCAATTTGTATGAATTCCCGCTTCCAACGAAATCCTCAAAACTAGCCAAATATCCACTTGCAGATTCCACAAAAAGAGCGTTTCAAAACTTCTCTATGAAAAGAAAGGTTCTACTCCTTTAGTTGAGGACACACATCACGAGTAAGTTTCTGAGAATGCTTCTGTCTAGTTTTTATGGGAAGATATTTCCTTTTTCACCTTAGGCCGGAAAGCGCTCCAAATGTCCACTTACACACACTACAAAAAGAGTGTTTCAAACCTGCTCTGTGAAAGGGAATGTTCAATTCTGTGACTTAAATGCAATCATCAAAAAGAACTTTCTGAGACTGCTGCTGACTGCTTTTTATATGTAATCCCGTTTCCAACGAAATCCTCAAATCTAGCCAAATAGCCACTTGCAGATTCCACAAAAAGAGTGTTTCAAAACTGTTCTGTCTAAAGAAATGTTCAACTGTGTTAGTTGAGGACACACATCAGAAACTAGTTTCTGAGAATGCTTCTGTCTAGTTGTTATGGGAAGATATTTCCTTTTCCAACGTAGGCCTGAAAGCGATCCAAATGTCCACTTCCATATACTAAAAAAAGAGTGTTTCAAACCTGCTCTACCAAAGGGAATGTTCTACTCTGTGACTTGAATGCAAACATCCCAAAGAAGTTTCTGAGAATGCTTCTGTCTAGATTTTATCTGAAGACAATCCCGTTTCCAACGAAATCCTCAAAGCTAGGCAAATATACTTTTGCAGATTCCAGAAAAAGAGTGTTTGAAAACTGCTCCTTCAAAAGGGTGGTTCAATTCTCTTAGTTGAGTACACCCATCTCAAATAAGTTTCTGAGAATGCTTCTGCCTAGTTGTTACGGGAAGATATTTCCCTTTCCAACATAGGCCTGAAAGCGCTCCAAATGTCCACTTCCAGATACTACAAAAAGAGTGTTTCAAACCTGCTCTACCAAAGGGAATGTTCTACTCTGTGACTTGAATGCAAACATCCCAAAGAAGTTTCTGAGAATGCTTCTGTCTAGATTTTACCTGAAGACAATCCCGTTTCCCACGAAATCCTCAAAGCTATGCAAATATCCTCTTGCAGATTCTACAAAAAGAGTGTTTCAAAACTGCTCTATGAAAAGAAAGGTTCAACTCTGTCAGTAGAGAGCACACATCACAAACAAGTTTCTGAGAATGCTTGTGTCTAGTTGTTATGGGAAGATATTTCCTTTTTCAACATAGGCCTGAAAGCGCTCCAAATGTCCACTTCCAGATACTACAAAAGGAGTGATTCCAACCTGCTCTATGATAGGGAATGTTCAACTCTCTGTCCTGAATACAAACATCACAAAGATGTTTCTCAGAACGCTGCAGTCTGCAATTTGTATGAATTCCCGCTTCCAACGAAATCCTCAAAACTAGCCAAATATCCACTTGCAGATTCCACAAAAAGAGCATTTCAAAACTGCTCTATCAAAAGAAATGTTCAACTTTGTTAGTTGAGTAGATACAGCATAAACAAGTTTCTGAGAATGCTTCTGTCCAGTTTTTATGGGAAGATATTTCCTTTTTCACCTTAGCCCTGAAAGCGCTCCAAAAGTCCAGTTCCAGATACTACAAAAGGAGTGTTTCAGGACTGCTCTATGAAAGGGAGTGTTCAACTTTTCACTTGAATGCAAACATCAGAAAGCAGTTTCTCAGAACGCTGCAGTCTGCAATTTGTATGAATTCCCGCTTCCAACGAAATCCTCAACACTAGCCAAATATCCACTTGGAGATTCCACAAAAAGAGCGTTTCAAAACTTCTCTATGAATAGAAAGGTTCTACTCCTTTAGTTGAGGACACACATCACGAGTAAGTTTCTGAGAATGCTTCTGTCTAGTTTTTATGGGAAGATATTTCCTTTTTCACCTTAGGCCGGAAAGCACTCCAAATGTCCACTTACACACACTACAAAAAGCGTGTTTCAACCCTGCTCTGTGAAAGGGAATGTTCAATTCTGTGACTTGAATGCAATCATCACAAAGAACTTTACTGAGAATGCTGCTGACTGCTTTTTATATGTAATCCCGTTTCCAACGAAATCCTCAAATCTAGCCAAATAGCCACTTGCAGATTCCACAAAAAGAGTGTTTCAAAACTGTTCTGTCTAAAGAAATGTTCAACTGTGTTAGTTGAGGACACACATCAGAAACTAGTTTCTGAGAATGCTTCTGTCTAGTTGTTATGGGAAGATATTTCCTTTTCCAACGTAGGCCTGAAAGCGATCCAAATGTCCACTTCCATATACTAAAAAAAGAGTGTTTCAAACCTGCTCTACCAAAGGGAATGTTCTACTCTGTGACTTGAATGCAAACATCCCAAAGAAGTTTCTGAGAATGCTTCTGTCTAGATTTTCTCTGAAGACAATCCCGTTTCCAACGAAATCCTCAAGGCTAGGCAAATATACTCTTGCAGATTCCAGAAAAAGAGTGTTTCAAAACTGCTCCTTCAAAACGGTGGTTCAATTCTCTTAGTTGAGTACACACATCTCAAATAAGTTTCTGAGAATGCTTCTGCCTAGTTGTTACGGGAAGATATTTCCCTTTCCAACATGGGCCTGAAAGCGCTCCAAATGTCCACTTCCAGATACTACAAAAAGAGTGTTTCAAACCTGCTCTACCAAAGGGAATGTTCTACTCTGTGACTTGAATGCAAACATCCCAAAGAAGTTTCTGAGAATGCTTCTGTCTAGATTTTACCTGAAGACAATCCCGTTTCCCACGAAATCCTCAAAGCTATGCAAATATCCTCTTGCAGATTCTACAAAAAGAGTGTTTCAAAACTGCTCTATGAAAAGAAAGGTTCAACTCTGTCAGTAGAGGGCACACATCACAAACAAGTTTCTGAGAATGCTTCTGCATAGTTGTTACGGGAAGATATTTCCCTTTCCAAAATAGGCCTGAAAGCGCTCCAAATGTCCACTTCCAGATACTACAAAAGGAGTGATTCCAACCTGCTCTATGATAGGGAATGTTCAACTCTGTGTCCTGAATACAAACATCACAAAGATGTTTCTCAGAACGCTGCAGTCTGCAATTTGTATGAATTCCCGCTTCCAACGAAATCCTCAAAACTAGCCAAATATCCACTTGCAGATTCCACAAAAAGACCATTTCAAAACTGCTCTATCAAAAGAAAGGTTCAACTTTGTTAGTTGAGTAGATACAGCATAAACAAGTTTCTGAGAATGCTTCTGTCCAGTTTTTATGGGAAGATATTTCCTTTTTCACCTTAGCCCTGAAAGCGCTCCAAAAGTCCAGTTCCAGATACTACAAAAGGAGTGTTTCAGGACTGCTCTATGAAAGGGAGTGTTCAACTTTTGACTTGAATGCAAACATCAGAAAGCAGTTTCTCAGAACGCTGCTGTGTGCTTTTTATATGTATTCCCGCTTCCAGCGAAATCCCCAAAGCTAGCCAAATATCCACTTGCAGATTCCAGAAAAAGAGAGTTTCAAAACTGCTCCTTCAAAACGGTGGTTCAATTCTCTTAGTTGAGTACACACATCTCAAATAAGTTTCTGAGAATGCTTCTGTCTAGTTGTTATGGGAAGATATTTCCTTTTCCAACATAGGCCTGAAAGCGCTCCAAATGTCCACTTCCAGATACTACAAAAGGAGTGATTCCAACCTGCTCTATGATAGGGAATGTTCAACTCTGTGTCCTGAATACAAACATCACAAAGATGTTTCTCAGAACGCTGCAGTCTGCAATTTGTATGAATTCCCGCTTCCAACGAAATCCTCAAAACTAGCCAAATATCCACTTGCAGATTCCACAAAAAGAGCGTTTCAAAACTTCTCTATGAAAAGAAAGGTTCTACTCCTTTAGTTGAGGACACACATCACGAGTAAGTTTCTGAGAATGCTTCTGTCTAGTTTTTATGGGAAGATATTTCCTTTTTCACCTTAGGCCGGAAAGCGCTCCAAATGTCCACTTACACACACTACAAAAAGAGTGTTTCAAACCTGCTCTGTGAAAGGGAATGTTCAATTCTGTGACTTGAATGCAATCATCACAAAGAACTTTCTGAGAATGCTGCTGTCAGCTTTTTATATGTAATCCCGTTTCCAAAGAAATCCTCAAATCTAGCCAAATAGCCACTTGCAGATTCCACAAAAAGAGTGTTTCAAAACTGTTCTGTCTAAAGAAATGTTCAACTGTGTTAGTTGAGGACACACATCAGAAACTAGTTTCTGAGAATGCTTCTGTCTAGTTGTTATGGGAAGATATTTCCTTTTCCAACGTAGGCCTGAAAGCGCTCCAAATGTCCACTTCCATATACTAAAAAAAGAGTGTTTCAAACCTGCTCTAACAAAGGGAATGTTCTACTCTATGAATTGAATGCAAACACCCAAAGAAGTTTCTGAGAATGCTTCTGTCTAGATTTGATCTGAAGACAATCCCTTTTCCAACGAAATCCTCAAAGCTAGGCAAATATCCTCTTGCAGATTCCAGAAAAAGAGTGTTTCCAAACTGCTCCTTCAAAACGGTGGTTCAATTCTCTTAGTTGAGTACACACATCTCAAATAAGTTTCTGAGAATGCTTCTGCCTAGTTGTTACGGGAAGATATTTCCCTTTCCAACATAGGCCTGAAAGCGCTCCAAATGTCCACTTCCAGATACTACAAAAAGAGTGTTTCAAACCTGCTCTACCAAAGGGAATGTTCTACTCTGTGACTTGAATGCAAACATCCCAAAGAAGTTTCTGAGAATGCTTCTGTCCAGATTTTACCTGAAGACAATCCCGTTTCCCACGAAATCCTCAAAGCTATGCAAATATCCTCTTGCAGATTCTACAAAAAGAGTGTTTCAAAACTGCTCTATGAAAAGAAAGGTTCAAATCTGTCAGTAGAGGGCACACATCACAAACAAGTTTCTGGGAATGCTTGTGTCTAGTTGTTATGGGAAGATATTTCCTTTTTCAACATAGGCCTGAAAGCGCTCCAAATGTCCACTTCCAGATACTACAAAAGGAGTGATTCCAACCTGCTCTATGATAGGGAATGTTCAACTCTCTGTCCTGAATACAAACATCACAAAGATGTTTCTCAGAACGCTGCAGTCTGCAATTTGTATGAATTCCCGCTTCCAACGAAATCCTCAAAACTAGCCAAATATCCACTTGCAGATTCCACAAAAAGACCATTTCAAAACTGCTCTATCAAAAGAAAGGTTCAACTTTGTTAGTTGAGTAGATACAGCATAAACAAGTTTCTGAGAATGCTTCTGTCCAGTTTTTATGGGAAGATATTTCCTTTTTCACCTTAGCCCTGAAATCGCTCCAAAAGTCCAGTTCCAGATACTACAAAAGGGGTGTTTCAGGACTGCTCTATGAAAGGGAGTGTTCAACTTTTGACTTGAATGCAAACATCAGAAAGCAGTTTCTCAGAACGCTGCTGTGTGCTTTTTATATGTATTCCCGCTTCCAGCGAAATCCCCAAAGCTAGCCAAATATCCACTTGCAGATTCCAGAAAAAGAGTGTTTCAAAACTGCTCCTTCAAAACGGTGGTTCAATTCTCTTAGTTGAGTACACACATCTCAAATAAGTTTCTGAGAATGCTTCTGTCTAGTTGTTATGGGAAGATATTTCCTTTTCCAACATAGGCCTGAAAGCGCTCCAAATGTCCACTTCCAGATACTACAAAAGGAGTGATTCCAACCTGCTCTATGATAGGGAATGTTCAACTCTGTGTCCTGAATACAAACATCACAAAGATGTTTCTCAGAACGCTGCAGTCTGCAATTTGTATGAATTCCCGCTTCCAACGAAATCCTCAAAACTAGCCAAATATCCACTTGCAGATTCCACAAAAAGAGCGTTTCAAAACTTCTCTATGAAAAGAAAGGTTCTACTCCTTTAGTTGAGGACACACATCACGAGTAAGTTTCTGAGAATGCTTCTGTCTAGTTTTTATGGGAAGATTATTTCCTTTTTCACCTTAGGCCGGTAAGTGCTCCAAATGTCCACTTACACACACTACAAAAAGAGTGTTTCAAACCTGCTCTGTGAAAGGGAATGTTCAATTCTGTGACTTGAATGCAATCATCACAAAGAACTTTCTGAGAATGCCGCTGACTGCTTTTTATATGTAATCCCGTTTCCAACGAAATCCTCAAATCTAGCCAAATAGCCACTTGCAGATTCCACAAAAAGAGTGTTTCAAAACTGTTCTGTCTAAAGAAATGTTCAACTGTGTTAGTTGAGGACACACATCAGAAACTAGTTTCTGAGAATGCTTCTGTCTAGTTGTTATGGGAAGATATTTCCTTTTCCAACGTAGGCCTGAAAGCGCTCCAAATGTCCACTTCCATATACTAAAAAAAGAGTGTTTCAAACCTGCTCTACCAAAGGGAATGTTCTACTCTGTGACTTGAATGCAAACATCCCAAAGAAGTTTCTGAGAATGCTTCTGTCTAGATTTTCTCTGAAGACAATCCCGTTTCCAACGAAATCCTCAAGGCTAGGCAAATATACTCTTGCAGATTCCAGAAAAAGAGTGTTTCAAAACTGCTCCTTCAAAACGGTGGTTCAATTCTCTTAGTTGAGTACACACATCTCAAATAAGTTTCTGAGAATGCTTCTGCCTAGTTGTTACGGGAAGATATTTCCCTTTCCAACATGGGCCTGAAAGCGCTCCAAATGTCCACTTCCAGATACTACAAAAAGAGTGTTTCAAACCTGCTCTACCAAAGGGAATGTTCTACTCTGTGACTTGAATGCAAACATCCCAAAGAAGTTTCTGAGAATGCTTCTGTCTAGATTTTTCCTGAGACAATCCCGTTTCCCACGAAATCCTCAAAGCTATGCAAATATCCTCTTGCAGATTCTACAAAAAGAGTGTTTCAAAACTGCTCTATGAAAAGAAAGGTTCAACTCTGTCAGTAGAGGGCACACATCACAAACAAGTTTCTGAGAATGCTTGTGTCTAGTTGTTATGGGAAGATATTTCCTTTTTCAACATAGGCCAGAAAGCGCTCCAAATGTCCACTTCCAGATACTACAAAAGGAGTGATTCCAACCTGCTCTATGATAGGGAATGTTCAACTCTCTGTCCTGAATACAAACATCACAAAGATGTTTCTCAGAACGCTGCAGTCTGCAATTTGTATGAATTCCCGCTTCCAACGAAATCCTCAAAACTAGCCAAATATCCACTTGCAGATTCCACAAAAAGAGCATTTCAAAACTGCTCTATCAAAAGAAAGGTTCAACTTTGTTAGTTGAGTAGATACAGCATAAACAAGTTTCTGAGAATGTTTCTGTCCAGTTTTTATGGGAAGATATTTCCTTTTTCACCTTAGGCCGGAAAGCGCTCCAAATGTCCACTTACACACACTACAAAAAGAGTGTTTCAAACCTGCTCTGTGAAAGGGAATGTTCAATTCTGTGACTTGAATGCAATCATCACAAAGAACTTTCTGAGAATGCTGCAGTCTGCTTTTTATATGTAATCCCGTTTCCAACGAAATCCTCAAATCTAGCCAAATATCCACTTGCAGATTCCACAAAAAGAGTGTTTCAAAACTGTTCTGTCTAAAGAAAAGTTCAACTGTGTTAGTTGAGGACACACATCAGAAACTAGTTTCTGAGAATGCTTCTGTCTAGTTGTTATGGGAAGATATTTCCTTTTCCAACGTAGGCCTGAAAGCGCTCCAAATGTCCACTTCCAGATACTACAAAAAGAGTGTTTCAAACCTGTTCTACCAAAGGGAATGTTCTACTCTGTGACTTGAATGCAAACATCCCAAGGAAGTTTCTGAGAATGCTTCTGTCTAGATTTTATCTGAAGACAATCCCGTTTCCAACGAAATCCTCAAGGCTAGGCAAATATACTCTTGCAGATTCCAGAAAAAGAGTGTTTCAAAACTGCTCCTTCAAAACGGTGGTTCAATTCTCTTAGTTGAGTACACACATCTCAAATAAGTTTCTGAGAATGCTTCTGCCTAGTTGTTACGGGAAGATATTTCCCTTTCCAACATGGGCCTGAAAGCGCTCCAAATGTCCACTTCCAGATACTACAAAAAGAGGGTTTCAAACCTGCTCTACCAAAGGGAATGTTCTACTCTGTGACTTGAATGCAAACATCCCAAAGAAGTTTCTGAGAATGCTTCTGTCTAGATTTTACCTGAAGACAATCCCGTTTCCCACGAAATCCTCAAAGCTATGCAAATATCCTCTTGCAGATTCTACAAAAAGAGCGTTTCAAAACTTCTCTATGAAAAGAAAGGTTCTACTCATTTAGTGGAGGACACACATCACGAGTAAGTTTCTGAGAATGCTTCTGCATAGTTGTTACGGGAAGATATTTCCCTTTCCAAAATAGGCCTGAAAGCGCTCCAAATGTCCACTTCCAGATACTACAAAAGGAGTGATTCCAACCTGCTCTATGATAGGGAATGTTCAACTCTGTGTCCTGAATACAAACATCACAAAGATGTTTCTCAGAACGCTGCAGTCTGCAATTTGTATGAATTCCCGCTTCCAACGAAATCCTCAAAACTAGCCAAATATCCACTTGCAGATTCCACAAAAAGACCATTTCAAAACTGCTCTATCAAAAGAAAGGTTCAACTTTGTTAGTTGAGTAGATACAGCATAAACAACTTTCTGAGAATGCTTCTGTCCAGTTTTTATGGGAAGATATTTCCTTTTTCACCTTAGCCCTGAAATCGCTCCAAAAGTCCAGTTCCAGATACTACAAAAGGGGTGTTTCAAGACTGCTCTATGAAAGGGAGTGTTCAACTTTTGACTTGAATGCAAACATCAGAAAGCAGTTTCTCAGAACGCTGCTGTGTGCTTTTTATATGTATTCCCGCTTCCAGCGAAATCCCCAAAGCTAGCCAAATATCCACTTGCAGATTCCAGAAAAAGAGTGTTTCAAAACTGCTCCTTCAAAACGGTGGTTCAATTCTCTTAGTTGAGTACACACATCTCAAATAAGTTTCTGAGAATGCTTCTGTCTAGTTGTTATGGGAAGATATTTCCTTTTCCAACATAGGCCTGAAAGCGCTCCAAATGTCCACTTCCAGATACTACAAAAGGAGTGATTCCAACCTGCTCTATGATAGGGAATGTTCAACTCTGTGTCCTGAATACAAACATCACAAAGATGTTTCTCAGAACGCTGCAGTCTGCAATTTGTATGAATTCCCGCTTCCAACGAAATCCTCAAAACTAGCCAAATATCCACTTGCAGATTCCACAAAAAGAGCGTTTCAAAACTTCTCTATGAAAAGAAAGGTTCTACTCCTTTAGTTGAGGACACACATCACGAGTAAGTTTCTGAGAATGCTTCTGTCTAGTTTTTATGGGAAGATATTTCCTTTTTCACCTTAGGCCGGAAAGTGCTCCAAATGTCCACTTACACACACTACAAAAAGAGTGTTTCAAACCTGCTCTGTGAAAGGGAATGTTCAATTCTGTGACTTGAATGCAATCATCACAAAGAACTTTCTGAGAATGCTGCTGTCTGCTTTTTATATGTAATACCGTTTCCAACGAAATCCTCAAATCTAGCCAAATATCCACTTGCAGATTCCACAAAAAGAGTGTTTCAAAACTGTTCTGTCTAAAGAAAAGTTCAACTGTGTTAGTTGAGGACACACATCAGAAACTAGTTTCTGAGAATGCTTCTGTCTAGTTGTTATGGGAAGATATTTCCTTTTCCAACGTAGGCCTGAAAGCGCTCCAAATGTCCACTTCCATATACTAAAAAAAGAGTGTTTCAAACCTGCTCTACCAAAGGGAATGTTCTACTCTGTGACTTGAATGCAAACATCCCAAAGAAGTTTCTGAGAATGCTTCTGTCTAGATTTTCTCTGAAGACAATCCCGTTTCCAACGAAATCCTCAAGGCTAGGCAAATATACTCTTGCAGATTCCAGAAAAAGAGTGTTTCAAAACTGCTCCTTCAAAACGGTGGTTCAATTCTCTTAGTTGAGTACACACATCTCAAATAAGTTTCTGAGAATGCTTCTGCCTAGTTGTTACGGGAAGATATTTCCCTTTCCAACATAGGCCTGAAAGCGCTCCAAATGTCCACTTCCAGATACTACAAAAAGAGTGTTTCAAACCTGCTCCTTCAAAACGGTGGTTCAATTCTCTTAGTTCAGTACACACATCTCAAATAAGTTTCTGAGAATGCTTCTGCCTAGTTGTTACGGGAAGATATTTCCCTTTCCAACATAGGCCTGAAAGCGCTCCAAATGTCCACTTCCAGATACTACAAAAAGAGTGTTTCAAACCTGCTCTACCAAAGGGAATGTTCTACTCTGTGACTTGAATGCAAACATCCCGAAGAATTTTCTGAGAATGCTTCTGTCTAGATTTTACCTGAAGACAATCCCGTTTCCCACGAAATCCTCAAAGCTATGCAAATATCCTCTTGCAGATTCTACAAAAAGAGTGTTTCGAAACTGCTCTATGAAAAGAATGGTTCAACTCTGTCAGTAGAGGGCACACATCACAAACAAGTTTCTGAGAATGCTTGTGTCTACTTGTTATGGGAAGATATTTCCTTTTTAAACATAGGCCTGAAAGCGCTCCAAATGTCCACTTCCAGATACTACAAAAGGAGTGATTCCAACCTGCTCTATGATAGGGAATGTTCAACTCTGTGTCTTGAATACAAACATCACAAAGATGTTTCTCAGAACGCTGCAGTCTGCAATTTGTATGAATTCCCGCTTCCAACGAAATCCTCAAAACTAGCCAAATATCCACTTCCAGATTCCACAAAAAGAGCATTTCAAAACTGCTCTATCAAAAGAAAGGTTCAACTTTGTTAGTTGAGTAGATACAGCATAAACAAGTTTCTGAGAATGCTTCTGTCCAGTTTTTATGGGAAGATATTTCCTTTTTCACCTTAGCCCTGAAATCGCTCCAAAAGTCCAGTTCCAGATACTACAAAAGGGGTGTTTCAGGACTGCTCTATGAAAGGGAGTGTTCAACTTTTGACTTGAATGCAAACATCAGAAAGCAGTTTCTCAGAACGCTGCAGTCTGCAATTTGTATGAATTCCCGCTTCCAACGAAATCCTCAAAACTAGCCAAATATCCACTTGCAGATTCCACAAAAAGAGCGTTTCAAAACTTCTCTATGAAAAGAAAGGTTCTACTCCTTTAGTTGAGGACACACATCACGAGTAAGTTTCTGAGAATGCTTCTGTCTAGTTTTTATGGGAAGATATGTCCTTTTTCACCTTAGGCCGGAAAGCGCTCCAAATGTCCACTTACACACACTACAAAAAGAGTGTTTCAAACCTGCTCTGTGAAAGGGAATGTTCAATTCTGTGACTTGAATGCAATCATCACAAAGAAGTTTCTGAGAATGCTGCTGTCTGCTTTTTATATGTAATCCCGTTTCCAACGAAATCCTCAAATCTAGCCAAATAGCCACTTGCAGATTCCACAAAAAGAGTGTTTCAAAACTGTTCTGTCTAAAGAAATGTTCAACTGTGTTAGTTGAGGACACACATCAGAAACTAGTTTCTGAGAATGCTTCTGTCTAGTTGTTATGGGAAGATATTTCCTTTTCCAACGTAGGCCTGAAAGCGCTCCAAATGTCCACTTCCATATACTAAAAAAAGAGTGTTTCAAACCTGCTCTACCAAAGGAATGTTCTACTCTGTGACTTGAATGCAAACATCCCAAAGAAGTTTCTGAGAATGCTTCTGTCTAGATTTTCTCTGAAGACAATCCCGTTTCCAACGAAATCCTCAAGGCTAGGCAAATATACTCTTGCAGATTCCAGAAAAAGAGTGTTTCAAAACTGCTCCTTCAAAACGGTGGTTCAATTCTCTTAGTTGAGTACACACATCTCAAATAAGTTTCTGAGAATGCTTCTGCCTAGTTGTTACCGGAAGATATTTCCCTTTCCAACATAGGCCTGAAAGCGCTCCAAATGTCCACTTCCAGATACTACAAAAAGAGTGTTTCAAACCTGCTCTACCAAAGGGAATGTTCTACTCTGTGACTTGAATGCAAACATCCCAAAGAAGTTTCTGAGAATGCTTCTGTCTAGATTTTACCTGAAGACAATCCCGTTTCCCACGAAATCCTCAAAGCTATGCAAATATCCTCTTGCAGATTCTACAAAAAGAGTGTTTCAAAACTGCTCTATGAAAAGAAAGGTTCAACTCTGTCAGTAGAGGGCACACATCACAAACAAGTTTCTGAGAATGCTTGTGTCTAGTTGTTATGGGAAGATATTTCCTTTTTCAACATAGGCCAGAAAGCGCTCCAAATGTCCACTTCCAGATACTACAAAAGGAGTGATTCCAACCTGCTCTATGATAGGGAATGTTCAACTCTCTGTCCTGAATACAAACATCACAAAGATGTTTCTCAGAACGCTGCAGTCTGCAATTTGTATGAATTCCCGCTTCCAACGAAATCCTCAAAACTAGCCAAATATCCACTTGCAGATTCCACAAAAAGAGCATTTCAAAACTGCTCTATCAAAAGAAAGGTTCAACTTTGTTAGTTGAGTAGATACAGCATAAACAAGTTTCTGAGAATGCTTCTGTCCAGTTTTTATGGGAAGATATTTCCTTTTTCACCTTAGCCCTGAAAGCGCTCCAAAAGTCCAGTTCCAGATACTACAAAAGGAGTGTTTCAGGACTGCTCTATGAAAGGGAGTGTTCAACTTTTGACTTGAATGCAAACATCAGAAAGCAGTTTCTCAGAACGCTGCAGTCTGCAATTTGTATGAATTCCCGCTTCCAACGAAATCCTCCAAACTAGCCAAATATCCACTTGCAGATTCCACAAAAAGAGCGTTTCAAAACTTCTCTATGAAAAGAAAGGTTCTACTCCTTTAGTTGAGGACACACATCACGAGTAAGTTTCTGAGAATGCTTCTGTCTAGTTTTTATGGGAAGATATTTCCTTTTTCACCTTAGGCCGGAAAGCGCTCCAAATGTCCACTTACACACACTACAAAAAGAGTGTTTCAAACCTGCTCTGTGAAAGGGAATGTTCAATTCTGTGACTTGAATGCAATCATCACAAAGAACTTTCTGAGAATGCTGCTGTCTGCTTTTTATATGTAATCCCGTTTCCAACGAAATCCTCAAATCTAGCCAAATAGCCACTTGCAGATTCCACAAAAAGAGTGTTTCAAAACGGTTCTGTCTAAAGAAATGTAGAACTGTGTTAGTTGAGGACACACATCAGAAACTAGTTTCTGAGAATGCTTCTGTCTAGTTGTTATGGGAAGAGATTTCCTTTTCCAACGTAGGCCTGAAAGCGCTCCAAATGTCCTTCCATATACTAAAAAAAGAGTGTTTCAAACCTGCTCTACCAAAGGGAATGTTCTACTCTGTGACTTGAATGCAAACATCCCAAAGAAGTTTCTGAGAATGCTTCTGTCTAGATTTTCTCTGAAGACAATCCCGTTTCCAACGAAATCCTCAAGGCTAGGCAAATATACTCTTGCAGATTCCAGAAAAAGAGTGTTTCAAAACTGCTCCTTCAAAACGGTGGTTCAATTCTCTTAGTTGAGTACACACATCTCAAATAAGTTTCTGAGAATGCTTCTGCCTAGTTGTTACGGGAAGATATTTCCCTTTCCAACATGGGCCTGAAAGCGCTCCAAATGTCCACTTCCAGATACTACAAAAAGAGTGTTTCAAACCTGCTCTACCAAAGGGAATGTTCTACTCTGTGACTTGAATGCAAACATCCCAAAGAAGTTTCTGAGAATGCTTCTGTCTAGATTTTACCTGAAGACAATCCCGTTTCCCACGAAATCCTCAAAGCTATGCAAATATCCTCTTGCAGATTCTACAAAAAGAGTGTTTCAAAACTGCTCTATGAAAAGAAAGGTTCAACTCTGTCACTAGAGGGCACACATCACAAACAAGTTTCTGAGAATGCTTCTGCATAGTTGTTACGGGAAGATATTTCCCTTTCCAAAATAGGCCTGAAAGCGCTCCAAATGTCCACTTCCAGATACTACAAAAGGAGTGATTCCAACCTGCTCTATGATAGGGAATGTTCAACTCTGTGTCCTGAATACAAACATCACAAAGATGTTTCTCAGAACGCTGCAGTCTGCAATTTGTATGAATTCCCGCTTCCAACGAAATCCTCAAAACTAGCCAAATATCCACTTGCAGATTCCACAAAAAGACCATTTCAAAACTGCTCTATCAAAAGAAAGGTTCAACTTTGTTAGTTGAGTAGATACAGCATAAACAAGTTTCTGAGAATGCTTCTGTCCAGTTTTTATGGGAAGATATTTCCTTTTTCACCTTAGCCCTGAAATCGCTCCAAAAGTCCAGTTCCAGATACTACAAAAGGGGTGTTTCAAGACTGCTCTATGAAAGGGAGTGTTCAACTTTTGACTTGAATGCAAACATCAGAAAGCAGTTTCTCAGAACGCTGCTGTGTGCTTTTTATATGTATTCCCGCTTCCAGCGAAATCCCCAAAGCTAGCCAAATATCCACTTGCAGATTCCAGAAAAAGAGAGTTTCAAAACTGCTCCTTCAAAACGGTGGTTCAATTCTCTTAGTTGAGTACACACATCTCAAATAAGTTTCTGAGAATGCTGCTGTGTGCTTTTTATATGTATTCCCGCTTCCAGCGAAATCCCCAAAGCTAGCCAAATATCCACTTGCAGATTCCAGAAAAAGAGTGTTTCAAAACTGCTCCTTCAAAACGGTGGTTCAATTCTCTTAGTTGAGTACACACATCTCAAATAAGTTTCTGAGAATGCTGCAGTCTGCAATTTGTATGAATTCCCGCTTCCAACGAAATCCTCCAAACTAGCCAAATATCCACTTGCAGATTCCACAAAAAGAGCGTTTCAAAACTTCTCTATGAAAGAAAGGTTCTACTCCTTTAGTTGAGGACACACATCACGAGTAAGTTTCTGAGAATGCTTCTGTCTAGTTTTTATGGGAAGATATGTCCTTTTTCACCTTAGGCCGGAAAGCGCTCCAAATGTCCACTTACACACACTACAAAAAGAGTGTTTCAAACCTGCTCTGTGAAAGGGAATGTTCAATTCTGTGACTTGAATGCAATCATCACAAAGAACTTTCTGAGAATGCTGCTGTCTGCTTTTTATATGTAATCCCGTTTCCAACGAAATCCTCAAATGTAGCCAAATATCCACTTGCAGATTCCACAAAAAGAGTGTTTCAAAACTGTTCTGTCTAAAGAAATGTTCAACTGTTTTAGTTGAGGACACACATCAGAAACTAGTTTCTGAGAATGCTTCTGTCTAGTTGTTATGGGAAGATATTTCCTTTTCCAACGTAGGCCAGAAAGCGCTCCAAATGTCCACTTACACACACTACAAAAAGAGTGTTTCAAACCTGCTCTACCAAAGGGAATGTTCTACTCTGTGACTTGAATGCAAACATCCCAAAGAAGTTTCTGAGAATGCTTCTGTCTAGATTTTACCTGAAGACAATCCCGTTTCCCACGAAATCCTCAAAGCTATGCAAATATCCTCTTGCAGATTCTACAAAAAGAGTGTTTCGAAAGTGCTCTATGAAAAGAAAGGTTCAACAGTGTCAGTAGAGGGCACACATCTCAAACAAGTTTCTGAGAATGCTTCTGTCTAGTTGTTATGGGAAGATATTTCCTTTTTCAACATAGGCCTGAAAGCGCTCCAAATGTCCACTTCCAGATACTACAAAAGGAGTGATTCCAACCTGCTCTATGATAGGGAATGTTCAACTCTGTGTCCTTAATACAAACATCACAAAGATGTCTCTCAGAACGCTGCAGTCTGCAATTTGTATGAATTCCCGCTTCCAACGAAATCCTCAAAACTAGCCAAATATCCACTTGCAGATTCCACAAAAAGAGCATTTCAAAACTGCTCTATCAAAAGAAAGGTTCAACTTTGTTAGTTGAGTAGATACAGCATAAACAAGTTTCTGAGAATGCTTCTGTCCAGTTTTTATGGGAAGATATTTCCTTTTTCACCTTAGCCCTGAAAGCGCTCCAAAAGTCCAGTTCCAGATACTACAAAAGGAGTGTTTCAGGACTGCTCTATGAAAGGGAGTGTTCAACTTTTGACTTGAATGCAAACATCAGAAAGCAGTTTCTCAGAACGCTGCTGTGTGCTTTTTATATGTATTCCCGCTTCCAGCGAAATCCCCAAAGCTAGCCAAATATCCACTTGCAGATTCCAGAAAAAGAGAGTTTCAAAACTGCTCCTTCAAAACGGTGGTTCAATTCTCTTAGTTGAGTACACACATCTCAAATAAGTTTCTGAGAATGCTTCTCTGTCTAGTTGTTATGGGAAGATATTTCCTTTTCCAACATAGGCCTGAAAGCGCTCCAAATGTCCACTTCCAGATACTACAAAAGGAGTGATTCCAACCTGCTCTATGATAGGGAATGTTCAACTCTGTGTCCTGAATACAAACATCACAAAGATGTTTCTCAGAACGCTGCAGTCTGCAATTTGTATGAATTCCCGCTTCCAACGAAATCCTCAAAACTAGCCAAATATCCACTTGCAGATTCCACAAAAAGAGCGTTTCAAAACTTCTCTATGAAAAGAAAGGTTCTACTCCTTTAGTTGAGGACACACATCACGAGTAAGTTTCTGAGAATGCTTCTGTCTAGTTTTTATGGGAAGATATTTCCTTTTTCACCTTAGGCCGGAAAGCGCTCCAAATGTCCACTTACACACACTACAAAAAGCGTGTTTCAAACCTGCTCTGTGAAAGGGAATGTTCAATTCTGTGACTTGAATGCAATCATCACAAAGAACTTTCTGAGAATGCTGCTTACTGCTTTTTATATGTAATCCCGTTTCCAACGAAATCCTCAAATCTAGCCCAATATCCACTTGCAGATTCCACAAAAAGAGTGTTTCAAAAGTGTTCTGTCTAAAGAAATGTACAACTGTGTTAGTTGAGGACACACATCAGAAACTAGTTTCTGAGAATGCTTCTGTCTAGTTGTTATGGGAAGATATTTCCTTTTCCAACGTAGGCCTGAAAGCGCTCCAAATGTCCTTCCATATACTAAAAAAAGAGTGTTTCAAACCTGCTCTACCAAAGGGAATGTTCTACTCTGTGACTTGAATGCAAACATCCCAAAGAAGTTTCTGAGAATGCTTCTGTCTAGATTTTATCTGAAGACAATCCCGTTTCCAACGAAATCCTCAAGGCCAGGCAAATATACTCTTGCAGATTCCAGAAAAAGAGTGTTTCAAAACTGCTCCTTCAAAACGGTGGTTCAATTCTCTTAGTTGAGTACACACATCTCAAATAAGTTTCTGAGAATGCTTCTGCCTAGTTGTTACGGGAAGATATTTCCCTTTCCAACATGGGCCTGAAAGCGCTCCAAATGTCCACTTCCAGATACTACAAAAAGAGTGTTTCAAACCTGCTCTACCAAAGGGAATGTTCTACTCTGTGACTTGAATGCAAACATCCCAAAGAAGTTTCTGAGAATGCTTCTGTCTAGATTTTACCTGAAGACAATCCCGTTTCGCACGAAATCCTCAAAGCTATGCAAATATCGTCTTGCAGATTCTACAAAAAGAGTGTTTCAAAACTGCTCTATGAAAAGAAAGGTTCAACTCTGTCAGTAGAGGGCACACATCACAAACAAGTTTCTGAGAATGCTTGTGTCTAGTTGTTATGGGAAGATATTTCCTTTTTCAACATAGGCCTGAAAGCGCTCCAAATGTCCACTTCCAGATACTACAAAAGGAGTGATTCCAACCTGCTCTATGATAGGGAATGTTCAACTCTCTGTCCTGAATACAAACATCACAAAGATGTTTCTCAGAACGCTGCAGTCTGCAATTTGTATGAATTCCCGCTTCCAACGAAATCCTAAAAACTAGCCAAATATCCACTTGCAGATTCCACAAAAAGACCATTTCAAAACTGCTCTATCAAAAGAAAGGTTCAACTTTGTTAGTTGAGTAGATACAGCATAAACAAGTTTCTGAGAATGCTTCTGTCCAGTTTTTATGGGAAGATATTTCCTTTTTCACCTTAGCCCTGAAATCGCTCCAAAAGTCCAGTTCCAGATACTACAAAAGGGGTGTTTCAAGACTGCTCTATGAAAGGGAGTGTTCAACTTTTGACTTGAATGCAAACATCAGAAAGCAGTTTCTCAGAACGCTGCAGTCTGCAATTTGTATGAATTCCCGCTTCCAACGAAATCCTCCAAACTAGCCAAATATCCACTTGCAGAGTCCACAAAAAGAGCGTTTCAAAACTTCTCTATGAAAAGAAAGGTTCTACTCCTTTAGTTGAGGACACACATCACGAGTAAGTTTCTGAGAATGCTTCTGTCTAGTTTTTATGGGAAGATATTTCCTTGTTCACCTTAGGCCGAAAAGCGCTCCAAATGTACACTTACACACACTACAAAAAGAGTGTTTCAAACCTGCTCTGTGAAAGGGAATGTTCAATTCTGTGACTTGAATGCAATCATCACAAAGAAGTTTCTGAGAATGCTGCTGTCTGCTTTTTATATGTAATCCCGTTTCCAACGAAATCCTCAAATCTAGCCAAATATCCACTTGCAGATTCCACAAAAAGAGTGTTTCAAAACTGTTCTGTCTAAAGAAATGTTCAACTGTGTTAGTTGAGGACACACATCAGAAACTAGTTTCTGACAATGTTTCTGTCTAGTTGTTATGGGAAGATATTTCCTTTTCCAACATAGGCCTGAAAGCGCTCCAAATGTCCACTTCCATATACTAAAAAAAGAGTGTTTCAAACCTGCTCTTCCAAAGAGAATGTTCTACTCTGTGACTTGCATAGAAACATCCCAAAGAAGTTTCTGAGAATGCTTCTGTCTAGATTTTATGTGAAGACAATCCCGTTTCCAACGAAATCCTCAAGGCTAGGCAAATATACTCTTGCAGATTCCAGAAAAAGAGTGTTTGAAAACTGCTCCTTCAAAACGGTGGTTCAATTCTCTTAGTTGAGTACACACATCTCAAATAAGTTTCTGACAATGCTTCGGCCTAGTTGTTACGGGAAGATATTTCCCTTTCCAACATGGGCCTGAAAGCGCTCCAAATGTCCACTTCCAGATACTACAAAAAGAGGGTTTCAAACCTGCTCTACCAAAGGGAATGTTCTACTCTGTGACTTGAATGCAAACATCCCAAAGAAGTTTCTGAGAATGCTTCTGTCTAGATTTTACCTGAAGACAATCCTGTTTCCCACGAAATCCTCAAAGCTATGCAAATATCCTCTTGCAGATTCTACAAAAAGAGTGTTTCAAAACTGCTCTATGAAAAGAAAGGTTCAACTCTGTCAGTAGAGGGCACACATCACAAACAAGTTTCTGAGAATGCTTGTGTCTAGTTGTTATGGGAAGATATTTCCTTTTTCAACATAGGCCTGAAAGCGCTCCAAATGTCCACTTCCAGATACTACAAAAGGAGTGATTCCAACCTGCTCTATGATAGGGAATGTTCAACTCTCTGTCCTGAATACAAACATCACAAAGATGTTTCTCAGAACGCTGCAGTCTGCAATTTGTATGAATTCCCGCTTCCAACCGAAATCCTCAAAACTAGCCAAATATCCACTTGCAGATTCCACAAAAAGAGCATTTCAAAACTGCTCTATCAAAAGAAAGGTTCAACTTTGTTAGTTGAGTAGATACAGCATAAACAAGTTTCTGAGAATGCTTCTGTCCAGTTTTTATGGGAAGATATTTCCTTTTTCACCTTAGCCCTGAAAGCGCTCCAAAAGTCCAGTTCCAGATACTACAAAAGGAGTGTTTCAGGACTGCTCTATGAAAGGGAGTGTTCAACTTTTGACTTGAATGCAAACATCAGAAAGCAGTTTCTCAGAACGCTGCAGTCTGCAATTTGTATGAATTCCCGCTTCCAACGAAATCCTCAAAACTAGCCAAATATCCACTTGCAGATTCCACAAAAAGAGCGTTTCAAAACTTCTCTATGAAAAGAAAGGTTCTACTCCTTTAGTTGAGGACACACATCACGAGTAAGTTTCTGAGAATGCTTCTGTCTAGTTTTTATGGGAAGATATTTCCTTTTTCACCTTAGGCCGGAAAGTGCTCCAAATGTCCACTTACACACACTATAAAAAGAGTGTTCAAACCTGCTCTGTGAAAGGGAATGTTCAATTCTGTGACTTGAATGCAATCATCACAAAGAACTTTCTGAGAATGCTGCTGTCTGCTTTTTATATGTAATCCCGTTTCCAACGAAATCCTCAAATCTAGGCAAATATCCACTTGCAGATTCCACAAAAAGAGTGTTTCAAAACTGTTCTGTCTAAAGAAATGTTCAACTGTGTTAGTTGAGGACACACATCAGAAACTAGTTTCTGAGAATGCTTCTGTCTAGTTGTTATGGGAAGATATTTCCTTTTCCAACGTAGGCCTGAAAGCGCTCCAAATGTCCACTTACACACACTACAAAAAGAGTGTTTCAAACCTGCTCTACCAAAGGGAATGTTCTACTCTGTGACTTGAATGCAAACATCCCAAAGAAGTTTCTGAGAATGCTTCTGTCTAGATTTGATCTGAAAACAATCCCGTTTCCAACGAAATCCTCAAGGCTAGGCAAATATACTCTTGCAGATTCCAGAAAAAGAGTGTTTCAAAACTGCTCCTTCAAAACGGTGGTTCAATTCTCTTAGTTGAGTACACACATCTCAAATAAGTTTCTGAGAATGCTTCTGCATAGTTGTTACGGGAAGATATTTCCCTTTCCAAAATAGGCCTGAAAGCGCTCCAAATGTCCACTTCCAGATACTACAAAAGGAGTGATTCCAACCTGCTCTATGATAGGGAATGTTCAACTCTGTGTCCTGAATACAAACATCACAAAGATGTTTCTCAGAACGCTGCAGTCTGCAATTTGTATGAATTCCCGCTTCCAACGAAATCCTCAAAACTAGCCAAATATCCACTTGCAGATTCCACAAAAAGAGCATTTCAAAACTGCTCTATCAAAAGAAAGGTTCAACTTTGTTAGTTGAGTAGATACAGCATAAACAAGTTTCTGAGAATGCTGCAGTCTGCAATTTGTATGAATTCCCGCTTCCAACGAAATCCTCCAAACTAGCCAAATATCCACTTGCAGATTCCACAAAAAGAGCGTTTCAAAACTTCTCTATGAAAAGAAAGGTTCTACTCCTTTAGTTGAGGACACACATCACGAGTAAGTTTCTGAGAATGCTTCTGTCTAGTTTTTATGGGAAGATATTTCCTTTTTCACCTTAGGCCGGAAAGCGCTCCAAATGTCCACTTACACACACTACAAAAAGAGTGTTTCAAACCTGCTCTGTGAAAGGGAATGTTCAATTCTGTGACTTGAATGCAATCATCACAAAGAACTTTCTGAGAATGCTGCTGTCTGCTTTTTATATGTAATCCCGTTTCCAACGAAATCCTCAAATCTAGCCAAATATCCACTTGCAGATTCCACAAAAAGAGTGTTTCAAAACTGTTCTGTCTAAAGAAATGTTCAACTGTGTTAGTTGAGGACACACATCAGAAACTAGTTTCTGAGAATGCTTCTGTCTACTTGTTATGGGAAGATATTTCCTTTTCCAACGTAGGCCTGAAAGCGCTCCAAATGTCCACTTCCATATACTAAAAAAAGAGTGTTTCAAACCTGCTCTACCAAAGGGAATGTTCTACTCTGTGACTTGAATGCAAACATCCCAAAGAAGTTTCTGAGAATGCTTCTGTCTAGATTTGATCTGAAGACAATCCCGTTTCCAACGAAATCCTCAAGGCTAGGCAAATATCCTCTTGCAGATTCCAGAAAAAGAGTGTTTCAAAACTGCTCCTTCAAAACGGTGATTCAATTCTCTTAGTTGAGTACACACATCTCAAATAAGTTTCTGAGAATGCTTCTGCCTAGTTGTTACGGGAAGATATTTCCCTTTCCAACATGGGCCTGAAAGCGCTCCAAATGTCCACTTCCAGATACTACAAAAAGAGGGTTTCAAACCTGCTCTACCAAAGGGAATGTTCTACTCTGTGACTTGAATGCAAACATCCCAAAGAAGTTTCTGAGAATGCTTCTGTCTAGATTTTACCTGAAGACAATCCCGTTTCCCACGAAATCCTCAAAGCTATGCAAATATCCTCTTGCAGATTCTACAAAAAGAGTGTTTCAAAACTGCTCTATGAAAAGAAAGGTTCAACTCTGTCAGTAGAGGGCACACATCACAAACAAGTTTCTGAGAATGCTTCTGCATAGTTGTTACGGGAAGATATTTCCCTTTCCAAAATAGGCCTGAAAGCGCTCCAAATGTCCACTTCCAGATACTACAAAAGGAGTGATTCCAACCTGCTCTATGATAGGGAATGTTCAACTCTGTGTCCTGAATACAAACATCACAAAGATGTTTCTCAGAACGCTGCAGTCTGCAATTTGTATGAATTCCCGCTTCCAACGAAATCCTCAAAACTAGCCAAATATCCACTTGCAGATTCCACAAAAAGACCATTTCAAAACTGCTCTATCAAAAGAAAGGTTCAACTTTGTTAGTTGAGTAGATACAGCATAAACAAGTTTCTGAGAATGCTTCTGTCCAGTTTTTATGGGAAGATATTTCCTTTTTCACCTTAGCCCTGAAAGCGCTCCAAAAGTCCAGTTCCAGATACTACAAAAGGAGTGTTTCAGGACTGCTCTATGAAAGGGAGTGTTCAACTTTTGACTTGAATGCAAACATCAGAATGCAGTTTCTCAGAACGCTGCTGTGTGCTTTTTATATGTATTCCCGCTTCCAGCGAAATCCCCAAAGCTAGCCAAATATCCACTTGCAGATTCCAGAAAAAGAGTGTTTCAAAACTGCTCCTTCAAAACGGTGGTTCAATTCTCTTAGTTGAGTACACACATCTCAAATAAGTTTCTGAGAATGCTTCTGTCTAGTTGTTATGGGAAGATATTTCCTTTTCCAACATAGGCCTGAAAGCGCTCCAAATGTCCACTTCCAGATACTACAAAAGGAGTGATTCAAACCTGCTCTATGATAGGGAATGTTCAACTCTGTGTCCTGAATACAAACATCACAAAGATGTTTCTCAGAACGCTGCAGTCTGCAATTTGTATGAATTCCCGCTTCCAACGAAATCCTCAAAACTAGCCAAATATCCACTTGCAGATTCCACAAAAAGAGCATTTCAAAACTGCTCTATCAAAAGAAAGGTTCAACTTTGTTAGTTGAGTAGATACAGCATAAACAAGTTTCTGAGAATGCTTCTGTCCAGTTTTTATGGGAAGATATTTCCTTTTTCACCTTAGCCCTGAAATCGCTCCAAAAGTCCAGTTCCAGATACTACAAAAGGGGTGTTTCAAGACTGCTCTATGAAAGGGAGTGTTCAACTTTTGACTTGAATGCAAACATCAGAAAGCAGTTTCTCAGAACGCTGCTGTGTGCTTTTTATATGTATTCCCGCTTCCAGCGAAATCCCCAAAGCTAGCCAAATATCCACTTGCAGATTCCAGAAAAAGAGAGTTTCAAAACTGCTCCTTCAAAACGGTGGTTCAATTCTCTTAGTTGAGTACACACATCTCAAATAAGTTTCTGAGAATGCTTCTGTCTAGTTGTTATGGGAAGATATTTCCTTTTCCAACATAGGCCTGAAAGCGCTCCAAATGTCCACTTCCAGATACTACAAAAGGAGTGATTCAAACCTGCTCTATGATAGGGAATGTTCAACTCTGTGTCCTGAATACAAACATCACAAAGATGTTTCTCAGAACGCTGCAGTCTGCAATTTGTATGAATTCCCGCTTCCAACGAAATCCTCAAAACTAGCCAAATATCCACTTGCAGATTCCACAAAAAGAGCGTTTCAAAACTTCTCTATGAAAAGAAAGGTTCTACTACTTTAGTTGAGGACACACATCACGAGTAAGTTTCTGAGAATGCTTCTGTCTAGTTTTTATGGGAAGATATTTCCTTTTTCACCTTAGGCCGGTAAGTGCTCCAAATGTCCACTTACACACACTACAAAAAGAGTGTTTCAAACCTGCTCTGTGAAAGGGAATGTTCAATTCTGTGACTTGAATGCAATCATCACAAAGAACTTTCTGAGAATGCTGCTGACTGCTTTTTATATGTAATCCCGTTTCCAACGAAATCCTCAAATCTAGCCAAATAGCCACTTGCAGATTCCACAAAAAGAGTGTTTCAAAACTGTTCTGTCTAAAGAAATGTTCAACTGTGTTAGTTGAGGACACACATCAGAAACTAGTTTCTGAGAATGCTTCTGTCTAGTTGTTATGGGAAGATATTTCCTTTTCCAACGTAGGCCTGAAAGCGCTCCAAATGTCCACTTCCATATACTAAAAAAAGAGTGTTTCAAACCTGCTCTACCAAAGGAATGTTCTACTCTGTGACTTGAATGCAAACATCCCAAAGAAGTTTCTGAGAATGCTTCTGTCTAGATTTGATCTGAAGACAATCCCGTTTCCAACGAAATCCTCAAGGCTAGGCAAATATCCTCTTGCAGATTCCAGAAAAAGAGTGTTTCAAAACTGCTCCTTCAAAACGGTGGTTCAATTCTCTTAGTTGAGTACACACATCTCAAATAAGTTTCTGAGAATGCTTCTGCCTAGTTGTTACGGGAAGATATTTCCCTTTGCAACATGGGCCAGAAAGCGCTCCAAATGTCCACTTCCAGATACTACAAAAAGAGGGTTTCAAACCTGCTCTACCAAAGGGAATGTTCTACTCTGTGACTTGAATGTAAACATCCCAAAGAAGTTTCTGAGAATGCTTCTGTCTAGATTTTACCTGAAGACAATCCCGTTTCCCACGAAATCCTCAAAGCTATGCAAATATCCTCTTGCGGATTCTACAAAAAGAGTGTTTCAAAACTGCTCTATGAAAAGAAAGGTTCAACTCTGTCAGTAGAGGGCACACATCACAAACAAGTTTCTGAGAATGCTTGTGTCTAGTTGTTATGGGAAGATATTTCCTTTTTCAACATAGGCCTGAAAGCGCTCCAAATGTCCACTTCCAGATACTACAAAAGGAGTGATTCCAACCTGCTCTATGATAGGGAATGTTCATCTCTGTGTCCTGAATACAAACATCACAAAGATGTTTCTCAGAACGCTGCAGTCTGCAATTTGTATGAATTCCCGCTTCCAACGAAATCCTCAACACTAGCCAAATATCCACTTGGAGATTCCACAAAAAGAGCGTTTCAAAACTTCTCTACGAATAGAAAGGTGCTACTCCTTTAGTTGAGGTCACACATCACGAGTAAGTTTCTGAGAATGCTTCTGTCTAGTTTTTATGGGAAGATATGTCCTTTTTCACCTTAGGCCGGAAAGCTCTCCAAATGTCCACTTACACACACTACAAAAAGAATGTTTCAAACCTGCTCTGTGAAAGGGAATGTTCAATTCTGTGACTTGAATGCAATCATCACAAAGAACTTTCTGAGAATGCTGCTGACTGCTTTTTATATGTAATCCCGTTTCCAACGAAATCCTCAAATCTAGCCCAATATCCACTTGCAGATTCCACAAAAAGAGTGTTTCAAAACTGTTCTGTCTAAAGAAATGTACAACTGTGTTAGTTGAGGACACACATCAGAAACTAGTTTCTGAGAATGCTTCTGTCTAGTTGTTATGGGAAGATATTTCCTTTTCCAACGTAGGCCTGAAAGCGCTCCAAATGTCCACTTCCATATACTAAAAAAAGAGTGTTTCAAACCTGCTCTACCAAAGGGAATGTTCTACTCTGTGACTTGAATGCAAACATCCCAAAGAAGTTTCTGAGAATGCTTCTGTCTAGATTTGATCTGAAGACAATCCCGTTTCCAACGAAATCCTCAAGGCTAGGCAAATATACTCTTGCAGATTCCAGAAAAAGAGTGTTTCAAAACTGCTCCTTCAAAACGGTGGTTCAATTCTCTTAGTTGAGTACACACATCTCAAATAAGTTTCTGAGAATGCTTCTGCCTAGTTGTTACGGGAAGATATTTCCCTTTCCAACATGGGCCTGAAAGCGCTCCAAATGTCCACTTCCAGATACTACAAAAAGAGTGTTTCAAACCTGCTCTACCAAAGGGAATGTTCTACTCTGTGACTTGAATGCAAACATCCCAAAGAAGTTTCTGAGAATGCTTCTGTCTAGATTTTACCTGAAGACAATCCGGTTTCCCACGAAATCCTCAAAGCTATGCAAATATCGTCTTGCAGGTTCTACAAAAAGAGTGTTTCAAAACTGCTCTATGAAAAGAAAGGTTCAACTCTGTCAGTAGAGGGCACACATCACAAACAAGTTTCTGAGAATGCTTCTGCATAGTTGTTACGGGAAGATATTTCCCTTTCCAAAATAGGCCTGAAAGCGCTCCAAATGTCCACTTCCAGATACTACAAAAGGAGTGATTCCAACCTGCTCTATGATAGGGAATGTTCAACTCTGTGTCCTGAATACAAACATCACAAAGATGTTTCTCAGAACGCTGCAGTCTGCAATTTGTATGAATTCCCGCTTCCAACGAAATCCTCAAAACTAGCCAAATATCCACTTGCAGATTCCACAAAAAGACCATTTCAAAACTGCTCTATCAAAAGAAAGGTTCAACTTTGTTAGTTGAGTAGATACAGCATAAACAAGTTTCTGAGAATGCTTCTGTCCAGTTTTTATGGGAAGATATTTCCTTTTTCACCTTAGCCCTGAAAGCGCTCCAAAAGTCCAGTTCCAGATACTACAAAAGGAGTGTTTCAGGACTGCACTATGAAAGGGAGTGTTCAACTTTTGACTTGAATGCAAACATCAGAAAGCAGTTTCTCAGAACGCTGCTGTGTGCTTTTTATATGTATTCCCGCTTCCAGCGAAATCCCCAAAGCTAGCCAAATATCCACTTGCAGATTCCAGAAAAAGAGTGTTTCAAAACTGCTCCTTCAAAACGGTGGTTCAATTCTCTTAGTTGAGTACACACATCTCAAATAAGTTTCTGAGAATGCTTCTGTCTAGTTGTTATGGGAAGATATTTCCTTTTCCAACATAGGCCTGAAAGCGCTCCAAATGTCCACTTCCAGATACTACAAAAGGAGTGATTCAAACCTGCTCTATAATAGGGAATGTTCAACTCTGTGTCCTGAATACAAACATCACAAAGATGTTTCTCAGAACGCTGCAGTCTGCAATTTGTATGAATTCCCGCTTCCAACGAAATCCTCAAAACTAGCAAAATATCCACTTGCAGATTCCACAAAAAGAGCGTTTCAAAACTTCTCTATGAAAAGAAAGGTTCTACTCCTTTAGTTGAGGACACACATCACGAGTAAGTTTCTGAGAATGCTTCTGTCTAGTTTTTATGGGAAGATATTTCCTTTTTCACCTGAGGCCGGAAAGCGCTCCAAATGTCCACTTACAGACACTACAAAAGAGTGTTTCAAACCTGCTCTGTGAAAGGGAATGTTCAGTTCTGTGACTTGAATGCAATCACCACAAAGAAGTTTCTGAGAATGCTGCTGTCTGCTTTTTATATGTAATCCCGTTTCCAACGAAATCCTCAAATCTAGCCAAATATCCACTTGCAGATTCCTCAAAAAGAGTGTTTCAAAACTGTTCTGCCAAAAGAAAGGTTCAACTCTGTTAGTTGAGGACACACATCAGAAACTAGTTTCTGAGAAGGCTTCTGTCTAGTTGTTATGGGAAGATATTTCCTTTTCCAACGTAGGCCTGAAAGCGCTCCAAATGTCCACTTCCATATACTAAAAAAAGAGTGTTTCAAACCTGCTCTACCAAAGGGAATGTTCTACTCTGTGACTTGAATGCAAACATCCCAAAGAAGTTTCTGAGAATGCTTCTGTCTAGATTTTATCTGAAGACAATCCCGTTTCCAACGAAATCCTCAAGGCTAGGCAAATATACTCTTGCAGATTCCAGAAAAAGAGTGTTTCAAAACTGCACCTTCAAAACGGTGGTTCAATTCTCTTAGTTGAGTACACACATCTCAAATAAGTTTCTGAGAATGCTTCTGCCTAGTTGTTACGGGAAGATATTTCCCTTTCCAACATGGGCCTGAAAGCGCTCCAAATGTCCACTTCCAGATACTACAAAAAGAGTGTTTCAAACCTGCTCTACCAAAGGGAATGTTCTACTCTGTGACTTGAATGCAAACATCCCAAAGAAGTTTCTGAGAATGCTTCTGTCTAGATTTTACCTGAAGACAATCCCGTTTCCCACGAAATCCTCAAAGCTATGCAAATATCCTCTTGCAGATTCTACAAAAAGAGTGTTTCAAAACTGCTCTATGAAAAGAAAGGTTCAACTCTGTCAGTAGAGGGCACACATCACAAACAAGTTTCTGAGAATGCTTCTGCATAGTTGTTACGGGAAGATATTTCCCTTTCCAAAATAGGCCTGAAAGCGCTCCAAATGTCCACTTCCAGATACTACAAAAGGAGTGATTCCAACCTGCTCTATGATAGGGAATGTTCAACTCTGTGTCCTGAATACAAACATCACAAAGATGTTTCTCAGAACGCTGCAGTCTGCAATTTGTATGAATTCCCGCTTCCAGCGAAATCCTCAAAACTAGCCAAATATCCACTTGCAGATTCCACAAAAAGAGCATTTCAAAACTGCTCTATCAAAAGAAAGGTTCAACTTTGTTAGTTGAGTAGATACAGCATAAACAAGTTTCTGAGAATGCTTCTGTCCAGTTTTTATGGGAAGATATTTCCTTTTTCACCTTAGCCCTGAAATCGCTCCAAAAGTCCAGTTCCAGATACTACAAAAGGGGTGTTTCAGGACTGCTCTATGAAAGGGAGTGTTCAACTTTTGACTTGAATGCAAACATCAGAAAGCAGTTTCTCAGAACGCTGCTGTGTGCTTTTTATATGTATTCCCGCTTCCAGCGAAATCCCCAAAGCTAGCCAAATATCCACTTGCAGATTCCAGAAAAAGAGTGTTTCAAAACTGCTCCTTCAAAACGGTGGTTCAATTCTCTTAGTTGAGTACACACATCTCAAATAAGTTTCTGAGAATGCTGCTGTGTGCTTTTTATATGTATTCCCGCTTCCAGCGAAATCCCCAAAGCTAGCCAAATATCCACTTGCAGATTCCAGAAAAAGAGAGTTTCAAAACTGCTCCTTCAAAACGGTGGTTCAATTCTACTTAGTTGAGTACACACATCTCAAATAAGTTTCTGAGAATGCTGCAGTCTGCAATTTGTATGAATTCCCGCTTCCAACGAAATCCTCAAAACTAGCCAAATATCCACTTGGAGATTCCACAAAAAGAGCATTTCAAAACTTCTCTACGAATAGAAAGGTTCTACTCCTTTAGTTGAGGACACACATCACGAGTAAGTTTCTGAGAATGCTTCTGTCTAGTTTTTATGGGAAGATATTTCCTTTTTCACCTTAGGCCGGAAAGCGCTCCAAATGTCCATTTACACACACTACAAAAAGAGTGTTTCAAACCTGCTCTGTGAAAGGGAATGTTCAATTCTGTGACTTGAATGCAATCATCACAAAGAACTTTCTGAGAATGCTGCTGTCTGCTTTTTATATGTAATCCCGTTTCCAACGAAATCCTCAAATCTAGCCAAATATCCACTTGCAGATTCCACAAAAAGAGTGTTTCAAAACTGTTCTGTCTAAAGAAAAGTTCAACTGTGTTAGTTGAGGACACACATCAGAAACTAGTTCAATGAGAATGCTTCTGTCTAGTTGTTATGGGAAGATATTTCCTTTTCCAACGTAGGCCTGAAAGCGCTCCAAATGTCCTCTTCCATATACTAAAAAAAGAGTGTTTCAAACCTGCTCTACCAAAGGGAATGTTCTACTCTGTGACTTGAATGCAAACATCCCAAAGAAGTTTCTGAGAATGCTTCTGTCTAGATTTTATCTGAAGACAATCCCGTTTCCAACGAAATCCTCAAGGCTAGGCAAATATACTCTTGCAGATTCCAGAAAAAGAGTGTTTCAAAACTGCACCTTCAAAACGGTGGTTCAATTCTCTTAGTTGAGTACACACATCTCAAATAAGTTTCTGAGAATGCTTCTGCCTAGTTGTTACGGGAAGATATTTCCCTTTCCAACATAGGCCTGAAAGCGCTCCAAATGTCCACTTCCAGATACTACAAAAAGAGTGTTTCAAACCTGCTCTACCAAAGGGAATGTTCTACTCTGTGACTTGAATGCAAACATCCCAAAGAAGTTTCTGAGAATGCTTCTGTCTAGATTTTACCTGAAGACAATCCCGTTTCCCACGAAATCCTCAAAGCTATGCAAATATCCTCTTGCAGATTCTACAAAAAGAGTGTTTCAAAACTGCTCTATGAAAAGAAAGGTTCAACTCTGTCAGTAGAGGGCACACATCACAAACAAGTTTGCTGAGAATGCTTCTGCATAGTTGTTATGGGAAGATATTTCCCTGTCCAAAATAGGCCTGAAAGCGCTCCAAATGTCCACTTCCAGATACTACAAAAGGAGTGATTCCAACCTGCTCTATGATAGGGAATGTTCAACTCTGTGTCCTGAATACAAACATCACAAAGATGTTTCTCATAACGCTGCAGTCTGCAATTTGTATGAATTCCCGCTTCCAACGAAATCCTCAAAACTAGCCAAATATCCACTTGCAGATTCCACAAAAAGAGCATTTCAAAACTGCTCTATCAAAAGAAAGGTTCAACTTTGTTAGTTGAGCAGATACAGCATAAACAAGTTTCTGAGAATGCTTCTGTCCAGTTTTTATGGGAAGATATTTCCTTTTTCACCTTAGCCCTGAAAGCGCTCCAAAAGTCCAGTTCCAGATACTACAAAAGGAGTGTTTCAGGACTGCTCTATGAAAGGGAGTGTTCAACTTTTGACTTGAATGCAAACATCAGAAAGCAGTTTCTCAGAACGCTGCTGTGTGCTTTTTATATGTATTCCCGCTTCCAGCGAAATCCCCAAAGCTAGCCAAATATCCACTTGCAGATTCCAGAAAAAGAGTGTTTCCAAACTGCTCCTTCAAAACGGTGGTTCAATTCTCTTAGTTGAGTACACACATCTCAAATAAGTTTCTGGGAATGCTTCTGTCTAGTTGTTATGGGAAGATATTTCCTTTTCCAACATAGGCCTGAAAGCGCTCCAAATGTCCACTTCCAGATACTACAAAAGGAGTGATTCCAACCTGCTCTATGATAGGGAATGTTCAACTCTGTGTCCTGAATACAAACATCACAAAGATGTTTCTCAGAACGCTGCAGTCTGCAATTTGTATGAATTCCCGCTTCCAACGAAATCCTCAAAACTAGCCAAATATCCACTTGGAGATTCCACAAAAAGAGCGTTTCAAAACTTCTCTATGAATAGAAATGTTCTACTCCTTTAGTTGAGGACACACATCACGAGTAAGTTTCTGAGAATGCTTCTGTCTAGTTTTTATGGGAAGATATTTCCTTTTTCACCTTAGGCCGGAAAGTGCTCCAAATGTCCACTTACACACACTACAAAAAGAGTGTTTCAAACCTGCTCTGTGAAAGGGAATGTTCAATTCTGTGACTTGAATGCAATCATCACAAAGAACTTTGTGAGAATGCTTGCTGTCTGCTTTTTATATGTAATCCCGTTTCCAACGAAATCCTCAAATCTAGCCCAATATCCACTTGCAGATTCCACAAAAAGAGTGTTTCAAAACTGTTCTGTATAAAGAAATGTACAACTGTGTTAGTTGAGGACACACATCAGAAACTAGTTTCTGAGAATGCTTCTGTCTAATTGTTATGGGAAGATATTTCCTTTTCCAACGTAGGCCTGAAAGCGCTCCAAATGTCCACTTCCATATACTAAAAAAAGAGTGTTTCAAACCTGCTCTACCAAAGGGAATGTTCTACTCTGTGACTTGAATGCAAACATCCCAAAGAAGTTTCTGAGAATGCTTCTGTCTAGATTTTCTCTGAAGACAATCCCGTTTCCAACGAAATCCTCAAGGCTAGGCAAATATACTCTTGCAGATTCCAGAAAAAGAGTGTTTCAAAACTGCTCCTTCAAAACGGTGGTTCAATTCTCTTAGTTGAGTACACACATCTCAAATAAGTTTCTGAGAATGCTTCTGCCTAGTTGTTACGGGAAGATATTTCCCTTTCCAACATAGGCCTGAAAGCGCAACAAATGTCCACTTCCAGATACGACAAAAAGAGTGTTTCAAACCTGCTCTACCAAAGGGAATGTTCTACTCTGTGACTTGAATGCAAACATCCCGAAGAAGTTTCTGAGAATGCTTCTGTCTAGATTTTACCTGAAGACAATCCCGTTTCCCACGAAATCCTCAGAGCTATGCAAATATCCTCTTGCAGATTCTACAAAAAGAGTGTTTCGAAACTGCTCTATGAAAAGAAAGGTTCAACTCTGTCAGTAGAGGAAACACATCACCAAAAAGTTTCTGAGAATGCTTCTGTCTAGTTGTTATGGGAAGATTTTTCCTTTTTCAACATAGGCCTGAAAGCGCTCCAAATGTCCACTTCCAGATACTACAAAAGGAGTGATCCCAACCTGCTCTATGATAGGGAATGTTCAACTCTGTGTCCTGAATACAAACATCACAAAGATGTTTCTCAGAACGCTGCAGTCTGCAATTTGTATGAATTCCCGCTTCCAACGAAATCCTCAAAACTAGCCAAATATCCACTTGCAGATTCCACAAAAAGACCATTTCAAAACTGCTCTATCAAAAGAAAGGTTCAACTTTGTTAGTTGAGTAGATACAGCATAACCAAGTTTCTGAGAATGCTTCTGTCCAGTTTTTATGGGAAGATATTTCCTTTTTCACCTTAGCCCTGAAATCGCTCCAAAAGTCCAGTTCCAGATACTACAAAAGGGGTGTTTCAAGACTGCTCTATGAAAGGGAGTGTTCAACTTTTGACTTGAATGCAAACATCAGAAAGCAGTTTCTCAGAACGCTGCTGTGTGCTTTTTATATGTATTCCCGCTTCCAGCGAAATCCCCAAAGCTAGCCAAATATCCACTTGCAGATTCCAGAAAAAGAGTGTTTCAAAACTGCTCCTTCAAAACGGTGGTTCAATTCTCTTAGTTGAGTACACACATCTCAAATAAGTTTCTGAGAATGCTTGTGTCTAGTTGTTATGGGAAAATATTTCCTTTTTCAACATAGGCCTGAAAGCGCTACAAATGTCCACTTCCAGATACTACAAAAGGAGTGATTCCAACCTGCTCTATGATAGGGAATGTTCATCTCTGTGTCCTGAATACAAACATCACAAAGATGTTTCTCAGAACGCTGCAGTCTGCAATTTGGATGAATTCCCGCTTCCAACGAAATCCTCAAAACTAGCCAAATATCCACTTGGAGATTCCACAAAAAGAGCGTTTCAAAACTTCTCTATGAATAGAAAGGTTCTACTCCTTTAGTTGAGGACACACATCACGAGTAAGTTTCTGAGAATGCTTCTGTCTAGTTTTTATGGGAAGATATGTCCTTTTTCACCTTAGGCCGGAAAGCGCTCCAAATGTCCACTTACACACACTACAAAAAGAGTGTTTCAAACCTGCTCTGTGAAAGGGAATGTTCAATTCTGTGACTTGAATGCAATCATCACAAAGAACTTTCTGAGAATGCTGCTGTCTGCTTTTTATATGTAATCCCGTTTCCAACGAAATCCTCAAATCTAGCCAAATATCCACTTGCAGATTCCACAAAAAGAGTGTTTCAAAACTGTTCTGTCTAAAGAAAAGTTCAACTGTGTTAGTTGAAGACACACATCAGAAACTAGTTTCTGAGAATGCTTCTGTCTAGTTGTTATCGGAAGATATTTCCTTTTCCAACGTAGGCCTGAAAGCGCTCCAAATGTCCACTTCCATATACTAAAAAAAGAGTGTTTCAAACCTGCTCTACCAAAGGGAATGTTCTACTCTGTGACTTGAATGCAAACATCCCAAAGAAGTTTCTGAGAATGCTTCTGTCTAGATTTGATCTGAAGACAATCCCGTTTCCAACGAAATCCTCAAGGCTAGGCAAATATACTCTTGCAGATTCCAGAAAAAGAGTGTTTCAAAACTGCTCCTTCAAAACGGTGGTTCAATTCTCTTAGTTGAGTACACACATCTCAAATAAGTTTCTGAGAATGCTTCTGCCTAGTTGTTACGGGAAGATATTTCCCTTTCCAACATAGGCCTGAAAGCGCTCCAAATGTCCACTTCCAGATACTACAAAAAGAGTGTTTCAAACCTGCTCTACCAAAGGGAATGTTCTACTCTGTGACTTGAATGCAAACATCCCAAAGAAGTTTCTGAGAATGCTTCTGTCTAGATTTTACCTGAAGACAATCCCGTTTCCCACGAAATCCTCAAAGCTATGCAAATATCCTCTTGCAGATTCTACAAAAAGAGTGTTTCAAAACTGCTCTATGAAAAGAAAGGTTCAACTCTGTCAGTAGAGGGCACACATCACAAACAAGTTTCTGAGAATGCTTGTGTCTAGTTGTTATGGGAAGATATTTCCTTTTTCAACATAGGCCTGAAAGCGCTCCAAATGTCCACTTCCAGATACTACAAAAGGAGTGATTCCAACCTGCTCTAAGATAGGGAATGTTCAACTCTCTGTCCTGAATACAAACATCACAAAGATGTTTCTCAGAACGCTGCAGTCTGCAATTTGTATGAATTCCCGCTTCCAACGAAATCCTCAAAACTAGCCAAATATCCACTTGCAGATTCCACAAAAAGACCATTTCAAAACTGCTCTATCAAAAGAAAGGTTCAACTTTGTTAGTTGAGTAGATACAGCATAACCAAGTTTCTGAGAATGCTTCTGTCCAGTTTTTATGGGAAGATATTTCCTTTTTCACCTTAGCCCTGAAATCGCTCCAAAAGTCCAGTTCCAGATACTACAAAAGGGGTGTTTCAGGACTGCCCTATGAAAGGGAGTGTTCAACTTTTGACTTGAATGCAAACATCAGAAAGCAGTTTCTCAGAACGCTGCTGTGTGCTTTTTATATGTATTCCCGCTTCCAGCGAAATCCCCAAAGCTAGCCAGATATCCACTTGCAGATTCCAGAAAAAGAGTGTTTCAAAACTGCTCCTTCAAAACGGTGGTTCAATTCTCTTAGTTGAGTACACACATCTCAAATAAGTTTCTGAGAATGCTTGTGTCTAGTTGTTATGGGAAGATATTTCCTTTTTCAACATAGGCCTGAAAGCGCTCCAAATGTCCACTTCCAGATACTACAAAAGGAGTGATTCCAACCTGCTCTATGATAGGGAATGTTCATCTCTGTGTCTTGAATACAAACATCACAAAGATGTTTCTCAGAACGCTGCAGTCTGCAATTTGTATGAATTCCCGCTTCCAACGAAATCCTCAAAACTAACCAAATATCCACTTGGAGATTCCACAAAAAGAGCGTTTCAAAACTTCTCTATGAATAGAAAGGTTCTACTCCTTTAGTTGAGGACACACATCACGAGTAAGTTTCTGAGAATGCTTCTGTCTAGTTTTTATGGGAAGATATGTCCTTTTTCACCTTAGGCCGGAAAGCACTCCAAATGTCCACTTACACACACTACAAAAAGAGTGTTTCAAACCTGCTCTGTGAAAGGGAATGTTCAATTCTGTGACTTGAATGCAATCATCACAAAGAACTTTCTGAGAATGCTGCTGACTGTTTTTTATATGTAATCCCGTTTCCAACGAAATCCTCAAATGTAGCCCAATATCCACTTGCAGATTCCACAAAAAGAGTGTTTCAAAACTGTTCTGTCTAAAGAAAAGTTCAACTGTGTTAGTTGAGGACACACATCAGAAACTAGTTTCTGAGAATGCTTCTGTCTAGTTGTTATGGGAAGATATTTCCTTTTCCAACGTAGGCCTGAAAGCGCTCCAAATGTCCACTTCCATATACTAAAAAAAGAGTGTTTCAAACCTGCTCTACCAAAGGGAATGTTCTACTCTGTGACTTGAATGCAAACATCCCAAAGAAGTTTCTGAGAATGCTTCTGTCTAGATTTTCTCTGAAGACAATCCCGTTTCCAACGAAATCCTCAAGGCTAGGCAAATATACTCTTGCAGATTCCAGAAAAAGAGTGTTTCAAAACTGCTCCTTCAAAACGGTGGTTCAATTCTCTTAGTTGAGTACACACATCTCAAATAAGTTTCTGAGAATGCTTCTGCCTAGTTGTTACGGGAAGATATTTCCCTTTCCAACATGGGCCTGAAAGCGCTCCAAATGTCCACTTCCAGATACTACAAAAAGAGTGTTTCAAACCTGCTCTACCAAAGGGAATGTTCTACTCTGTGACTTGAATGCAAACATCCCAAAGAAGTTTCTGAGAATGCTTCTGTCTAGATTTTACCTGAAGACAATCCCGTTTCCCACGAAATCCTCAAAGCTATGCAAAAATCCTCTTGCAGATTCTACAAAAAGAGTGTTTCAAAACTGCTCTATGAAAAGAAAGGTTCAACTCTGTCAGTAGAGGGCACACATCACAAACAAGTTTCTGAGAATGCTTGTGTCTAGTTGTTATGGGAAGATATTTCCTTTTTCAACATAGGCCAGAAAGCGCTCCAAATGTCCACTTCCAGATACTACAAAAGGAGTGATTCCAACCTGCTCTATGATAGGGAATGTTCAACTCTCTGTCCTGAATACAAACATCACAAAGATGTTTCTCAGAACGCTGCAGTCTGCAATTTGTATGAATTCCCGCTTCCAACGAAATCCTCAAAACTAGCCAAATATCCACTTGCAGATTCCACAAAAAGACCATTTCAAAACTGCTCTATCAAAAGAAAGGTTCAACTTTGTTAGTTGAGTAGATACAGCATAAACAAGTTTCTGAGAATGCTTCTGTCCAGTTTTTATGGGAAGATATTTCCTTTTTCACCTTAGCCCTGAAATCGCTCCAAAAGTCCAGTTCCAGATACTACAAAAGGGGTGTTTCAAGACTGCTCTATGAAAGGGAGTGTTCAACTTTTGACTTGAATGCAAACATCAGAAAGCAGTTTCTCAGAACGCTGCTGTGTGCTTTTTATATGTATTCCCGCTTCCAGCGAAATCCCCAAAGCTAGCCAAATATCCACTTGCAGATTCCAGAAAAAGAGTGTTTCAAAACTGCTCCTTCAAAACGGTGGTTCAATTCTCTTAGTTGAGTACACACATCTCAAATAAGTTTCTGAGAATGCTTGTGTCTAGTTGTTATGGGAAAATATTTCCTTTTTCAACATAGGCCTGAAAGCGCTCCAAATGTCCACTTCCAGATACTACAAAAGGAGTGATTCCAACCTGCTCTATGATAGGGAATGTTCATCTCTGTGTCCTGAATACAAACATCACAAAGATGTTTCTCAGAACGCTGCAGTCTGCAATTTGTATGAATTCCCGCTTCCAACGAAATCCTCCAAACTAGCCAAATATCCACTTGCAGATTCCACAAAAAGAGCGTTTCAAAACTTCTCTATGAAAAGAAAGGTTCTACTCCTTTAGTTGAGGACACACATCACGAGTAAGTTTCTGAGAATGCTTCTGTCTAGTTTTTATGGGAAGATTATTTCCTTTTTCACCTTAGGCCGGTAAGTGCTCCAAATGTCCACTTACACACACTACAAAAAGAGTGTTTCAAACCTGCTCTGTGAAAGGGAATGTTCAATTCTGTGACTTGAATGCAATCATCACAAAGAACTTTCTGAGAATGCCGCTGTCTGCTTTTTATATGTAATCCCGTTTCCAACGAAATCCTCAAATCTAGCCCAATATCCACTTGCAGATTCCACAAAAAGAGTGTTTCAAAACTGTTCTGTCTAAAGAAATGTACAACTGTGTTAGTTGAGGACACACATCAGAAACTAGTTTCTGAGAATGCTTCTGTCTAGTTGTTATGGGAAGATATTTCCTTTTCCAACGTAGGCCTGAAAGCGCTCCAAATGTCCACTTCCATATACTAAAAAAAGAGTGTTTCAAACCTGCTCTACCAAAGGGAATGTTCTACTCTGTGACTTGAATGCAAACATCCCAAAGAAGTTTCTGAGAATGCTTCTGTCTAGATTTTATCTGAAGACAATCCCGTTTCCAACGAAATCCTCAAGGCTAGGCAAATATACTCTTGCAGATTCCAGAAAAAGAGGGTTTCAAAACTGCTCCTTCAAAACGGTGGTTCAATTCTCTTAGTTGAGTACACACATCACAAATAAGTTTCTGAGAATGCTTCTGCCTAGTTGTTACGGGAAGATATTTCCCTTTCCAACATGGGCCTGAAAGCGCTCCAAATGTCCACTTCCAGATACTACAAAAAGAGTGTTTCAAACCTGCTCTACCAAAGGGAATGTTCTACTCTGTGACTTGAATGCAAACATCCCAAAGAAGTTTCTGAGAATGCTTCTGTCTAGATTTTACCTGAAGACAATCCCGTTTCCCACGAAATCCTCAAAGTTATGCAAATATCCTCTTGCGGATTCTACAAAAAGAGTGTTTCAAAACTGCTCTATGAAAAGAAAGGTTCAACTCTGTCAGTAGAGGGCACACATCACAAACAAGTTTCTGAGAATGCTTGTGTCTAGTTGTTATGGGAAGATATTTCCTTTTTCAACATAGGCCTGAAAGCGCTCCAAATGTCCACTTCCAGATACTACAAAAGGACTGATTCCAACATGGTCTATGATAGGGAATGTTCATCTCTGTGTCTTGAATACAAACATCACAAAGATGTTTCTCAGAACGCTGCAGTCTGCAATTTGTATGAATTCCCGCTTCCAACGAAATCCTCAAAACTAGCCAAATATCCACTTGCAGATTCCACAAAAAGAGCATTTCAAAACTGCTCTATCAAAAGAAAGGTTCAACTTTGTTAGTTGAGTAGATACAGCATAAACAAGTTTCTGAGAATGCTTCTGTCCAGTTTTTATGGGAAGATATTTCCTTTTTCACCTTAGCCCTGAAATCGCTCCAAAAGTCCAGTTCCAGATACTACAAAAGGGGTGTTTCAAGACTGCTCTATGAAAGGGAGTGTTCAACTTTTGACTTGAATGCAAACATCAGAAAGCAGTTTGCTCAGAACGCTGCTGTGTGCTTTTTATATGTATTCCCGCTTCCAGCGAAATCCCCAAAGCTAGCCAAATATCCACTTGCAGATTCCAGAAAAAGAGTGTTTCAAAACTGCTCCTTCAAAACGGTGGTTCAATTCTCTTAGTTGAGTACACACATCTCAAATAAGTTTCTGAGAATGCTTCTGTCTAGTTGTTATGGGAAGATATTTCCTTTTCCAACATAGGCCTGAAAGCGCTCCAAATGTCCACTTCCAGATACTACAAAAGGAGTGATTCAAACCTGCTCTATGATAGGGAATGTTCAACTCTGTGTCCTGAATACAAACATCACAAAGATGTTTCTCAGAACGCTGCAGTCTGCAATTTGTATGAATTCCCGCTTCCAACGAAATCCTCAAAACTAGCCAAATATCCACTTGCAGATTCCACAAAAAGAGCGTTTCAAAACTTCTCTATGAAAAGAAAGGTTCTACTCCTTTAGTTGAGGACACACATCACGAGTAAGTTTCTGAGAATGCTTCTGTCTAGTTTTTATGGGAAGATATTTCTTTTTTCACCTTAGGCCGGAAAGCGCTCCAAATGTCCACTTACACACACTACAAAAAGAGTGTTTCAAACCTGCTCTGTGAAAGGGAATGTTCAATTCTGTGACTTGAATGCAATCATCACAAAGAACTTTCTGAGAATGCTGCTGTCTGCTTTTTATATGTAATCCCGTTTCCAACGAAATCCTCAAATCTAGCCCAATATCCACTTGCAGATTCCACAAAAAGAGTGTTTCAAAACTGTTCTGTCTAAAGAAAAGTTCAACTGTGTTAGTTGAGGACACACATCAGAAACTAGTTTCTGAGAATGCTTCTGTCTAGTTGTTATGGGAAGATATTTCCTTTTCCAACATAGGCCTGAAAGCGCTCCAAATGTCCACTTCCATATACTAAAAAAAGAGTGTTTCAAACCTGCTCTACCAAAGGGAATGTTCTACTCTGTGACTTGAATGCAAACATCCCAAAGAAGTTTCTGAGAATGCTTCTGTCTAGATTTTATCTGAAGACAATCCCGTTTCCAACGAAATCCTCAAGGCTAGGCAAATATACTCTTGCAGATTCCAGAAAAAGAGTGTTTCAAAACTGCTCCTTCAAAACTGTGGTTCAATTCTCTTAGTTGAGTCCACACATCTCAAATAAGTTTCTGAGAATGCTTCTGCCTAGTTGTTACGGGAAGATATTTCCCTTTCCAACATGGGCCTGAAAGCGCTCCAAATGTCCACTTCCAGATACTACAAAAAGAGTGTTTCAAACCTGCTCTACCAAAGGGAATGTTCTACTCTGTGACTTGAATGCAAACATCCCAAAGAAGTTTCTGAGAATGCTTCTGTCTAGATTTTACCTGAAGACAATCCCGTTTCCCACGAAATCCTCAAAGCTATGCAAATATCCTCTTGCAGATTCTACAAAAAGAGTGTTTCAAAACTGCTCTATGAAAAGAAAGGTTCAACTCTGTCAGTAGAGGGCACACATCACAAACAAGTTTCTGAGAATGCTTCTGCATAGTTGTTACGGGAAGATATTTCCCTTTCCAAAATAGGCCTGAAAGCGCTCCAAATGTCCACTTCCAGATACTACAAAAGGAGTGATTCCAACCTGCTCTATGATAGGGAATGTTCAACTCTGTGTCCTGAATACAAACATCAGAAAGATGTTTCTCAGAACGCTGCAGTCTGCAATTTGTATGAATTCCCGCTTCCAACGAAATCCTCAAAACTAGCCAAATATCCACTTGCAGATTCCACAAAAAGACCATTTCAAAACTGCTCTATCAAAAGAAAGGTTCAACTTTGTTAGTTGAGTAGATACAGCATAAACAAGTTTCTGAGAATGCTTCTGTCCAGTTTTTATGGGAAGATATTTCCTTTTTCACCTTAGCCCTGAAAGCGCTCCAAAAGTCCAGTTCCAGATACTACAAAAGGAGTGTTTCAGGACTGCTCTATGAAAGGGAGTGTTCAACTTTTGACTTGAATGCAAACATCAGAAAGCAGTTTCTCAGAACGCTGCTGTGTGCTTTTTATATGTATTCCCGCTTCCAGCGAAATCCCCAAAGCTAGCCAAATATCCACTTGCAGATTCCAGAAAAAGAGAGTTTCAAAACTGCTCCTTCAAAACGGTGGTTCAATTCTCTTAGTTGAGTACACACATCTCAAATAAGTTTCTGAGAATGCTTCTGTCTAGTTGTTATGGGAAGATATTTCCTTTTCCAACATAGGCCTGAAAGCGCTCCAAATGTCCACTTCCAGATACTACAAAAGGAGTGATTCAAACCTGCTCTATGATAGGGAATGTTCAACTCTGTGTCCTGAATACAAACATCACAAAGATGTTTCTCAGAACGCTGCAGTCTGCAATTTGTATGAATTCCCGCTTCCAACGAAATCCTCCAAACTAGCCAAATATCCACTTGCAGATTCCACAAAAAGAGCGTTTCAAAACTTCTCTATGAAAAGAAAGGTTCTACTCCTTTAGTTGAGGACACACATCACGAGTAAGTTTCTGAGAATGCTTCTGTCTAGTTTTTATGGGAAGATATTTCCTTTTTCACCTTAGGCCGGAAAGTGCTCCAAATGTCCACTTACACACACTACAAAAAGAGTGTTTCAAACCTGCTCTGTGAAAGGGAATGTTCAATTCTGTGACTTGAATGCAATCATCACAAAGAACGTTCTGAGAATGCTGCTGTCTGCTTTTTATATGTAATCCCGTTTCCAACGAAATCCTCAAATCTAGCCAAATAGCCACTTGCAGATTCCACAAAAAGAGAGTTTCAAAACTGTTCTGTCTAAAGAAATGTTCAACTGTGTTAGTTGAGGACACACATCAGAAACTAGTTTCTGAGAATGCTTCTGTCTAGTTGTTATGGGAAGATATTTCCTTTTCCAACGTAGGCCTGAAAGCGCTCCAAATGTCCACTTCCATATACTAAAAAAAGAGTGTTTCAAACCTGCTCTACCAAAGGGAATGTTCTACTCTGTGACTTGAATGCAAACATCCCAAAGAAGTTTCTGAGAATGCTTCTGTCTAGATTTTATCTGAAGACAATCCCGTTTCCAACGAAATTCTCAAGGCTAGGCAAATATACTCTTGCAGATTCCAGAAAAAGAGTGTTTCAAAACTGCTCCTTCAAAACGGTGGTTCAATTCTCTTAGTTGAGTACACACATCTCAAATAAGTTTCTGAGAATGCTTCTGCCTAGTTGTTACGGGAAGATATTTCCCTTTCCAACATAGGCCTGAAAGCGCTCCAAATGTCCACTTCCAGATACTACAAAAAGAGTGTTTCAAACCTGCTCTACCAAAGGGAATGTTCTACTCTGTGACTTGAATGCAAACATCCCAAAGAAGTTTCTGAGAATGCTTCTGTCTAGATTTTACCTGAAGACAATCCCGTTTCCCACGAAATCCTCAAAGCTATGCAAATATCCTCTTGCAGATTCTACAAAAAGAGTGTTTCAAAACTGCTCTATGAAAAGAAAGGTTCAACTCTGTCAGTAGAGGGCACACATCACAAACAAGTTTCTGAGAATGCTTGTGTCTAGTTGTTATGGGAAGATATTTCCTTTTTCAACATAGACCAGAAAGCGCTCCAAATGTCCACTTCCAGATACTACAAAAGGAGTGATTCCAACCTGCTCTATGATAGGGAATGTTCAACTCTCTGTCCTGAATACAAACATCACAAAGATGTTTCTCAGAACGCTGCAGTCTGCAATTTGTATGAATTCCCGCTTCCAACGAAATCCTCAAAACTAGCCAAATATCCACTTGCAGATTCCACAAAAAGAGCATTTCAAAACTGCTCTATCAAAAGAAAGGTTCAACTTTGTTAGTTGAGTAGATACAGCATAAACAAGTTTCTGAGAATGCTTCTGTCCAGTTTTTATGGGAAGATATTTCCTTTTTCACCTTAGCCCTGAAAGCGCTCCAAAAGTCCAGTTCCAGATACTACAAAAGGAGTGTTTCAGGACTGCTCTATGAAAGGGAGTGTTCAACTTTTGACTTGAATGCAAACATCAGAAAGCAGTTTCTCAGAACGCTGCAGTCTGCAATTTGTATGAATTCCCGCTTCCAACGAAATCCTCAAAACTAGCCAAATATCCACTTGCAGATTCCACAAAAAGAGCGTTTCAAAACTTCTCTATGAAAAGAAAGGTTCTACTCCTTTAGTTGAGGACACACATCACGAGTAAGTTTCTGAGAATGCTTCTGTCTAGTTTTTATGGGAAGATATGTCCTTTTTCACCTTAGGCCGGAAAGCGCTCCAAATGTCCACTTACACACACTACAAAAAGAGTGTTTCAAACCTGCTCTGTGAAAGGGAATGTTCAATTCTGTGACTTGAATGCAATCATCACAAAGAACTTTCTGAGAATGCTGCTGACTGCTTTTTATATGTAATCCCGTTTCCAACGAAATCCTCAAATCTAGCCAAATAGCCACTTGCAGATTCCACAAAAAGAGTGTTTCAAAACTGTTCTGTCTAAAGAAATGTTCAACTGTGTTAGTTGAGGACACACATCAGAAACTAGTTTCTGAGAATGCTTCTGTCTAATTGTTATGGGAAGATATTTCCTTTTCCAACGTAGGCCTGAAAGCGCTCCAAATGTCCACTTCCATATACTAAAAAAAGAGTGTTTCAAACCTGCTCTACCAAAGGGAATGTTCTACTCTGTGACTTGAATGCAAACATCCCAAAGAAGTTTCTGAGAATGCTTCAGTCTAGATTTGATCTGAA